>NC_000010.11:131597130-131946019 GCF_000001405.40 Homo sapiens
AATCTCGGCTCACTGCAACCTCCGTCTCCCAGGTTCAAGTGATTCTCTTGCTTAACCCTCCCGAGTAGCTGGGATTACAGGCACCCACCAGAACACCCAGCTGATTTTTGTATTTTTAGCAGAGACAGGGTTTCACTGTGTTGGCCAGGCTGGTCTCGAACTCCTGACCTTGTGATCTGCCTGCCTTGGCCTCCCAAAGTACTGGGATTAATTATTTTTCCTTTTTAAGGTTAAATAATATTCCATTTTGTGGATATGCCACATTTTGTTTATCCATTCATCTGTCAACAGACACTTGGGTTGCTTCCATCTTTTGACTATTGTGAATAATGCTGTTGTGGACATGGGTGTAGAAACATCTCTTTGAGGCTCTGCTTTTAATTCTTTGAGGTATATACCCAGAGGTGTAATTGCTGGATCATGTGAAATCTGAGAAACCACCATATTGTTTCTATAGTTGTGTAGTATCTCACTGTGGTTTTGATTTGCATTTTCCTAATTATTCATGTTGTTGAGCATCTTTTCATGTACTTATTGGTCATTTGTATATCATTGGAGAAATATATATTCAAGTCCTTTGTCTATTTTTTAATTGTGTTGTTTTTTGGTTGTTGAATTGCAAGAGTTCTTTATATATGGATAGTAATCCGTTATCAGATATATAATTTACAAATATTTCCTGCCATTCAGTGTGTTGCCTTTTACTCTGTTGACAGTGTCATTTGATTCACAAAAATTTTTAATATTTACATGTTCCAATTATCTGATTTTTTTGTTGCCTATGCTTTCGGTGTCGTAGCCAAGAAATCCTTGCCAAATGCAATGCCATGAAGCTGTGCCCCTACATTTTCTTGTGAGTATTCTAACTCTCATATCTAAGTCTTTGACTATTTTTAATTTCTGCATATGGTGTAAGGTAAGGGTACAACTTCATTCTTTTGCATGTGGCTATCCAGTTTTCCCAGTAACATTTGTTGAAAAGACTGTCCTTTTCCCTATTGGATAGTCCTAGCAACTTTTTAAAAAATCACAAGGCCATATATACAAGAGTTTATTTCTGGGCTCTCTATTCTATCTCACTGATCTATGTGTCTGTCTATACGTCAATACCACTCTGTTTTTAATACTGTAGATTTTTAGAAATTTTGAAACTAAGAAGTGTGAGACCTCCAACTGTGTTCTTTTTCAAGATTGTTTTTGCTATTTAGGGTCCCTTGAGATTCTATATGAATGTTAGGATAGATTTTTCTAGTTTTGTAAAAAAAAAATTGATGTTGGAATTTTAAGATAAATTGCATTTAATCTAGAGACCACATCTTTCAATTTTAGGTCTTCTCATCTATGAACAAAGGATGTCTATTTTTGTAGTGTCTTTAATTTCTTTGAGCAATATTTCATAGTTTTCAGTGTACACATCTTTCACCTCCTTGGTTCAGTTTGTTTCTATTTTTTATTTTGTTTGGTCCCACTTTAAATGAAATTGCTTTCTTAATTTCTTTTTCAGGTTGTTCATTGTTATTGTATAGAAACACAGCTAATTTCTGTATGCTGAGTATTCTGTAAGTTTGCTAATTTTGTTATTAGTTCTATCATGTTTCTTATGGAATCTTTGGGGTTTTCTACATATGAAATTACATCATCTATGAAAGGGATCGTTTTACTTTTTATTTCCCAATTTTAATGCTTTTTATTTCCTAATTTATCTGGTCAAGATTTCCATTACTATGCTGAATTTAAAAGTAGGCATTCTTCCCTTGTGTCTTAGCTTAGAAGAAAAGTTTTCAATCTTTCATCATTAAGTATGATGTTAGCAATGGGCTTTCCATATATGGCCTTAATTATGTTGAGGTAGTTTCCTTCTGTTCCTAGTTTGGTGGATGTTTTTTATCATGGAAAGGTGTTGGATTTTGTCAAATATTTTTCTCCATCAATTGAGATGATCACATGGGAACTGTTTCTTCATTCTGTTAATGTAGTTATTACATTAATTCATTTTCATATGTTGAACTATCCTTGAATTTCAGAAATAAATCCCACGAGGTCATGTGTATAATTTTTTTGATGTGTCACTTAATTCTGTTCACTAATATTTGGTTGAGGATTTTTACATCAGTATTTATCAGAGATATTGATCTGTAGCTTAATTTTATTGTAGTACCTTTGTCTTGCTTTGGTGAAAGAGTAATCTTGGCCTTGAAGAATAAGTTTGAAAGTGTCCCCTTACCTTAAACTTTTTTGGAAACTTTTGAGAAGGATTAGTGTTAACTCTTCTTTAAATGTTTGGTAGAATTCACGAATGAAGCCATCAGCTCCTGGGATTTTCTTTGTTGGCAGATTTTGGATCATTGATTCAATCTCTTTGCTAGTTATATGTCTGTTCGTATTTTCTATTTCTTTGTGGGTTAGTCTTGGTAGGTGGTATATGTCTAGGAATTTATCCATTTTGTCTAGGTTGTCCAATTTTTTGGCATACAAATATTCATACTATTGTCTTATTAATATAATCATTTTATTTCTGTTAAATCAGTGGTAATGTCTGCACTTACATTTCTGATTTTAGTTATTGAGACTTCCCTCTTTTATCTTACTCAGTCGAACTAATTGTTCATTAATTTTGGTGATTTTTTCAAAGAACTGAACTTGGTTTTGCTAACTTACTCTACCATGTTCCTATTCTTTATTTCAGTTGTCTGTACTCTAGTCTTTATTATTTCTTTCCTTCTACTGGATTTGGGTTTAGTGTGTTCTCCCTTTTTCTACTTCTTTAAGGTATAATGTTAGATTGTTAATTTAAGATCTTTCTTCTTGTTTATCATAAGCATTTACACTATAAACTACCCTCCTAGCACAGATTTTGATGCATCTGGTAAGTTTTGGTATGTTTACTGTAGCCCTGCAATATAGTTTGAAGTCAGGTAATGTGATGCCTCCAGCTGTGTTCTTTTTGCTTAGGGTTGCCTTGGCCATTCGGGCTCTTTTTTGGTTCCATATGAATTTTAAAATAGTTTTTTCTAGTTCTGTGAAGAATGTCATTGGTAGCTTAATAAAAATAGCATTGAATCTGTACACTGCTTTGGGCAGTATGGTCATTTTAATAAGATTGATTCTTCCTATCTGTGAGCATGAGATTTTTAAAAATTTGTTTTTGTCTTACCTGATTTCTTTCAGCAGTGCTTTGTAATTCTCACTGCAGAGATCTTTCACCTCCCTGGTTAGCTGTATTCCTAGATATTTTTTCATTTTTGCAGCAATTGTGAATGAGATTGCCTTCCTGATTTGTTTCTCGGCTTGGTTTCTTCTTGTTGTTTGTGTACAGGAATGCTGGTGATTTTTCTACATTGATTTTGTATCCTGAAACTTTGCTGAAGTTGTTTATCAGCTGAAGGAGCTTTTGGGTCGAGACTATGGGTTTTTCTAGATATAGAATCATGTCATCTGCAAATAGGGATAGTCTGATATCCTCTCTTCCTATTTGGATATGCTTTATTTCTTTATTTTGCCTGATTGCTCTGGCTAAGACTTCCAATAATACTTGAATAGGATTGGTGAAAGAAGGCATTCTTGTCACGTGTTGGTTTTCAAAAGGAATTCTTCCAGCTTTTGCCCATTTAGTATGATGTTGCCTGTTAGTTTGTCACATATGGCTCTTATTATTTTGAGTTGTGTTCCAAAACATCATGGTGCTGGTACAAAAACAGGCACATAGACCAATGGAACAGATAGAGAGCCTAGAAATAAGACTGCACACTTACAACCATCTGATCTTCAACAAAGCTGACAAAAACAAGCAATGGGGAAAAGACTCCCTATTCAATAAATGGTACTTGGATAAGTGGCTAGCCATATGCAGAAGATTGAAGGTAGACCCCTTCCTTGCACCATATACCAAAATCAACTCAAGATGGATTAAAGACTTACATATAAAACCCAAAACTATAAAAAACCCTGGGAGACAACCTAGGCAATATTATCCTGTACATAGGAATGGGCAAAGATTTCATGACAAAGCACCTCACAACAAAAACAAAAATTGACAAATAAGATCTAATTAAACTTAAGAGCTTCTGCACAGCAAAAGAAACTATCAGCAGAGTAAACAGACAACCTACAGGATGGCAGAAAATATTTGCATATTATGCATCTGACAAAGGTCTAATATCCAGCATCTATAAGAAACTTAAACAAGTTTATAAGCAAAAAACAAACAACCCCATTAAAAAGGGGGCAAAGGACATGAACACTTCTCAAAAGAAGACATACGTGCAACCAACAAGCATATGAAGAAAAGCTCAATATCACTGATCATTAGAGAAATGCAAATAAAAACCACAACGAGATACTGTCTCACAACAATCAGAATAGCATTATTAAAAATTCAAAAAAATAACAGATACTGGTGAGGTTGTGGAGAAAAGGGACCACTTATACACTGTTGATGAAAGTGTAAGTTAGTTCAACCATTGTGGAAAGCAGTATGGCGATTCTTCAAAGAAAGAGCTAAAAACAGAATTACCATTCAACTCAGGAATCCCATTACTGGGTATATGCCCAGAGGAATATAAATCATTCCACCATAAAGACACATGCACACGAATGTTCATTGCAGCACTGTTCACAATAGCAAAGACATGGAATCAACCTAAATGCCCATCAATGACAGACTGGATAAAGAAAATGTGGTACATATATACCATAGAAGACTACGCAGCCATAAGAAGAGTGATACCATGTCTTTTTCAGGAACATGGATGAAGCTGGAGGCTATTATCCTTGGCAAACTAACACAGGAACAGAAAACCAAATGCGGCATGTTCTCATTTCTAAGTGGGACCCACATGATGAGAACTCACAAACACGAAGAAGGGAACAACAGATGCTGGGGTCTCCTTGAGGGTGGAAGATGGAAGGAGGAAGAGGAGCAGAAAAAATAACTTTTGGGTACTGGGCTTAATACCTGCAGTTGAAATCATCAGTACAAAAAAGCCCTGTGACATGAATTTACATATATATATAATATATATATAATATAAAATATTTTTATTTTATAAATATTTATTATTATATAAATATACATAATATAAAAATATATATATAAAACAAACTTGCATATGTGCCCCTGAACCTAGAATTAAAGTTAAAAAGAAAAAAAGTTTTAGTATGTTATGTTTTATTTTCATTTGTCCCAAGACATTTTCTAATTTCCCTTGGGGTTTCTTCTTTGACTCACTGGTTTCTATGAGTATATTGCTGAATTTCTACATATCTGTGGATTTTCCAGCTTTCCTCATGCTATTGATTTCTGGTTTCATTCCAGTGTGATCAGAATCAGAATTGCATAATTTTAATATTTTCTAATTTCTAAAAATGTGCTTTGTATCCTAAGATATGATCTATCTTAGAGAATGTTTCATGTATACTTGAGAAAAATGTGTATTCTGCTCTTGTTGGTTGGGGCTGTTCTATTATTTTAGTTAGTCAATAGCGGTGTTCTATTTCCTTATTTTTCTGATTTTCTCTATTTCCTAATTTTTTCTATCCGGTTGTTCCATCCATTATTAAAAAGGAGATATGTAAGTATCCTACTATTATTGTAGCACTGTTTCTCCCTTTCATTCTGTCAATGTTTGCTTCATATATTTAGGTGCTCTGGTGTCTGCCGCATATATGGTTATAACTGTTATATCTTCTTTATGACTTGACCCTTTTATTGTTTGTTATATAATGACTGCGTTTTTCTCTTTTGACAAGTTCTTACTTAAAGTCTATTTTGTACGAGAGTAGCATAGCTACTCCTGCACTCATTTGGTTCATATTTGTGTACTATACTTTTAAAAGCACAGAATATCTTTTTCTGTCCTTTTACTTACAATCCATGCATGTCCTTGGATCCAAAGTGTTTCTCTTGCAGACGGCATATACTTAGCTCCCAGGGTTTGGTTTTTTTTTTTTTTTTTAATCCTTTCTGCCAATTTATGTCTTTTGATTGGGAAGTTTAATCTGTTTACATTTAAAGTATTTACTGTTAAGGACTTACTATTATCATTTTGTTGTTTGTTTTCTGTATATCTTGTAGCTTTTTCATCTCTCATTTCCGTCCTTACTTCCTTCCTTTGTGTTTAGTTCATTTTTTATAGTGACATGCTTTCATTCCCTTCTCATTTCCTTTTGTGTATATTCTATAGTTTTGTGTGTACAGTTACCATGGAGATTATATATAATATTGTAAAATTACAACAATTTATTTTAAACCGATACCAACTTAACTTCAATCAAATACAAAACTCTACTCCTTTAAAGCTCTACTCCTACCCTTTTTATTAATGCCACAAATTATATCTCTGTTACTACATCTTTGTCACAAATTACATATATTGTGAGCCAACTAACAGTTATTTGTATTTATTTTTATACTTTTGTCTTTCAATTCCTGTAGAATAAACAGTGAAGAACAAAAATTACAATACTGGTAATACTAGAATATATATACTTTTACTGTTTACCTTTATATTTTGGTATGACTTTGAGTTACCATCTGGCATCCTTTCATTTCAACTCGAAAGTCTCACTTTGGCATTTCTTATAGGGCAGCTGTAGTCGTAAAGAACTTCTTTAGCTTGTGTATCTGCATATGTCATAGTATCTCCCTCATTTTAAAGAACAGTTTTGCTGGACACAGAATTCTTGGTTGATAGCTTTATTTTTTCTTTCTGAACTTGAATGTATCATCCTGCTGCCTGCTGGATTTTAAGATTTATGCTGATAAATTCACTAATAATTTTACTGAGGAGCACTTCTATGCAATAAATTGCTTTTCTCTCTCACTGCTTTTAAGATTCTCTCAAGATACAAAATCAACATACAAAAATTAGTTGTATTTTCATAACAATGAACTGTCCATAATTTAAAATAAGAAAAAAATCCTATTTGCAATAGATCAAAATGAATAAAATATTTAGGATAAATGCAACCAAAAAGAAAGCAACCTCTATACTGAAAACTATAAAAACAGTGGTGAAAGAAATTGAAGAAGACACAAATAAATGGAGAGATATCCTGTGTTCATGGATTAGAAGAACTAATATTGTTAAAACATCTATCTAAAGTGATCTACAGATTCATTTGCAAGCCCAATCAAAATTCTAATAGCATTTTTTACTATCTGGAAAGAACTAATCCTAATATTTGTATGGAACTGCAAAAGATCCCAAGTAACTAAAGCAATCTTGAGCAAGAAGAACAAAGCAGGAGACACTAGACTCCTGATTTCAAATTATATCCAAAGCTATTGTGATCAAAATAGTATGATACTGGCGTAAAAACAGACACACAGATGAATGGAACAGAATAGAAAGCTCAAAAATAAACCCACATATATACAGTCAACTCATCTTTGACAAAAGCATCAAGAATACAGAATGAGAAAAGAACAGTCTCTTCTATAAATATTGTTGGGAAAACTGGATATCCAACTGCAAAAAAAAAAGAAAGAAATTGAATCTTAATCTTACATCAGACACAAAAATCAACTCAAAGTGGATTAAAGACTAAGTCTTGAACATAGCACTTGAAACCTTGGTCTTGGCAATAATTTTTTGGATATACCAATAAAAGCACAGATCTACAAAAGCAAAAATAACCAAATGGAACTATATCAAACTAAAAAGCTTCTGCCAAGCAAAGGAAACAATCTAAAAAATGAAAAAGCAACCTACAGAATGGGAAAAAAAATTTATAAACCAAACATTCAATAAGAAGTTAATATCCAAAAAATAAAGAATTCATACAACTTAATAATAATAATAATAATAATAATAAATACCCCAGTTTAAAATGGACAAGGACACCTGAACTGACATTTTTCCAAAGATATACAAATGATCAAGAAGTATATGAAGAGGTACTCAATATCACAAATTATTAGAGAAGTATAAATCAAAACCACAATAAGATATCACAGCACATCTGTTAGGACATATATTGTCAAAAAGACAAGAGGTAACAAGTGTTGGTGAAGATATGGGAAAAAAAGGAAACCTTGTGTACTTTTGATGGGGATATAGATTGGTACAGTCATTACAGAAAATGATAGGGAGGCTTCTCAAAAAATTAAAAATAAAACTATCATACAATCCAGTAACTCAAATTCTGGACATATATCCAAAGGAAATGAAATCAGTATGCTAGGGAGATATCTGCGGCTGCATATTCATCACTGCATTATTCTCAATAGCCAAGATGTGGAAACAACCTGTGTCCATGGGCAGATGAATAGATTTTTTACTGTAGTATGTATACATAAATAATGGACCATTATTTAGCCTTAAAGAAAGAGAATTCTGTCATTTGTAACAAGCTTACCATAATGTTCTCACTTCACATAATGTCCAGGTTTGTGATGGACATTATACCTCAAAAAAGTTGGGAAAAAATAATAAATTAATAGATAGTCTTTGGTTTCAGACTTTTTTATTATGGTATGTCTCTTTGTGGGGTCTTTATGAGTTTATTATTCTTGGAGTTCATTGAGTTTCTTGTATTTGTACATCCATTTCTTTCCTTATATTTGAGGAGTTTTTAGCCTTTATTTTTTCAAATAAGCTCTCTTCCCCTTTCTCTTTCTCTTACCTTCTGCAACACCTATAATGTGTATATTGGTCCACCTGATCTTGTCCCATAGGTCTTTCACGCTGTGTTCACTTTTCTTCATTCTTTTTCTTCTTGCCCCTCAGACTCAACAATTTCAAATGATCTATCTTTAGGTTAGCTGATTCTTCTGCCTGTTCAAGTTTATTGTTATAACCTTCTAGCGAATTTTTCAGTTCAGTTATTGTATTTTTCAGCTCCATAATTTCTGTTTGGTTCTTTTTATAATTACTTTTTTAAAAAAATATATTCTGGCCAGGCATGGTGGCTCATGCCTGTAATCCCTACACTTTGGGAAGCTGAGGCAGGAGGATTGCTTGAGTCTAGGAATTCAAGACCAGCCTGGGCAACATAGCCAGGCCTTGTCTCTACAAAAATAAAAATACAAAAATTAGCTGGACATGGTGGCATGTGCCTGTAGTTCAAGCTATTTGGGAGGCTGAGGTGGGAGGTCACTAGAGCCTGGGATGTCAAGGCTGCAGTGAGCCATGAATATCACTGCACTCAGGGCAACAGAGTGAGACTCTATCTCAAAAAAACAAACAAACAAAAATTCTCACTATGTTTATGTATCATTTTCCAGATTTCCTAATGTTCTTTTCCATGTTTTCCTTTAACTGTCTGAGTTTCTTTAAGACATCTGTTTAAAGTCTTTGGCAAGTTGATTTACTGTGTTTCTTTAAGGTCAGTCTGAAGGTTTATTTTCTTTCTTTGATGAGTCACATTTCCTTTTTTTTTTTTTTTTTTTGTATGCCTTGTGATATTTTGTTGAATATTGAGCATTTGAGAAGGCATCAATCTCTCTCTCTTTAGAGTCTGACCTTGTATGTGGGAAGACCTTCACTAATCACCTGAAGTGAAGGATTAAAGTCTTTCCAGTCTTTTTCTGGGTATGTGTCTTGTGCATGTGTTTTGGCCATGTGTGTGTTTGTTTGGGGGTTGGTGTTTGTTTGCTTTTTGCAATTCCTCTGGATACACAGCTGCTTTTAAACATTTTAGTTTCTCTAAGAGTCTTACTTCTGTTTCTTCCAGGGACCTAGATGTCCTGTTGCATTTTTCTGCCTGAGTCTCTTTTCAGTCTATGGTCACATGAGGTCTATAGTCCTCACACAGTTTTCACACACCACAGTGCCACCACTGCCTTCTGTGGCTACCAATGTGAGATATGAACTATGCAGCCCTTCCCTTCTGAGCTCCAAGTCAGGAAATACAGAAACCAGGCCTTCAGGGAGCCCACACGCAGCGTAGTCACTGCAAACAAGCTCCGCTCTCCTTCTTCCAACCTGAGGGAAGAAGTAGGAATTGACTCGGTTTTTCCCCACTGCACGGCACTACGCCAAGGAGGTGGTGAGAAAAGGGTAAGAAAAAAGGTCACAAAATTCCCTACCACTTTGCATATGGCTTCTGGCTTTTTCTTGACTGGGAATTCATTTGTTTGCTGCAGACCCTTGACAGCAGCAAGAATCCAGAGCTTTCCAGAGCCCCCAAAAAGCCATCTTGGTCAGTTTGATGTTTCTGTGGAAGACAAGACCCTGGAGCTTCCAATTCCCATCATTTTGCAAAAACCATCGATTTTTAAACTAAGAATCAATGTTGACTTTTGAAGGCACTACCATCACACTTCAGAGTACGATGACTTTTTTAAATGTACATACCTAAAAAATGATAACATAGACAAAGAAATATAAAAAATTAAAAATATAAGTGGATCCACTCAATCAGTAGATGATGCTCATGTTGACCATCCTGCCGTGGTGGTCACTGGCCCTTCTCACAGATCACAATGCCACACAAGAAATGCTGCTTCCATGAGTGGGCTGGGGGAGACCAGACACAGCCAGCACAGACACCAGCCGCACACACCATGTGCTTTTTCCAAGAGTACATTTGTGACCCATTCTTTAAGTTTCCTATTCCATTAAGATTGAACGTTTGCTAAATTAAGAGCCACGTGCATTTTAATGGGCCATAACAGCAAGTAATTGGATGTTTATACCTGTGTTTATATCAGGAGATCAGCAGCAGCACAGCGGTCAAAATCATGACTTGAGAAAACAAAGTTTCTACCCTTAAAATTGGTTTTACAACTTTATCATCAAATTGCATCTTTCTTTTATTTCCTGCAGGCCTTTCTCACACAGAACTTAAGATACCACAGGTGTTCTAATAAAATGAATTTTGAACCTCCTGTATTTCATTATGTGAAAATGGCTTTCTAGCTGCCTACTCTAATTAAGGAAATAACGTATTAAATAGATGTCTTTAAGCAAACCCGACTGTATTACCTGTGACTAACCTCACACAGAAATAGCCAAAATACATTACCTATACAAAAGTTGATAGTTCAAAATCGTCCAAATGCCAATTATGCACCTGTTTGGCTCATTGTTAGTAATTTTATGTAGCATTAGATTTGCTATTCTTAGCTTACAACCTATTAAGCCTGATAAAATTGAAATATGGGCTCTCTGGGTCATAAATGAATATCAAGTACTCTCAGACAAATGAAATGCTCAGAATAGAAACATTTACTGCACTTTAGTGAGAGGTTTTCATAAAATTTCTCCAGCTGCAATTGCTATTCTTTGTAATGGAGCGTGCCGAAACCTACCTGACTGAGCTGCATGTTCTGTGAAATGCAATCATTCTTGACAACAGGTAATGAACAGAGTTTTCACCCCCAAATCAAAGAAGCTACAGCATCCAGAAACCCCCCAGCACCACTGGAATGGACACGTATTTTATGGATGTAGTCTGAAGGCAGAAAGTCAGCCACATTTAACAAAGCTCAAGCGTATCGCCCACCTGGGCCCAGGGCTCTACTGCCTGTTTGCTCCTGGGAAGAAGTGGGGGCACTTTTCTCACCGAAAAGCTGCAAGGTGATACCTTTATCTAAGGGTTGAGGATGAGGACCAGGGCAAGGGGTGGTCCCGCACACCAGAGTGGTGGCGCTGAAGCCCAAATAGAGAAAACGAGATGTCGCTTTTTTTTTTTTTTTTGAAACAGAGTCTCGCTCTGTCGCCCAGGCTGGAGTGCGGTGGCGCGATCTCGGCTCACTGCAAGCTCCGCCTCCCGGGTTCACGCCATTCTCCCGCCTCAGCCTCCTGAGTTGCTGGGACCACAGGCGCCCGCCACCACGCCCGGCTAATTTTTTTCTGTTTTTAGTAGAGACGGGGTTTCACCATGTTAGCCAGGATGGTCTCGATCTCCTGACCTTGTGATCCACCTGCCTCGGCGTCCCGAAGTGCTGGGATTACAGGCATGAGCCAGAGATGTCGCTTTTATTTCCCACGCCCTGTTCGGGCCCCACTGTGCACAGAATTAGGAAACCAAGAGCCCGCATGAGTGTATAGGGTGTGGCAGCCAGTGTGAGGACTCTCTGGAAGCAAGGAAGAGGGACAGGGAACAAACGAGTCTCACTTTCCTCCCTCCCTCCATCTGCAGTGACCAATTCATCCTGGTTTGCCTAAGACCCTCTGGTGTTAGCCCCAAAAGCTCCACGTCCCAGGAAGCCCCTCGGTCCCAGGCACACTGGGATGGTGGGTCACCCCGTCTGATCCCCGTCTGATACCCACCGAGGCTTCCCCATCATCTGACCCCAGCTGGGAGCAGAGGGCAGAGAGCCCAGGGAGGGGGTCC
This sequence comes from Homo sapiens, assembly GCF_000001405.40. Lineage (NCBI taxonomy): Eukaryota > Metazoa > Chordata > Mammalia > Primates > Hominidae > Homo > Homo sapiens. Next base: position 131,609,413 of record NC_000010.11, read on the forward strand.
CCCACGCTCAGCCTCCGGGCACAGGCCACATGGGAAAGGGGGCAGAGGCAAACGCAGTCATCCTCGAGATCACTTTACCTTTTAGGCAATACCCCAGACACAATGGAAAGGACAGAGAACGAACACACGGGTCCACACCCTCCACCCAGATTAACACATTTTAACCTTCTCCCATGCTGTTTTCATATGACATCATCAAACCATGCTTTATCAAAACACTATTTATCATGAAATATTTCTACATACCTGAAAACCTCCTTAGAATCCCCTCCATTCTCAGAAATAGCAACTATGCTGAAATCAGTCCCATTCCTGACCTGTTTGCTGTTTATTGTTTTATAATAGGTACTGTGTATTCATAAGCAATAGGGTAGTATGGCTTTGAGTATTTTTAAGTCTTATGTTTCATGTTGCATAGACTATTCTGTGAAGACTTTTCTGCTCCATAGCATTCTGGAGAATTCTACATCTTGGCACATATAACTTACATCCATTCACTTCATGAATAGTAAGTCCACGTATAACAAAATAATATTCCTGTCAAAAAATGTGCTATCTGCGTCCAATCACAAAATAATGTTAGAAAAAACCCAAATAGAGCAAGGACCATCTTACAAAATAAACGGCCTGCGTATTTTGAAATAGATAATGTTATACAAGGGACCCGTACATATGTACAAAATGTACATATGCACAAAATGTACGTATGCATTCCACCTTGTTAGTGACTTAAGTAACTTCCAGTTCCTTGCCATCAGCCATTGCTACAGGAAGAGTCTGATTTATGAACCCTTGTGTGCATGTGCTGGGGACTCTCAGAGAAGTGCTGAAACTGAGCAGACGGGTCTCAAGTAGGGGCACAGCACACCTGCATCTGTATAACAGGAACAAATGCCCCTGTGATAGGGCCACATGTACCCCCAAGTTTTTCTAAATGAAGAATACGAAATGAGATCTCTGTATATTTAATCTGCTCACGTTTATTTTATTTCATTTACATTTTATTTTGAAATAACCTCAGACAATACAAAGTTGTCAAACCAATACACAGAATTTGTGTTCACCTTCATTCAGATTCCCCAGAATTTTACTTTTTATCATATTTGATCCATTATTTTCTCTCTCCACATATACTTTTTCTGAACCCCTTGAGAATAAATTTTTAAATAATGCTATTTCACCTGTAAATACTCCAGTATGTATCTCCTAAAATCAAAGTATATTTTCTTATGTAACCACAGCAGGGTTATCAAAATCAGGAGATTGGCGTCGAGGCAGTATTAGTATCTAGCCTACAAGATCTTATTCAAAATTTTCCAGTTGTCACATTAATGCTCTTTATAGCAAAAGAAAGCAATTCTGGTCTCCCACGCTGCATCCCGTGTGGGTCCTTGTTCTGCCTCTTTAGTTTCTTTAAACGAAGAACATTTCCTCAGTCTTCCTTTGCTCTTCATGGCCTTGATATTTCAAAATATGCATGCCATTTATTTTGTAAGATGGTCTTTGCTCTATTTGGGTTTGCCTAATGTCACTTTGTGATTAGACACAGATAATGCATTTTGGGCAGAAATGCCAGAAAAGTGGAGCTGTGGCCTTCTCCATGCATTGAATCAAGAGGCACAGGCTGTCGGTGTGTCCTTGTGCTGGCAATGTGATCTTTGGTCACTGTAAAGCTATTGTGTTTCCTTCATGCCTAATAAATATTTTGTGGAGAGGTCCTTTGAGACTATGTAAATACTCTGTTTTTCCATCAGACGCTTACCTAATAGTTGTGGCATCTATTGGTGACCATTGCCTGAAGCAATTACTAATATGATGGTTGACAAGCAATGATTTTCTATTCCATCACTCACTCCCACCTCTACTAATAGGATTCTACTAACAGGAAGGGCTTTCTCTTCTCCCTCATTTCTGCATGTGTGTGTGTGTGTGTGTGTGTGTGTTCTATACAATTTCATTGATTCTTTTCTATGAGTTATATTCTATGACTGTCATTACTTGTTTGATACTCCATTCCATATCCAGTGGCCAGTGGGAGTCCCTTGGAGCTGACTCCCATGTCTTTTTGGCATGTTCTTTTATTCTTTGAGTGTGTTCTTGCTTTTCACCACAGAAAGCTATTCTGGGATTGTCTTGTGCCCACCCAGCCTAATTCTAATTGAGAAAATTCTACAGAAATTAGTTTTTCTGGTTCCTTCTAGTAAGGAATTGTATTATATATAAAGAGATATAGATATATATACACAACTGTGCATATAGATATAAAGATATAAAATATAGTATATACACACATATATAGATATGTATATATATGTATAAGTTAAAACTATCATAAGTTTAATACACATTTAATACACATTTAGTACACCTAACCTACAGAATATCATAGCCTGGTCTAGCCCACCTTACACGTGCTCAGAACACTTACATTAGCCCACAGTTGGGCAACATCATGTAACCCAAAGCCTATTTTATAATCAAGTGTTGAATACCTCATGTAATTTACTGAATACTGTACGGAGAGTGGAAAACAGAATGGTTGTGTGGGTTCTCAGCATGGTTTCTACTGAATGTGTATTGCTTTCACAACATTGTAAAATCGAAAAATCATGAGTTGAACCACTGTAAATTGAGGACTGTCCGTATATAATGTGTGTGGATACGTACACACACAATTCATCTGCATCCACTCCTATCTATGTATCTATCACCATTAATTCACACCAACACCTCTAATTCCAACACAGCACTGCATTGTTAACTCCAGAGCTCCCCTGTCCTGATTCCTCCGACAATAAGAAACCCACTACTGTATTCACAATGTATTTATTTATTTGTTCAATTCCATAAGGAATATGCAATACCTTCAGAATTGCTAATGAATACCACTGTGTATTTGTTTACAGTCCTTTTTGCTTTTAACCTGAGGGTAGAAAGTCAAAACACTGTGTTTAAGAGACGCTTGGGATAGGTCCCTCTTCTTCATTGTGATTGTATTTTTAATTTGAACCACAGTTGGGTTTATTTTGTTTGTTTGTTTATCCATTGTAGCAGATGAGCAGTGGTATTACTAATTTGTACTAATTAATAATTTGTCTTAATTTGTGTTGACTTACTAATTATGGGAGCATCATTCACATGCCTGATGGACATCACATGTTTGGACCTGTTCAAATCCTTGTCCGATTATTTGAGGTTGTTTTATTCTTGTTATTGAGTTGTAAGCATTCTTACAGATTCTATACACAATATCTCTATCAGGCATGTTTTGAAAACTTTCTCCTCGTCTGTGGCTTGCCTTTTCATTGTTCTCGCTAGAGTATTTTTAATAGAAAAAGTTTTATTTTTGATGACGTCTATTTTACCAATTTCTTTTGCATTTCTGGTGTATACGCCTTGTGTTCAATATAAGAAATCTCTGCCTAACCCCAAAATCACAACTTTTTTCCTATAGTTTTTTCAAAAACTTTTAATTTAGATCTATGATCCATTTTGAGTTAAATTTTGTACATGGTATAAGGTAAGCACTGAGAGTCAATGTGTTTATATAGGTAACCAATTTTTCATAAGTATTTGTTGAAAAGAATATTCTTTCTCAATTGAACTACCTTGGTACCTCTGCATAAAATCATTCTGCCGTACATGTGTGGTTCTATTTCTGGAGTCTATCCTGTTCTACTTATCTCTGTGGCTTTTCTTATGCTAATACCATACTGCACAGGTTTATAAAGTTTCATAGGGAGTTTTTATTTCAGCTACTGTTATTCATCAAATTTGCTCTTTTTCAAAATTGTTAGGCTCTCCTAGGTCCCTTACATTTCCATATAAATGTTTGTCTCAGCTTGAAAATGTCCACAGAAGCTGACCCAGCACCCCAGTGTATTAGTTCATTTTTACTTTGCTGATAAAGACATACCCGAGACTGGGCAATTAAAAAAAAAAACAGAATTTTATTGGACTTATAGTTCCACGTGGCTGGGGATGCTTCACAATCATGGTGGAAGGTGAAAGGCACATCTCACATGGTGGCAGACAAGAGAAGAGAGTTTGTGCAGGGAAACTCCTCTTTTTAAAATTATCAGATCTTGTGAGACCTCCTCACCACCATGAGAACAGCATGGAAAAGACCCGACCCCATGATTCAGTCATCTCCCACTGGGTCCCTCCCACAACACGTGGGAATTATGGGAGCTACAAGATGAGATGTGGGTGAGGACCATATCACCCAGGTATAACAAGATGGTCCCCTCATTCTGGCTGCTGGAGATACAAACTGTTCCCAACCTGAGTCTGCTCCATGAGCTGTCCAGCTCACTCTTTCCAGGGCTCCTTTTCTAGCCTTCTAAGCCTTGGCCCACACACAGGCAGGTGGGGACTCAGGCAAAGCCTCGGGACCCCTTCCCAGACCTCAAAGCTCCATCCTCCTGGTAAGTCCTGCCTCTCCAGCACTCTGCCCACAGCTACCTACTGCCTCAGCCCCTCAAGTCCCATCCCTGTTTCCTCGGTTCAGTGAGGTCACTGGGTTCCCTTTAGGTCCTTTGCCTGCCACCTGGCCTACAGCTCAAGATCCTCTAGGCTGCAAGCTTCAGCAGGTGCAGGACTCGCCTCCTCTGCTCCTGTCTCTCACAGACCACTGCCCTGCACTGTCCTGCATTGCCCACTGCCCACTGCCCGGTGTCTGGAACAGTTGTTTCTTATATGTCATGGGTTTTCTAGTTGTTTGCAGGAAGATGGTGATTCCCTAGTGCTCCATTCTCCCTGAGTAGAAGCAGAGCCCCTTTCACTATGTTTTTAATTGGCATTTTTTAGCAGCCCATGGGGTCAGACATCTTTATTCTTGTTCGCTGTTCTTCCAGATTTCTCCTGCTCTAAATTTTGGGCTTTCATCTTTGCTCATTTGTCTACTGGATTACTTCTATTTCTTCTTATTAACTTCTAAAAGTCCCTTATCCATTTTAGTCCCAATTCTTTGTCAGTTATATGCATTGCAGATGCCCTCTCCCATTCTGTAACTGTGCTGCTAACTATGTTTGGGGTGCTTTTCTTTCTTTGGAAGTATTTTCCTTTCTTCCCTTCTGTTGGTTTGCATTGTTTGGGTTTGGTGGCTGGTAGAGAGGAATACAGTGAAAGGATTCATCATTTCCTGAATTGTTTGTGCTTTTGCTTTTCCTATCATGATGTCATCAAAGCATTCTACCGTATGTTCATCTGAAGTGTTTAATATTTCACTTGTAGCATTTTGTTCTAGAGGAGTTTTTTTTCTGAACAGGGTGAAATAAGGATTTACTTTTTCTATATTGTTAACCAATTTAACTTGGACCACTCACCACCTCCTTTCACCCCCTGATGTATAATACCAAGTCCTCACATAAACATAGGCCAGTTTCTAGTGAATGATGTATGCTTCATGGTCTGTCTGCCAATATATTCATTCTCAACCTGTTTAATCACTGTAGCTTCATCATAAGCTTTAGCTCTCATAGGTCAAGATATTATGTGCAATTCTTCACAATCATCTTGAGCCTAAAATGTTCAGAGACTGAAAGGCAAGAATAGGCCAAAAAAGATCTAACACCAGACAAGTTTAAATAAAACTTATATGAAAATTCTAGACATGAAAAAATAGTCATTTAACATACAAATTCGCTAATGAGTAAGGTCATGAACTAGAGATAGCTGAAGAGAGAATTAATCAGTTTGGTAAGGTACAGCTGAGAAAACCAAAAGGGATAGCACATGCAGATAGAGAGATGGAAAATCTAGAAGAAGTTAATAGGCATTGGGTCAGGATAAGATGGGCTGACTTCCACTCTCATTCAGTAGAAGTTCTCCACAATGGAAACAAAGAATGCAGACCACAATGCTCAGGGCTGCACAGGTGTATGGAGGCACATGTGTATGGATGCACAGGTGTATGGAGGCACATGTGTATGGATGCACTGGTGTATGGAGGCACATGTGTATGGATGCACTGGTGTATGGAGGCACAGGTGTATAGATGTACACGTGTATGGAGTAACAGGCGTATGGAAGCACAGGTGTATGGAGTCAAGGTGTATGGAGGCACAGGTGTATGGAGCCACAGGTGTATAGATTTACAGGTGTTTGGAGGCACAGGTGTATGGAGCCACAGGTGACGCATGAACAGGTGTATAGATGTGCAGGTGTATGGAGGCACAGCTGTATGGATGCACAGGTGTATCGAGACACAGGTGATGGATGCACAAGTGTATAGATGTACAGGTGTATGGAGACACAGGCATATAGATGTACAGGTGTATGGAGACACAGGCATATAAATGTACAGGTGTATGGAGACACAGGCATATAGATGCACAGGTGTATTAATGCACAGGTGTATAGAGGCACAGGTGCATGGAGGCACAGGCATATGGATGTATAGGTGTACAGAGGCACAGGTGATGGATGCACAGGTGTATGGATGTACGGGTGTATGGAGGCACAGGCATATGAATGCACAGGTGTATTATTGCACAGGTGTCTGGAGACACAAGTGTATGGAGCCACAGGTCTATGGATGCACAGGTTTTATGACTAGTAGTGATAATAGTTTTCTTTGTAATTAAAGAAACAAAGTGATGTCCTTCACGGCACAGGCAACATGTGTTCACTGCTCTAGATCATCATTTTCCTTGAGCCACATCCAACACAGGTGCATCTTCCCACAGTGCCCTACAAGAGCATTGAGGGGTGTCCTCAGTACCCATAGCACACAAGGGGGTGGTGCTTCCCAAGCTGCTGCCACCCCGGGGTCCCTAATCTACCTCCGTGTCCCACCACTGCCGGGAAGGTGGTCCAATCCCCCAGTAGACCCTGGATTAGCACAACCTGGATGCAGAGGTGGAGACATTCCAAGTGGAGATATTCCCTGGAAACAAGGAGGATACCGCCCAGATCCCCACCTATGGGACCTGCACAAAGGGTTTGGTCTGGGGTCAGAGCCTGCGACTGGTCCGGCACCTGATGCCACTAGGTACTCATGCTCTTCAGGTCTTTCCTCCTCTAAAAGTAGAAAAAAGACCAGACTGTATCAAGGAAAAAAGCATAGGAAGAGAGGAGGAGAAATGAACTCAATCAGTAGCCGGCAAGGTGCCTGGCACACTGTAAGCACCTGCTATCAGCAAGAAGCAGCAAATCTAAAGGAGAGCAGTGCGACCCCCGATGAGGGCAGAGCCCCTCTCCCTGTTGTGCAGACTTTGCATGAGCTATAACAAAAAGCGCCTTACATTTCGGAGTGAGAGGACTAGAGCATGGGCCTAATCTATTTTTAAAATGAAAACATCATTTTAATGTTGCTATTTTCACAAATAAAACTTGTATTTATGGGCCGGGCGCGGTGGCTCACGCCTGTAATCCCAGCACTTTGGGAGGCCGAGGCGGGTGGATCATGAGGTCAGGAGATCGAGACCATCCTGGCTAACAAGGTGAAACCCCGTCTCTACTAAAAATACAAAAAATTAGCCGGGCGCGGTGGCGGGCGCCTGTAGTCCCAGCTACTCGGGAGGCTGAGGCGGGAGAATGGCGTGAACCCGGGAAGCGGAGCTTGCAGTGAGCCGAGATTGTGCCACTGCAGTCCGCAGTCCGGCCTGGGCGACAGAGCGAGACTCCGTTTCAAAAAAAAAAAAACAAAAAAAAAAAAAAAAACTTGTATTTATGGAAAAGGTGTGCATGCTTTCTCTTTTAAAGATGAAAAATCTCTCTTTCTATTTGTAGAAGCTGTGCACGGGACGCCACCCCGCCGGCTCCTGGAACCCGACCGTCCAGAGCGCCTCATTGGACTGCGCTGAGCCCAGTCCACCTGCACCACTGCCGTCCTCCTCGCTCGGCCACCGTTGGTTACCATGGGAACCATGACCGCAGCCAGCCCCCGAGGCGAGAAGGCCTCTTCATCTTGCCACTCGGGTCGGCCTCCCATTTCCATTTCCAGAGAGCTCGCTGTCGGCTGCGGGGGGCTTTCCATGGCCCTGGTCAGCCCTCCCCACTGGTGGAAACCAGTTTCCATAGCAACAAGAAGGTGGGCAGAGGGCAGAAGGCAGAAGTGGGAGGGGTCTGCAGCCCCAGCCTAGGATTCGGCCAGGGCTGTACCTGGACCTCAGTGCAGGCTCCAGGGCTGCTCAGGGCCACGTGGACCTCACTGGCAGAAGGCCGCTTGCTCCCTGGGCCGCCTTCCTCATCCAGAGGCCAACATGTGCGCAGCATGGAGCCCAGCCCGGGAGGTGCCCCCAGCAAGGGCCCAGAGGCCCAGCCTCTCGCAGCCCAGGTGGTGCAGACCTCCCACAAGCAGGCGACCGTGTCTTGGCAGCCACCCGCGAGCAGGGCCGGCACCCACCCACGCTGCCTGCTCTTCCGAGGCAGGGAGGCGCCTCTGCACCGGCTCAGCCAGGGAGCCATGGAGCCAGGGGGCCAGGGGGTCAAGGGGCTGAAGGTCGGGGGTTGGGGGGCCAGGAGGCCGGGGACCAGGGGGCCAGGCCTGGCAGGTGCAGGAACACAGGGAGCCTGGAGAGCAGGAGCCAGCCCTAGCACTGCTTTTGGATCCTCCACAAATCCACTGAGGACTTTCTATAAAAAATAAAATAAAATCGGTGGCCAGGCACAGTGACTCACACCTGTAATCCCAGCAATTTGGGAGGCTGAGGTGGGTAGATCGCTTGAGCCCAGGAGTATGAGACCAGACTGGGCAACAGAGCAAGACCCCATCTCCAAAAAAAAAAAAAAAATTAGCCGGGTGTGGTGGCATGCTTGTTTGCACCTTGCACTGAGAGGCAGTCAGCGCCACTGCACTGCAGCCTGAGAAACAGAGTGAGATACTGTCTCCAAAACATGAATAAGTAAATAAATAAAAATAAAAACAGAAAAAAAGGAAATAATCTCTTCCAGTGAGCAGTTTGCAAACCTGGGGAGATGTAGCCTTCAGAGAGAAGAAAGCAAGCGAGGGGCTGAGTTTGCAAACTGTCCGCAGGGGTCCCAGTCTGGTCCCTTATGCAAATGGCGGATGTACACTTGCTTCGTTTGATTGGTCAGCGTGTAATGAGTTCCGATTGGTCCAGACGGAGGACAGCCTTTTGGTCGATTCGGAGACAGGAACAGCCCAGTGAAATCCCAAGGTGACCCTGGCACGTGGGCTTCCTGCACAGTGTAGACCCGGCCTCCAACAAGCAAGCAGCTGCCTGGCTCTGAGTTCAGGCCCTGTTAGCCCGGGGACCCATCTGGAAGGACTAGCTGTTTCCAGGTTTCAGGTCCCCACAGTGGTCATAGAGCCCAGCCCAGGTGGGCTGACAGACACTGGAACAGGGAGTCACGAAAGGAGGTGGAGCCACCCTCACCTTGCTCCTGAGCAACTGGCCTGAGCCCAGCGCCCCACGGCCCACCCGGGCTTCAGGACAAGACGGCTGGGCAGAAGCGGCCATGCCCTGGCCAGTGACCAGCACCTGGGAGACCAACTGTTGGCGGGAGGGCGCTGGCTGCAGGGTCAGGGGGTCCCAGCACTAGGGCCCAGCGAGGAAGGGGTGGAAAACTGAACCTGGGATAAACAGGAAGTCAGCCTGGGAGGGGCCCGTGGGGCCCCGAGACCCGAGGGCCTGGCGAATGCCCCAGCAGCCCCAGGCCATCGGCCAGTGTTTCCTGCTGCCACCTCTGGCCAGACTACCTGTGGGCCATGGGGTAGAGATCACCCAGGGCTGAGGTCGGGACTCAGGGGGAACAGCTGCAGACGCCAGGGACCATCTGGTTCACCAGCCAGTTGTGCTCTGCGACATTCAGGAACCGGAGTAAGCACGCGGCTTAATAATTATGCAGGACAGGTGCCACTGCACAGGCATCTTCCTGCACTTTTCTCCACCATCGCCTGGACGGAGTAGATAGGGTAGGAGGAGGCAGAGCACCTGGTGGGCAAAAGGGGGTCCCCGAGAAAAAGGGGGTGTTTGAGCAGCCCCCATGCACTCTGCGTGTGCTCCTGGAAGAATAAAGGAGGCCTTTATTCTCGTTGCAGGCTTTTCACTTCTCAGAGCCCGAGACCCCTCCTGGGAATTTGCCAGGGCCTGATTCCCCAGCAACGTGCCCCAAAGTCTGACAAACCCAACGCTGCTCTGGGATGTAAGGAAACAGAAGGAAGGGCAGAGACACAGAGGGTTGCCCCAGTCCTGGGAGTCCTGCAATGCTCTGCCACGACCAGTGTTGGTCCGAGGCTGGGTCACTGCACCCTGCCCCGCAAACCCAGGTGGAGGCTGAAGCCCCAGGTGGGAGCCACCTCTGAGCAGGGTGGGGAGGAGGTGAGCACTGCTGCTCACCCTGCGGCTGAGTGAGAGCCCCAGGACTGCAAAGCTTGGCGGGCCCTTGGGTCATCCGATTCAGAGTGTTCTAAGGTGTGTCCTGTGGGACAGGTGTCTATAGGATGTTAACGGGTGTAAGCTTAAAAGATGTCTTCTGATCTACTTATTTTTGGGAACCATTGAGTTAAAATGTTTCTGGGTAGTGCTGAGCACTCAAGAAAGAGTGGCCTTCTCCGTAAATGTGGGTTGTACATTGGATATCAGTTTGTTCATGGACTGCACTACGAGCTGTGCCCTCTCCTGGTGGAGGGGAAACAAGCTTCCTCTGGCCTGTTTCATAAGGGCACTAATCCCACTCACCGGCGGGTTCTGCCCTCATGAAATAATGACCTCCAAAGGCCCCACCTCTGAATACTCTCACCTAGGCAATGAGTTTCCTCGGAACACAGCACTGCTAAAGAGAGGAGGCGGGGGGGGGGGGCCTCTGCCAGCTCTGGACACCCTTGAAGGGACAGGAGCGCAGAGTCTAGCAGGAGGCCTTGGAGGACATCAGACCAGCCTGAGGGTCATCAGTGCCAGCACCCAGATGCCCAGACCCCAGAACTGCAGCAGGGAACACTGTGTCCCCCAAAAGTAGGGCTGGCAGAATTAGGGGTGTGGGGGAGGCACGGTCTGTCTGCAAGATGGATCACAGAGGGGCCCTGCAGCTGCAGAGGGTGGGGGCACTGGCCTGGCTCTCAGGGAGCCCCATCCCCTCCTCAGCCTTAGGAGCCCCCTGTCTGCGGCTGGGGCAGCAGCCAGAAAGGGCCTGGTGGGGGTGTGTGGGCGAGCAGGGGTGGGTCCTCCTGGCCTAGTACCTCCATGCCCAGGTGAGTCTCTACCTCTCTGAGCCCTGGGAGGGTGCCAGCGTTTGGGGGAAGGCTGTGCGTAAATCTCAGCACGGGGTAGTCCCTGTTAGCTCAGGCAATATCCTGCAACCCCTCATAGGACACACCTTAGAACACTCTGAATCGGATGACCCAAGGGCCCGCCAAGCTTTGCAGTCCTGGGGCTCTCACTCAGCCGCAGGGTGAGCAGCAGTGCTCACCTCCTCCCCACCCTGCTCAGAGGTGGCTCCCACCTGGGGCTTCAGCCTCCACCTGGGTTTGCGGGGCAGGGTGCAGTGACCCAGCCTCGGACCAACACTGGTCGTGGCAGAGCATTGCAGGACCCCCAGGACTGGGGCAACCCTCTGTGTCTCTGCCCTTCCTTCTGTTTCCTTACATCCCAGAGCAGCGGTGGGTTTGTCAGACTTTGGGGCACGTTGCTGGGGAATCTGGCCCTGGCAAATTCCCAGGAGGGGTCTCGGGCTCTGAGAAATGAAAAGCCTGCAACGAGAGCATGTGTTGAGGACAGGAAGCCAGAGGCTGGGGTCTCCTGAGACACTGGGGCAGGGGATCCTGGAGCGTGCAGGGAGAATCAGCATGGCATCCTCTGAGCTGGGCACACACTGTGCTGGGAGGGCAGGGGTGCCGCGGGTATTGTTCCTTTAGAGACACAGTGTGAAAGTCTGTGTTTGTGAGCTCATGTGAAAGTGTCTGTGCACATATATGTGTATATGTGTTTGTCACTTTTGCACGTGTGCCTACATGTACCTTCGTGCATATGAGTGTGCATGAGTGTGCATGTGTGGGTGTACGTGTGTACGTGCATTTACGTCTCTGTGTGTATAAACATGGGTATGTACGTGTTTTAGTGTAGGCTTGTGTGTGTTGTGGATATTTGTGTGTGCCTGTATGTCTCTGTGCGTGTGGGGCTTGTACATGTATGTGTGTACCTGTGTGTATGCATATATGTGGACAGGATCACATCAGAGTTGAGCCATTATTCAGCTCGCAGTCTGTGCAGGTACCTGGCACCGTCCCTGTCTCCTGGGCTTCAGCTGTAGAATGCCAGCCCTACAGTAGAATGTATCATACAGCATTCTTTATCCATGCTTTTGTGGGTCCTTTATTTTTAATTCTTATAGTAAAGGTCACATTTCACAGATTTCGGCTTGTTTGACAACAAACATTAGTCAACATCCTTCAGATGTTTGCAGATTTTGAAGAATTTCTTATTTCACCAACATTTTCCAGAGTCTCTGTGTGTACTTTCCCTAGGATTCCTGCAGGGAACCTCACAGGGGTCAGGGATCAGGGCGGCCGACACACGGGCTCCTATGCATTTCACAGACCTGCAGTGAAGCCGGGAGCTGCGTGGGAAGGCCTTGCCCTGGCCCCTAGTTCACTGCTGACCATACACCTGCCCCAGGGCTGATTCATCTGCCCCACCCTGATCACGGCTCAGGACACACACACAGGGCCCTACCCAACAGAGACAGAGGCCAAGGCGCTGCCAGGCTGGGAGCATAGCCTACCAGCCCCTAGTCGGATGCGGTTCTCTAAGTCCTCAATGAACTTGGTAGCTGGGGAAACAGACACCAGAAGAAGCTCCACTGCTGTCCTGATCCTGAAGAAGGATGAGCAAGGACACCTCAGGCAGTGCCACGGGGTCGGAGGTGGCCGCTGCTGGGGGCCTGTAACACCAGGCTCCAGGAGGGGAGACAGCACAGATCATCTGAGGCTCCCTGCCTGGATTTGTGAGGTCAGCAGCGTTACTGTTGCCCCAGGTCACAGGGGAGGAAGCCGCACCTCACTGAGTCATGCAGCCTGTGAGTGGGAGAACAGAATTCAAACCCGGCTGGGCTCCATCAGACCCAGGTACGAGGGCTTCCTCGCTGCCTCCCCAGCCTCGTCATGAGCTCATTTTTAGTGAGGCATGAAAGCAAGGCCACACCCGGGAACCCAGGGCCCCAGGTCCACGCAGAGACTGCCCTGGCCTGGGGCTTCATCCTGTACCTCACCCCAACTCTGACCCTCCCAGGAGCTGCTGCCGCCTCGTGCCCACGAAGTTTTGTTCTCCCATCTGCCTTTGAAAAGATGTCATATTTCAGGAGTGTTCTTTTCATTATCACTCGTCTCCTACAAATAACAATTTCATGTTTTTATGTAATGCTTTCATAGCTCTTAAAAACAGAAAGAGGCACCTTGATGGCAAGGTGGGTGTGTGGCTCTGTTTCCATTGCACTCCCTGATTAGCAATCAGGGCCTCCAGAGTGGCTTTGATTAAAAGACAAGCGCATAGAAAAAGCTTCCAACTCTCCTCCTCCTAAGGCTACCAAACATTCACCAGCAAAGGAAATTGGACTTCCACTCTGACCAAGCTGGTATTGACAGTGCTTGGAGAGAGGTGGGGGAGAGAGGTGGGGGAGAGGTGAGGGGGAGAGGTGGGGGAGAGGTGGGGGAGAGGTGGGGGGAGAGGTGGGGAGAGGTGGGGGGAGAGATGGGGAGAGGTGGGGGAGAGGTGGGGGAGAGGTGGGGGAGAGGTGGATGGGGAGAGGTGGATGGGGAGAGGTGGGGGAGAGGTGGATGGGGAGAGGTGGATGGGGAGAGGTGGGGGAGAGAGCTGGGGGGGAGAGGTTGGGGGAGAGGTAGGGGAGAGGTGGGAGGGAGAGGTGGGAGAGAGAGGTGGGAGAGAGGTGGGGGAGAGAGGTGGGGGAGAGAGGTGGGGGAGAGAGGTGGGGGCAGAGGTGGGGAGAGGTGGGGGAGAGAGATGGGAGAGAGGTAGGAGAGAGGTGGGGGAGAGAGGTGGGGGCAGAGGTGGAGAGAGGTGGGGGCAGAGGTGGGGAGAGGTGGGGGAGAGAGGTGGGGAGAGGTAGGGGGACAGGTAGGTGAGAGGTGGGGGAGAAAGGTGGGAGAGAGGTGGGGGAGAGAGGTGGGAGAGAGGTGGGGGAGAGAGGTGGGAGAGAGGTGGGGGAGAGAGGTGGGGGCAGAGGTGGGGGAGAGAGGTGGGGGAGAGAGGTAGGGGAGAGAGGTGGGGGCAGAGGTGGGGAGAGGTGGGGGAGAGAGGTGGGGGGAGGTGGGGGAGGGAGGTGGGGGAGAGAGATGGGAGAGAGGTGGGGGCAGAGGTGGGGGAGAGGTGGGGGCAGAGGTGGGAGAGAGGTGGGAGAGAGGTGGGGGAGAGGTGGGGGAGAGGTGGGAGAGAGGTGGGAGAGAGGTGGGAGAGAGGTGGGGGAGAGAGGTGGGGGGAGGTGGGGGAGGGAGGTGGGGGAGAGAGGTGGGAGAGAGGTGGGGGAGAGGTGGGGGAGAGGTGGGGGAGAGGTGGGGGAGAGGTGGGGGAGAGAGGTGGGGGGAGGTGGGGGAGGGAGGTGGGGGAAAGAGATGGAGAGAGGTGGGGGAGAGGTGGGAGAGAGGTGGGAGAGAGGTGGGGGAGAGGTGGGGGAGAGAGGTGGGAGAGAGGTGGGGGGAGGTGGGGGAGGGAGGTGGGGGAGAGGTGGGGGAGAGAGGTGGGGGAGAGGTGGGGGAGAGGTGGGGGAGAGGTGGGAGAGAGGTTGGGGAGAGAGGTGGGGGGAGGTGGGGGAGGGAGGTGGGGGAGAGAGATGGAGAGAGGTGGGGGAGAGGTGGGAGAGAGGTGGGAGAGAGGTGGGAGAGAGGTGGGGGAGAGGTGGGGGAGAGAGGTGGGGGGAGGTGGAGGAGGGAGGTGGGGGAGAGAGATGGAGAGAGGTGGGGGAGAGGTGGGGAAGAGGTGGGGGAGAGGTGGGGGAGAGGTGGGGGGAGGTGGGGGAGAGAGATGGAGAGAGATGGGGGAGAGGTGGGGGAGAGGTGGGGGAGAGGTGGGGGAGAGAGATGGAGAGAGGTGGGGGAGAGGTGGGGGAGAGGTGGGGGAGAGGTGGGGGAGAGGTGGGGGAGAGAGATGGAGAGAGATGGGGAGAGGTGGGGGAGAGGTGGGGGAGAGGTGGGGGAGAGGTGGGGGAGAGAGATGGAGAGAGGTGGGGGAGAGGTGGGGGAGAGGTGGGGGAGAGAGATGGAGAGAGGTGGGGGAGAGGTGGGGGAGAGGTGGGGGAGAGGTGGGGGAGAGGTGGGAGAGAGGTGGGGGAAAGAGGTGGGGGGAGGTGGGGGAGGGAGGTGGGGGAGAGAGGTGGGGGAGAGGTGGGGGAGAGGTGGGGGAGAGAGGTGGGAGAGGTGGGGGAGAGAGGTGGGGGGAGGTGGGGGAGGGAGGTGGGGGAGAGAGGTGGGGAAGAGGTGGGGGAGAGGTGGGGGAGAGGTGGGGGAGAGGTGGGGGGAGGTGGGGGAGAGAGATGGAGAGAGGTGGAGGAGAGAGGTGGGGGAGAGGTGGGGGAGAGGTGGGGGAGAGGTGGGGGGAGAGAGGTGGGGGAGATGTGGGGGGAGGTGGGGGAGAGAGATGGAGAGAGGTGGGGAGAGGTGGGGGAGAGGTGGGGGAGAGGTGGGGTCCTCCACGGAGCTGTGCGCAGCTTGCTTTCGCCTGTGTCTACTAGATCCCACGGAATCCGCTTGGAGAGTCTCAGGACTGAGTGTCCAGCAGCTCACTTATAGGGAGAGCCCAGACGCAGGCCACAGGTCGGCGCAGGGCTGAGCCCGAGAGCACGATGCAGAGCCAGCGTGAGGAGGAAGCTCCGCAGCGGCCGCCCCTGGAGCCCGGATGCAGGGACCAGCTCTGCTGCCTGACGCCGCGGCCGACATCAGGGCCACTTCCGGTCCGCACCCAGCCCTCGCTGCCCCTCAGGAACGACCCTGCCGCTGCTACCACAGAAACCCGAGTGCCTCAGCCTCTGCAGAGTCTGTTCACGCTGTTGTGACGAAGACCATAGACTGGCGGCTTCTAAACAGCAGACATTTCTTCCTCTCAGTCTTGGAATCCGGGAAGTTCAAGACCAAAGTGCCGGCAAATTGGCGGCCGGTGAAGGCCGGTTTCCTCATCCTGCGCCCTCTCACAGTGGGAGGGAAGCACGCGGTCCCTCGAGCCTCGTTCATAAAGGGCCCTCACTCCCCTCGCGAGGGCTCTGCCCCCCTGACCTCATCACCCCCAAGGCCTCATCTCCAACAGCATCCTATCTCGGGTTAGGGTTCCAGCACGTGAGCCTGCGGGGGACGTTCCAGCACGTGAGCCTGCGGGGGACGTTCCCGCATGTGAGCCTGCGGGGGACGTTCCCGCATGTGAGCCTGCGGGGGACGTTCCAGCCTGTGAGCCTGCGGGGGACGTTCCCGCATGTGAGCCTGCGGGGGACGTTCCAGCATGTGAGCCTGCGGGGGACGTTCCAGCATGTGAGCCTGCGGGGGACGTTCCCGCATGTGAGCCTGCGGGGGACGTTCCAGCCTGTGAGCCTGCGGGGGACGTTCCAGCCTGTGAGCCTGCGGGGGACGTTCCAGCCTGTGAGCCTGCGGGGGACGTTCCCGCATGTGAGCCTGCGGGGGACGTTCCCGCATGTGAGCCTGCGGGGGACGTTCCCGCATGTGAGTCTGCGGGGGACGTTCCAGCATGTGAGCCTGCGGGGGACGTTCCAGCCTGTGAGCCTGCGGGGGACGTTCCAGCATGTGAGCCTGCGGGGGACGTTCCCGCATGTGAGCCTGCGGGGGACGTTCCAGCATGTGAGCCTGTGGGGGACGTTCCAGCATGTGAGCCT
Source organism: Homo sapiens (assembly GCF_000001405.40). NCBI lineage: Eukaryota > Metazoa > Chordata > Mammalia > Primates > Hominidae > Homo > Homo sapiens. Next base: position 131,626,204 of record NC_000010.11, read on the forward strand.
GCGGGGGACGTTCCAGCATGTGAGTCTGAGGGGGACGTTCCAGCATGTGAGTCTGAGGGGGACGTTCCAGCATGTGAGTCTGCGGGGGACGTTCCAGCATGTGAGTTTGCGGGGGACACAGACATTCAGACCATGGCAGCTACCTCGGCCACCAAATACTCTCCTCCAAATTGAACTCTCCCATCGGAGCCTCTGATGGACAGAGCCTGAGTTACTTCCTGCCTCCCAAGCCGACGGGGGAGGTGAGTTCTATGTACCGCCCAAGGGAGCTGCCCTCAACACAGAGAAGCCTCCCAGAGGGTGGCCACGGGCCGTGGCCTGACAGTGGCACTGCTTCGTCTGAAAAGGGCTGGCCAGGAGAGGATAGCTGAACAGCTGGGCCTGCACCAGCAGCTCTTCCAGAGTGGAAGGGGCCCATGGGAGGTGGCCCAGTGCTTCAACCCTGGTTCCTCTCTGTTTTAGTTTTAGCTCTTAAATTGGGTCTTTGATCCTCTTTCTGTTAATTTTTGCATATTGTGTTATGTAGCAGTCAAACTTCATTTTTTTGCATGTGGATATCCAGTTGTTCCAGCACCGTTTGCTAGAGAAATTATTTTTTTCATTGACTGGCTTTCACACCCTCTTGAAAACCAATGGGTTACATAGGCTTATTTCTGAACTCCCACTTCCATTCCATTGGTCCGTATATTTATCAATAGGCCAGCATCACATTGTTTTAATTATTGTAGCTTTGTAGTTAAGTTCTGAAATCAGGAAGTGTAAGTTCTTCAACTTCATTCTTCTTTGTTTTTCTTTTGCAAGAACTATTCAAGGTTTTTTGCAATTCCATATGAATTTTAGAATTAGCTCTTTCATTTTTGCAAAAAGGGTTCTTGTAAGATTGACAGGGACTGCACTGAATTCATAAGTAGCTCTGGGTACTGTTGCCATCCTAACAATGTTAAGTCTTCTAATCCATGAACATAAGATGCGTTTCCACTTATTTATGTAATCTTTAATTTATTTCAGCAATGTTTTATAGTTTTCAGTATACCGTGCTTTCTCCTCCTTGGTTAAGTTTATTCCTAAGTATTTCATAATTTTTGATATTGTAAATGGAATTATTTATTTTATTTTACTTTAATTTGATTATTACATCTCAGTGTAGATCTCTTTGAGCTTATCCTACTTAGTTTGCTGAGCTCCTTGGATTTGTATATTCACATATTTCATAAAATTTAGAAAAGTTTTGGCCATATTTCTTCATATAGTCTCTCTGCCCCTTTATATCACTCTCCTCCCCTCAGAATCAATAATTTCAATGGTCCTGTCTTTAAATTCTCTGATTATTTCTTCTTCCTGTTTAAATCTACTGTTGAACTCCTCTAGTTATTTTTTTTTGTTTAAGATCTTCTACTTTTTAATTCTAGAATTTCAATTTGGTTCCTCTTTATAATTTCTATCTCTTTACTGATATGCTCTATTTTGGGGGATATCATTCTCTCATTTTCCTTTATTTCTTTGCCAATGGTTTTCTATAGCTTTTCAAACATATTTAATAATATTCTCCATAATTGAAATGTGCTTAAATTGATTTGAAGTCTTCCTCTAGTAAGTTTAATGTCTGCTTAATTTCTGCTTACTTTTGCTTACAAGCAAGCCGTTCTTTTTTGTTTTTGCATGTCTTGTTATATTTTTGTTGAAAATGAGACATCTTGAATATTATAGTGGGGTAAATCTGAAAATCAGACTGTTCTTCTCCTCAAGGTTTTTTGTTGTCCCTTGCTGTAGGTTGCAGTTGCTTGTTTAGTGACTTTTCTGAACTATTTTTAAAGACTACCTTCTTTATTGTATATGATATGGTCAGCAATGTTTTGACAGAGATTTCCTTGAATGCCTGGAACACCTCCCTTGGCCCCAGAAAAAAATTAAAGGAAATACTCCCCTGGTCTTTGCAAATCAGTTCTGTATCGCAGCACCCCTCCACTTAGCCAGTCCATTCAACTCTGCCTTAGCCTTCACTTCCTGCTTGCAATGAACCCAAAGATAAGCTGGAGGTGAAACATTAGGTCTTCTCAGGTCCTTTCTGAGTCTACATGCTGTACTGGTCATACACATGGCATTCTATATTATATGCAAGAGATTTTCAAACCCCTTAATCCCCAAAGTAACTCTCAGATTATCCCCCAGGCTTTTGGCTCATCTATTGTTTGACCCAGGTGTCAGCAGTTTGTTCATTGACTTTTCAATGTTGGTAAGAAACACTCTCTGCTGTCCACTTTTCTGTGCTGAGGGAGTTCTAAGTTAGGCAAAACAATGGCCCACTGTTACTCCTTAAGGGACACCCCAAGCAAGTCAAAACAGACAAACATGATTGCTTGGGAATCAGATCCACCCTCCCCCAGAGCCCGGGATCCACACTGAAGCCTGGACCACCATATTCAAGACCAGCACCACACAGGGTGAGGATGAGGCAGTGCTAAGTTCAAATGCCACAAGGCTCTCCCACCATCTTTAAGTCACCTTTTTCTTGATAAAACATTTGTTTGGTTGCTGTAAACCTTTGACTACTTTCCAGAGTTCTGACTAGGTTATCTCAATAGTTCTCTGTGTCTCTCTTTCTGTTTTTGATGTTTTTGTAGAGGGACAGCCCTTGGGGCTCCCTGCTCCCCGACTTTTGCTGACCCTTACCCTCATCTTTCACCTCAACCACAAGCTGCTTTTCAAAACTTCTGTACTAGTGATACTGAAAAGAAGCAGGTAAAGTTGTCCTTTCTGTTACCTTCTCTATGCAGAAGTGCGTTAACTCATCCTCTCCTCACCCAGCTTGATGGGCAAGGGCTCTCCTTTCTCCCATTTTGCAGACCATGAGTTTGAGGCTTACCAGGGTCATTGTGGCTGAAAGCTGCAGAGCAGCAGAGAGAGGATTTAAAGTCCAGCCAGCCATCTGGCCCTAGATCCTATTTCTCACACCAATGCACCACAGTTCTATAAGGCCAAAGTCTAGGAGCTGCTGTGGGATTACATTCTCCCCCACCTTCTTCCTTCTTTCACCCTGAGGTCCCCCCTTTTGAAGGCTAAACACACAAGCACACCCTGGGGGTGGGGCTGAGGGAAGGCTCTGCGATTCTGATCAGGTCACAGTGGACAAGGTCTTCTGCCCTAGTACAAGAACTTGGGAACACAGGGAGTTGGTGTGCTGTTGCTCCAAACACGGAACATTTCTAAAAGTTGACATGTCAATTCTGTGCAATTTTTCTTTCATTTGTTATGAAAACATTCTGTTGCTCTTAAGGAAGCAAACAGTTGGTGTTTATCTTCTACCACTTACCACAAGTGTGATTTGAAAAACAAACCGATTTTCCAGCTGCTCAGTGATTAAAATGTTTGACAATTTATGTCTTCATGTTTGATTTGTGGCCCAGAAGGTGAGAAGTACAATAAAGATGTCCTTCCATGTCCCTGAGCTGAGCTGGCATCCTCCACGTCCTCAGCATACTCTGAAAGTCCTTTGTAAAAAATGCCTCTTGGAGTAATTTAAGATGGAGCTGAAAAGTGGCCCTTTAATTGAGTTGAGTTGCAGCACTTCTGAAGCCACTTAAACCGTAGTACCAAATTAGGAAGGAAACATTTCTAGAATGAGTTGTGTTCTGTTCCAAAATAATTCCTTATTGAGGTCCCAAGGCATGATTTGCATATGATGAGCAATCAGAAATTGTAGTGTGGAAAGGAAGCATTTGGATAGACCTTGAGGATATGTGGAAGCCCTTCATGGTTCTGATTCTTTTTCTCTTTGGTATTTGTGTTGTTCTAGAATCACAGCACATCATAAAGTAAGAGAAAATGTGATCGATGGGTGGGAGGGTAAGCTGATGCTTTAAGCCTTTCTCACCTAACTAACTGCAGGTAGACAGCACGTGGTACAGAAACAGGTCCCTGAAAATGGGCAGGGAGAAATCCTTCTGTAAGATGAATAGCCCTTAAATGCAGTATTCAAGCTTGTTGTTTGAAGGCAATGTCTGATTAAGTCCTTTTGTTGCTCATTTATGGAACAAACAGTTCACCTAATTAGTTAAAGCCCTATTTCTAAATGCATAGTTCCTTCCGATGGGAGCAACCAAGCGGCCTTGCCACTAGGCTTAGCGACGCTGGGCAGTCACTGGGAGCTGACCGTCTGCTTCAAGGCCCCGACTCTGGAGTTCCATTCCAGCCAATGGCCAGACCACAAAGCCAGGATGGGACATAATTCTTTAGAATAAATCAAGAACTAAGAAAAAAGGGAGTTTAGGGGAAGACGTCAGCCCCACAGGGCAGTGTCCAGGAGGTTTAGCAAAGACACTGTAGGGATAGTTTGAGGAATCAGAGGACACAGCACAAATGTAGAAATCTTGCACAGCTTTGATCCCCTGGCCAGAATTGCAACACACCCCAGGCCACCATATGAGATTCCAGTGATGCTCAGGGGAGTGACGCCTTCCAGTAACCTCCCAGGGACGTGGTGGGGAGGTCACTGTGAATGCAGAAGGCCACTGAGTGGAGCATCACAGGAGTGCTGTGGATCAGGCACTGGTGGGTCATACAACCCTTCAGACACTGGCACCTGCAGGCTCTGCAGCCCACAGGGTGGCCAGTGCCTGGTACTCACCATTCTGAGCTAACTGGCACTGTCACTGCCCCCTCCTCCTGCTGCCACTGGCCAGCAGGTCCAGAGGGCAGATGTTCAAAGAGCAAGCCTGTGCCTTGGAGTTACCCTCCCTGCTACCACTCACTCACACTCCTATGGGCCTACAGCAAACACGTGGGCACTCTTAACCTCAGCTCACAGCAAAGCCTTGGCATCCCTGAGGCCCAGAGCGCCGACCTCTGCCAAGGTCACCTGTGGCCAAGGGCATGGTGAGAGACTTTCTCTGGGGCTTTTTCCTCCTTCTGGACGCCATGTCCCTGAGCTGATTCACACGGGAGATTCATACATTGCTAAATAAGACTTTGACCTAGCGCCGTTCCCTGAAGTTTCCCAGGTCTGAGGAGCAAAACAAACAAATGCAAAGGAAAATACAAAGCAGATAAAGCCATGAGGTAGAGACCAAGGACACACCCTCCACACCCAGCAACGTGGAGGGGCTGCCCAAGCCCACTGAGGGGCGTCGGTTGCCATCAATAATAACTTCACACGCTGTCCATGCTCTCACCTTGGTCTCATCCCAGAAAGTAACTTCATTGATATGTGAAATCTGATATCCAACTATATTGCAATTGAGGAAAAATATATTCCTTTCAGCCCCCTTCCCCATTATAAAGACTTTATGCCCAAATCAGTTTAAATTTACTTTTTAATTATGTACATAGCTTTCTTATGTGAAGCTTCTGACTAGAAATATGTATCTCATTTTATTTTATGTTATTCCATTGACCCAAACACAAAGTCATTTTTCTTGAATACTGAATGCTCATGTACCTTTTTAATTAAAGCTTAAAAAGCTCTTAATTAAAGTCATAAATCAGGGGCAGCAATTTCTACCTAAATTGTCTTGCAAGCCTTCCTGGTTTTCCTTCTGCTTCACGGTGACCTGTGAGGCAACTGCGGGGTGAAGATGCCTTTCACATTTAATCTGTGGTAAGCAGCTTGGGCGTGGGGGAGCGGGCGGGCAGTCCTATCACGGCGTCTCTGTCACCAGCCAGGTGCCTGTGGTGGCCAGCAGGGCCAGGCGGTCTTTGTGAGCAGGCAGGTGGTCCTATCGTGGCGTTTCTGTCACCTGCCAGGTGGCTGTGGTGGCCAGCAGGGCCAGGTGGTCTTCGTGAGCAGTCGGGTGGTCCTATCGTGGCGTTTCTGTCACCAGCCAGGTGCCTGTGGTGGCCAGCAGAACCAGGTGGTCTTCGTGAGCAGGCAGGTGGTCCTATCGTGGCGTTTCTGTCACCTGCCAGGTGCCTGTGGTGGCCAGCAGGGCCAGGCGGTCTTCATGGGAGCATTATTCACGGACCCTCATCCCGTCTCATGCCTCTCCTGCCTTCCTCTACTGTGGTGACGAGGACAGGGCTCACCTGTCCACTCATTTCCAGGATGGCGGGCAGTTTTCTAGAAGCTTTTGTATGCCAAGAATTGGCCATGTCTTCTTTTGAAAAGTGTCTGTTCATGTCCTTTGCCCACTTCTCAGTGGGGCTGTTTGGTGTTTGCTTATAAATTTGTTTAAGCTCTTTATAGGGCTAGATATTAGACCTCTATCAGATGCATATAGTTTGCAGATATTTCCTCCCATTCTATGCCATTATCCTTAGCAAACTAATGCAGGAACAGAAAACCAAATACTGCATGTTCTCACTTAGAAGTGGGGGCTAAATGATGAGAACACATGGACACAAGAAGGGGAACAGCACACACTGGGGCCTACTTGAGGGTGGAGGGTGGAAGGAGGAAGGGGATCAGAAAAAAATAACCATTGCATACTAAGTTTAGTACCCGGGCAATGAAATAATCTGTACATCAAACCCCCATGACCCGAGTTTATCTACGTAACAAACCTGCGCATGTACCTTGAACCTAAAATAAAAGTTAAAAAAAATTTTAAAAAGAATTGGCCATATACTGATATTTTCAAAAATTAAGTGGCTCTTGCCAATACCTCATCGGGGTACAATTAGCACTTGACAAATTGCCTGTTCTGCACACACTGCACAGTTTGATAAGTTTTGAAATCTGCGCACATCAAGGCATCATTACCACAGTCAAGGTAAGGAACAGATCCAGTCCTTCCTCAAAAGAAGCTTCTTTTTAAATCCCTCCTGCCTTCCCCAAGGCCTCTCCCTCCATCCCAGGAAACCCCCCTTCTGCTTCCTGTCACTATAAACCAATTTGCATTTGATAAAAGTTTTTACAAATTGAACCATACAGTATGCACTGTTTTTCGACTGGCTTCTTCTACTCAAACTATTTTAGAGTTTCCTCCATGTTGTCGCATTATCAATAATACATCATTCTTTATGTATCTCTGGGTAATATTCCCTTGAATGCACATGCTCATTGTTTTTCTTTCACCTGCTGGTGAACTTGGAGTTGCTTCCATTTGGGGGATATTCCTAATAAAACTTCTGTGAAAGTAAGTTCATATACAAGTTTTTATATGGGCACATGCTTTCTTTTCTCTTGAGTAAAATACCTAGCAGTTGAGTGGCCAGATCGTATAGTAGGTTTATCTTTAACTTTTTAAGAAACTGCCAAAATGTTTTCCAAAGTTATATTAGTTTATACTCCCACTAGCATGTTAATAATGTGTGGGAGTTTCAGTTCACCCGCATTCCCACCAAGAGCTGGTATGGTCAGTCTTTTGCTTTTAGACACTCCAGTGGGTTTATGGTGGGATATCGTGGTGATTCTAATTTGCATTTCTCCATGAGTAATGATGTTGAACATCTTCTGAGTGCCTATTTGCCATCTGCTTATCTTCTTTAGCGAAGCATCCAAATCTCTTACCCATTGTTTTACTGGACTGTTTATTTTCTTATTTTTGGGTTTTCAGAGTTTTTTCTAAATCATGAATACAAGTCCTGTGTCAGAAATATAACTTGCAAATACTTTCTCCCAGTCTATGGCTTACTGTTTTGTTGTCTTAATGATGTCCTTCAAAAAGTAGATATTCTTACTTTTGGTAAAGCCCAATATATCATTCTTCTTCTTTTATGGGTCGTATTTTTGATGTCATATGTAAGAAATATTTGCCCAGCCCAAGGACACAAAAATTATCTCTTATATTGTCTCCTTTTTCAGTTTTCTTTTTGGGTCTATTTTAAGTTAAATTTTGTGCATGTTAAGTTTTTCTTTGTAGTTGTATCCATTGTTGCTCTATGTATTTTGGAACTCTGTTATTAAGTGCATATGCATTTAAAATTGTTATGTCCTCTGGATGAATTAGTCCTTTATCATTATGAAATAAACTCTTTTATGCACAGTAATATTCTTTGCTCTGAAATTTACTCTGATATTGCTACAATCAGAATTACTCCAACTCTATTTTTATTAGTGTTAGTATATCTGTTTCCACTTTTTACTTTTAACCTATCCATGTCTTTATATTTAAAGTGTGTTTCTTATAGGCAGCATATACCATAGTTTCCCCCATCCACGGTTTTACTTTCTATGATTTTAGTTACCCACATTCTACTGCCATCCAAAAGTATTAAATGGAAAATTCCAGAAATAAACAATCCATAAGTTTTAAATTTTATGTCATTCCAAGTAACATGATGAAATCTCATGCTACCCCCTTGAATTTAAGATTTACCATCTATTTCCTGGAATACCTCTGAAATGGATAAGTGCAACCAGAGAAAAAGAAGATACATAAACACCAGGGAACAAATGGAAGAATCACAGCAGATTTCTCACTGGACACAGGGCACGCTAAGACCGTGGAGCAAGATTGTTAAAGCACTGAAAAAAAGAAAAACCCGTCAAACCAGAATTCTTTACTAACAAAAATACCATTCAAAGACTTTGTCAGGTTTACAAAAGCGGCAAGATCATCACCACTATCAGAGCCATGTACATATACACCATGGAATACTATGCACCTATCAAAAATAACAAAATTATGTCCTTTGCAGCAACATGAATGGAGCTGGAGGCCATTATCTTAAGCGAACTAATATAAGAACAGAAAACCAATACCACGTGTTCTTACTTATATGTGGGAGCTAAACATTGAATACATATAGATGTGAAGATGGGAACAGCAGACACTGGGTCTACCAGACAGCAGAGGGAGGGAGCGAGGCATGGGCTGAAAATCTACCTGCTGTGTGCCGTGCTCACCACCTAGGTATGTGTCTACATCTATTCTTAATGTATTTTCTTAGGATTTTATAGGCTCTAAATGTGGAATTTATAAATTAACCTCGTGAGAAGACAGCTCAGCCTTATTTGACTATTCCATTCTATACATTTGTATCATGAGCTGGACTTCCTACTTTTGAAATAATTAATGGAAGGCACATTTTTATAATGAATCCATGACAAGTTAGAATTACACAAAGCATGAATCAGTTATGTATTTTTTATTTAAGTATCACAAAATGTTAATCATGAATATATCTTGCCTCTATAATTTTTTAATTGCAAAATAATCTATACACACATGCACACATATATAATTTAATTTTAATTTAATTTAATTTTTTAATTTTGGATTCAGGGGTACATGTGCTGGGTTGTTACATGGCATGTTGTATAATGCTGAGGTTTTGGATAGGGATGGTCCCAACACCCAGCTGGAGGCAGAGAGCTAGTAAGTGATGGACCCAGAATTCCGGAGCTAGAAATTCTAGCTCCAGAATCCACCATTCTGTGCCCCTTTTCTGCCATGATTACCAGTGTGAATGCTCAGCCTCAGTGTCCTTGTTTGTGAAGTGGTTATAAGATACCAACCTTAGGGCTGTCCTAATGAGCACTGAGTGACAGAATGAGAGCAATGCCTCTGACTCACTGACTGGCCACAGAATGAGAGCAATGCCTCTGACTCACTGACTGGCCACAGAATGAGAGCAATGCCTCTGACTCACTGACTGGCCACAGAATGAGAGCAGGTGCCTCTGACTCACTGACCGGCCACAGAATGAGAGCAGGTGCCTCTGACTCACTGACTGGCCACAGAATGAGAACAGTGCCTCTGACTCACTTACTGGCCCGTCATCACTGCTCCGAGGGTGGGAGCTGCTGCTGTTCATGGAATAATTGTCCCAATCCTTTCTGGAGGGCTGGGGCATGGAGACAATGCCAAGGTTTTAAGCAGCAGGAAAAAGACCTGAACAGAAGTGGTGATTGTGGCTGAAGACAGGAAGCTGGTTTGAGAGGCACTGCAGAGGGAGCTGGAAACGGATTGGAGAGGAAGATGAAGGAGAGGCAGGAGTTGGTGGCCAACCCAGGACTTCCTACACAACGACTGGATCAACAGGGATATAAGATCCACGGTGGAGAGTACTGGAAGGGAAATGAGATTAGTCCAATTTGTCTGAGGGAAATGAAAGGTCTGTGTCCAACAGAGTGAATTGATGTTGAGGATATGACCTCGGCGTGGGCAGCTGGAAACACGGCCCCAGAAGTCGGGGGTCTGCCCGGAGCCAGCACTCCCCTTCCATGAGCTGGGCAAGGGGTGAAATCTCACAGCTTGGAGGCAGTTCTTCCCGACCAGGGTGGTTCCTGGAGCTTTCCACTCCCCAGTTCCCCCGGGTGCATGTGCCCTCACTCCAGAAGGGCCTCATGCACCAGAGAGGAAATGGTCAGGACAGTGTCCTGAGTGTCAGCTCCCAAGAGCTCATCTTCAGCAGACGTTTGTGGATGTCTTCCAAGAGTCCGCTATGAGGATGCTCACCACGGTGTCATCTGCAACCTCGAATCAAATCACTGGAAATACCCCAGGTGTCCAACAGCAGCCAGTGAACTAACTGATTAACTAATAGACCTGGGGCAGGGGACTCCAAGCAGTCACTAAACACTAGGTTGTGGGAGAATATTTGATGTCTGTGCAGTGTTTGCAAGGTATTATCGAGAGGAAAGGGTTAAAAAAATACGTACAATGAGAGCCTTTTCTGATGCATGTACACAAGTCACAGAAAGGCACGCAGCAGGTGGACCTGGATCCCCACATCACAGGGGCGCTGTCTCATTAATGTGGCTTAGCTAATTTCTAAATTTAATACAATCGATGAGTCCTTCATTAGTGAGGAAAGGAGTGAAGAAAAAGTATTTTTAATTGGTCATTTAGGAAAATGATGGAGGGGTCACGGCCACACTCCAGAGAGGTCAGTCAAGGGGGTACGGTAGGAAGAAGCTGTGGGCTCCGCCGCTGACCACGGCACTGTTGGAGGGAGAAACAGAGCCAAAGGTCAAGAAGGCCATGCCGTGGAGCAGTGTGCTAGTGAAAATGATGGGAAAATTTGCATTTGTCAGCACCGATGCCCCTGTGGTGAGGCTCATGTTCCATAATTCCTGACAAGCGTCTGCTGGGAACTCTCTTGGCAGCCTTTTCCTTTTAGAGGCTGGGTTGGTGGTGTCCTGCTTTTCACAGCCAGCTGTCTGCCACCAGGGCAGCAGCTGCTGAGCCTGGTACGCACGTCCAGTGGTCACAGAGAAGGAAACGGTGGCACTGCCGCCGCGCCGCTGTCCTCCCTCCTCTCCCCTGTGAACAGATTGTTTAGGGCTCCCACCACCTGCTCTCTTGAGGTCTACCCGCCATGATCCCCTCCAGGGCCAGCTTGGGAAAGGCCACATCCTCAGCAGCCATCCACAGCCTCTCTCCTGAGCCATCTCCAGAAACCACACGGAAGGAGCTGGAGGTCCTTATGCTCAGGGAAATAAGCCAGGCATAGGAAGAGAATGCCGCAGGATCGCATGCTTCTGAGGGAGCTGAGACAGTGGACTGCTTGGAGGGATAGCAGATCCAGTGGCGGCCAGAGGCCGGGATAGGAAGGGCAGGGGCTAAGAAGGAGAAAAAGGAACATGCACGCAGTTGTTACCCCTGAACTGTCACCTAAACATGGTAAAGAGTGTAGATTACATATGCAGATTCTGCCCTAACAAGGACAAAAACTATAAATGGGGTGAAAAGGCACTGACCACAGGCCCACCTGGAATCTCTGCCCTTCCTCAAGTCAGACCCAAAGGGACTTTTGGAAATCCCGAGTCTCACAGGCATGAGCTGCTCTGCAGGGTACAGCATCCCTCAGGCCTCCCCTCCTCTGCAGCTCAGTGCTGTGGAGTGAACCCAACCCAGCCACAGGAAACTCCCATTCTAGCCTCACTCACGCCACAGGACACCCCTGTCCCAGCCCCACTCACCCCACAGGACATCCCTGTCCCAGCCCCACTCACCCCACAGGACACCCCTGTCCCAGCCCCACTCACCCCACAGGACACCCCTGTCCCAGCCCCACTCACCCCACAGGACACCCCTGTCCCAGCCCCACTCACCCCACAGGACACCCCTGTCCCAGCCCCGCTCACCCCACAGGACACCCCTGTCCCAGCCCCACTCACCCACCACAGTGCCCCCATCCCGGTCTCCAGTCAGTGGAGCACCTAAAGGGTTGCACAGGGTGGTCATCACTGGGGAAACGCGTCTGAATTGGGTCATTCTGCTTGAATCTGGTGGGTGTGGTGTCCTCCTTGGGTCTGATCCCAGCCTCAGGCATTTCTTTGGAATGAGAGGGATGTTCACTGCATTGTTCTTTCTGGACACTGATGGAGACTGTGATATCACCTGAAAGCCGACTGTCAGTTCTGTGTCACTGCCCTGCAGCTGGTCCCACCTCTCCCCATCTCACCCTATCTACTCAACCATGCTGGAAACCTGTAACATGCTGCCCAGGCACACTGAGACCCTTCCTCAGGGGTGTTCGCGGAGCTGGTGCCTGGCTTGACTTTTTCTGACTCCATGACCTGGGGATAAGTGAGTGTCCTGTGGACAAGACCAAGTGGAGGGCATGTTGCAGGTGCACCAGTAAGCAGACTCCTCCGGAGCAGGTGGTGGCAGGTGAGGACAGAGGCTGGGATGTGGAGGAGAGGGGCCCCTCCTAAGGATTGAGGGCCTACGGTTTTCTTGGAACCTCATCCCAGCACACGGAGCCTCATGGTTTCAGGGCCCGAGCGGAATGGAAGTCGCCCTCCCAAGGGGAGAGCATGGCTGTGATGGAGTGATCTGAACGTGTTTGCTGTGACCCTCCCAGAATGTGTGATGCTCCCTTCGGTGACACAGGCTTTTGCCAAATTTTGGGAATTTGTCACCACCACACTGGATCTGCAAGAAATATTCAAAAAAGTATTAAACATGCAAGCAAAACAAACACCAGCCTATCCACCCCGCTCTGCCAGGCCTGTGTGAGCAGCAGGAGCTGCCAGCCAAGTGGTTTGGAGAAACCTCCATTCCTCTAACACGGTGGCCATGACCACACAAAGCTGGGGCTCACAGGCAGATCCTGTCCCTTTGTCCTCAGAATGCTAGATGATCACAATTGAGTTCCACACACCCAGCACCTCCATTGCCGGCCAGGCCAATGGCACAGGGCCAATCCCCAGCTGCCAAAATGAAAAGATTTTGGAACTTCTGCTTGGTAAATCCCCTTACAGCAGCAGCACATTGTCAGCCAAGCGTTGGCAGTCGAATCAGCAGTGAGAAATACCTTCAAACCCACATTTTGTGAGTTCCTCCAGGGCCAACTAGGGTAGAATTTGTGAAAGGACAGGATGGTGGCCCAAGGTCCAGCAGACCCTGAGCTCTCAGCTTATGCTTCATGCTGAGAAAATAAAGTCAACCAAAGTTTCAACCGAAGGTCCCTGTGGAACTTGGCCTCAGAGGAAAGCCAGGAAGCATAATTCTACATTTCTGTGCTCTCAGACCATGGAGCCCAACTTTAGCATTGCTGGGTGGAAGCTGGAGGGTGACAGAGGGAGAAAGGAACATGGCTGACTATGGAGGATGACAGGGGAAAAGGAATGTGGCCTGATCACACACACAGCACACTGCCACTACAACCTACAACTAACATTTAGAAACCCACTGCACAAAGGCTGTCTATAACCAAGGAATTCATTCAGAGCCTAAGCCCCCTAAAATCATATAGAACCAAAACCAAAGGGCCCTACCCAGCAGGGGCAACAGTCACACCCTTGGAGGGGGGATCCCATTCAAACAAAAGTAAGTTCAACAATAAGAGGTAACAGCTTCCACTGATGAGAAGGAACCTGCACAAGAGGTCGGCATCCAGATTCAAGAAACTCAACGAACTCCTGAAAAATACTGTACAAGACCATCCCCAAAGCATTTAGTCCTCAGACCATCCAAGGTCAATGCAAAAGAAAAAATCTTAAAGGCAGCTGGAGAAAAGGGACAAATTACACATAGAGGAAAATCTACCAGACTAATAGTGGACTTCTCAGCAGAAACCTTACAAGCCAGAAGAGATTAAGGTCCCATTTTTAGCCTTCTTAAAGAAAAAAAAATCCAGCCAAGAGTTTCATATCCTGGCAAACCAAGCTTCATAAACAAAAGAGAAATGAAGTACTTCCCAGACAAGCAAACACTAAGGGAATTTGTCACCACCACACTGGATCTACAAGAAATGTTCAAAAAAGTATTAAACATGCAAACAAAACAAAAGAGTAATACTGCTACCATAAAAGCACATATAAGTACAAAGCTCACAGACTCCATAAAGCAATGACCCAATTGAAACTACAAAGCAACTAGCTAACAACACTATGACAGGAATAAAACTTTACATATCAATACGAACCTTGAATGTAAATGGCCTAAATGAGTGGCAAACTGGATTTTAAAAAATAAGACCAACTTCCTGGTGCCCTCAAGAGACCCATGTCACATGTAATGACACCCAGGGGATTGAAGTAAGGGTATGGAGAAGAATCTACCATGCGAATGGAAAACAGAAAGAGCAGGGGTTGCTATTCTTATATCAGATAAAACAGACTTTAAAACAATAACAGTAAAAAAAAAAAAAAAAAGACAAAGAATATAAAAAAGGGATAAAGGGTTCATCCTACATATCTAGTCACCCAACATCAAAGCAGCCAGTTTTATAAAACAAATACTACTAGAACTAAGAACAGACATAGACAGTATTACAATGATAGTGGAGGACTTCAACACCCCACTGACAGCACTACACACATCCTCAAGGCAGAAAACTAGCAAAGAAACTCTGGGCTTAAACTAGATGTATGACCAATTGGACCTAATAGACATCTACAGAATACTCTATCCAACAACCACAGAATATACATTTTTCCCTTCTTTGCATGGAACATTCTCTACAGTTGACCACATGCTCGGTCATAAAGCAAGTCTAAATGAATTCCAAAAAACTGAAATCACATCAAGCATTTTCTCAGACCACAGTGGAGCAAAATTAGAAATCAATACCAAGAGGAATTCTCAAAACCACACAAGTACAAGGAAACTAAACAACTTGCTCCTGAATGACTTTTGGGTACACAATGAAATTAATAAAGAAAGAAAGAACTGTGAAACAAACGAAAATAAAGACACAACATGCAAAAAGCTCTGGGATACAGCAAAAGCATAAGCTGTGTCAGGAGTCAAATATGCTGAGGTCACCCCAGGAGGGGAGTTCCCTAGGCTCATTTCTAGAAAGCTTGTCACTTTCTGTGAGTGTCCCAGCATTTCCTGTTCACCGCAGGTGGAGGGCCCCACTCTCTATGTGTTAAGCCTGAGCAAACACACACACCAGAGTTCCATATTTACCTAAAGCCAGACCCGCACCACGTGGCCCCACACCACTGCTCAGGTTGTGCTCAGGTCAAATCAGAACATGCGGAAATGTTGATTTTCAAAGAAAACTATTAGCAGTTCAAGCATAAAGCTCCCTGCCTGGAGTGCAGTAAAAAGAAGGGCACCAGAAGTCCCCAGGGGCTCCCACAAGACTCACAGGAGCCACTTCCTTGTGGGAACACAGCCCTGTTCATGTTTGCTGCTGCTGAAATCATCCAAATCTACTTCCGGATATGGCGAATCTGCGTATTTTTATAAATTTCTTCGAAAGGCCTATATCTGTATACATGGGCCACAAAGGCTTATATCCTTATACAGACTAGAGTGGTAAATTTCTAGAAATGTCCCCAAGGAGGAAAGAAATGTGCCCTCAAAAATAGTATAAACAAAAGCATGGAATTTGCAAAAATAATGGAAATGTGCAATATTTTATTTTTCTCACTATCATGTATTAATAACAAAAATTATGTGTGGTGTATGATATTTAAGAAAGCAGCAGCCACAGACCTGCCACGTGGACCAGCACATGCGAGATGTTTGCAGACGTGGCCGGAAGTGTGCTGCTGTTTGGCCACAAGTCTCAGCTCCTTCCCCCCCACACTCACAGTCTCACTGGACAAGGGGAGCAAGACACCTGTTTCTAGACTATACCAGAGCTGTGCTACCAATGCCAAGACCCTGCTGCTTCTCCCCCTGTAGGACCAGTGGCCAGGAACACAGCCTCTCATCTTAAGATCAAAAGTCACTGAGAAGAAACCAACAAGCAAAGAAAGAAGAGTTGCCACCATCCCTCAGTGGAAGAAACTCACCTTAACCCTTGCATTTTATAGATTCAGTCAATGTTTTCTGATTGAGCCATTTTGGAATTGGAAAGGGCTAATATCATAGGTGAATTTCACATAAAAATCTGTCAGCCTGATAATTTTTGAGAACCGTATTCAGGGAATAGAGGTTGGGTGGCAATATGTGAATAGCCTTTGATTTAATTCAATGAACATTTATCAGATACTTCCATGTGCTATGTTATGGGGAAGTAAAATAGGCAAGGCCACTACCCTATCTAGAGAGTATTCTAGAAAGTGCCTCCCTGATGGAGGTTTAAGTTTTAATGTTATGATTTCAGAGATATTTGCATAGCTAAAGGAGAGTTCATGATTTCTCCCCAAAGAATGTGTTTTTTTTTAAAAAAAAGTGTACACAAATTACGTGTTTATAAGAAACCATAAAAGAGCAAATAAAAATATTGCATAATTGTACCACCCCTTTAGAAATAGAAACACTCTTTTTCTATTGTTTGTCATTCTATAATTATATGCAGGCACAAATATGAAAGAATCATTTCGATCCACACATAGCAGCTTTTCTTACAAATGCAGGACCACACGTGTAGACTGTTCTGTGATTTCCTGGACTGGCCAAATGCTACTACAATAATGCTGCACAGTGAACAGTCTCAAAACATCACTGGCTTCCAACGATGGTTTCATTCTAGTGTGCATGGCTCTGCAGGCCCATGTGCTTCAGCCTGACCCAGGTTGGGCCCTGCTGGGCAGCTCTACTCACAGCCGGGTTTGCATTTGTTCTGTGGGTTTCTGGGGCTCAGATTAGCTGGGCATTCTCATCTCCTGGCAGGCCACCAGCACAAGAGCCAGACCATGCCACACCAGCACACTGAAGGCCTCTTCTTGAGTCACACTTGCTTACACTCCATCAGACAAAGCAAGAAGCATGACCAAGCCCAATACCCATGGGTGGGGACGTGAGCTCACTGACTCCAGCACCCTGCAAGGCCACATGAAAGAGGGAGTGAAATGACCACCCACTCTACATGCCCACGGGTGAGGACATGTAGAGCGAGGGTGAGGAGAAGAATCTAAAAGTGACCTGAACTGAGCCTGAATGCTTTGCTCCAACCCCACAGTCAGTATTGACTTTCTATGTCCCAACCTCAAACTAAATACCTTTTAGCGTCCAAGTCTGCTTATAAAAAACTGGGAGGGGCTGGTGACACCTGTGCCCCGTCTCCACTCAGGCGTTTTTAGGATGAATGAAGTTTGTTTAGGAACTGTATCTTGTTCTTAAGTGAAAGTACATGAAATGTAGAAGATGCATTAATTTTTACAAAATAGAAAGAAATGCAAAATATAAAAATGTTTTTAAACATTTTTTTTTTTTTTTGAGACGGAGTCTCGCTCTGTCGCCCAGGCTGGAGTGCAGTAGCAGGATCTCGGCTCACTGCAAGCTCCGCCTCCCGGGTTCACGCCATTCTCCTGCCTCAGCCTCCCAAGTAGCTGGGACTACAGGCGCCCGCCACTACGCCCGGCTAATTTTTTGTATTTTTAGTAGAGACGGGGTTTCACCATTTTAGCCGGGATGGTCTCGATCTCCTGACCTCGTGATCCGCCCGCCTCGGCCTCCCAAAGTGCTGGGATTACAGGCGTGAGCCACCGCGCCCGGCCTGTTTTTAAACATTTTAAGTTGAGCATAGCCATACAGCCCAACATCTCCCGTGAGTGGAGTTTTGTGTGTACACTGAAGGTCTGCACATCACCCCTGGTGTTTAGATGCAGGCTTAAGGCTGGAGATCAGCAGGACTCATTTTCAGGACCCTGCTGATCAAAACGGGATGTAGCAAAGAAACCAGCCAACACCAGCTGGGACCAGGAATTATAATACATTTGCCTAAGACACTCCCCCCAGCGCCATGACAGTTTGCCAATGCCCTGGAACCTACCTCACGTGGTTCTGGGAACTCCCCACCCCTTTTCTAGAAAGTTCATGAATAACCCACCCCTTATTTAGCACAGAATTAGGACTAGGTATAACCGTAGCCAGCCGGGAATCCACGCATGCCACCCTGCCTGTGGGTAACCCTGACGTGTCTGTGCAGCAGCCGTTTTCTTGTTCTCTTTTGTTCTAATAAACTTGCTTTGCTTTCACTTTACTCCGTTGACTTGCTCTTGAATTCTTTCCTGCAGGAAGCCAAGAATCCTCCCGGGCTCAGCCCCAGTTCGGGGGTGTGCCTGTATCAGGCTTCCTTGCCTGGACAAAGCTGCCGGTGGAGAGGCAGCACGGAGAGGGGCCCTGAGCCCATAGGAGGAGGTCCGACACGTGCTGTGGTCTTTAGCCGGCCAAAGGCTTTCCCCTGGGCTGTGGTGGGAAGCTCCTCCAGTTCGTAATAGGGCAGGAATCTCACTCCCTCTTCACATCAGCCATTGTCTCTGTTCCATTTCATGGCGTGCATTTCATACTACATTCAGCCATCGTCACAACAGCTCCACTTGAAAGTTTGTTTGGAAAAAAAGTCAAAGAACATTCATTATGCATGAGCTTAAAAAGACTCAGCACACTCCTAAAATCGATACAATGCACCTCTTCTTTCCAGCTTATAAATTATGGCAGCACTTCAGTCTTTGCAGAGAACATTGGGAGCCCACATTTGAGTGGAAGAGGGATTGAATTCCTTGCTTTTCCAGGAGTCTAAAGCTGGCTGGTGCCTCTGTGGCCCGGCAGCAGCCAGGATGCTAAAAATGGTGGCTTCACACAGTGACCCCGGGCTGCCTTTGGAAGGACTTTGCTGAGGAAAACACAGCAAGGATGGTCAGGAAGCTCTTCTCCCATATCTCCCTACCCCGTGAAAAGAGAACTGTTCACTGCAGCTCAGCTCACTTTACATTCCGCCCCTTCCTACCCGCCAGCACAGCCCTGCCTTCAGGACACTGTTTCCAGGTGGGTTTCCCCTTGAGCCATTTGGTATTTCCTTGTTGCTAATGAGACAAAATAATGAACTGTGCTCCCAGCACCTGTCATTCGGTTGTCCAGTGCTCAAAACCATTTTGCCACAACACTGATGTCATTGAGACCGCAGAGGTGAGTGCATGAGGACCTCTGTAGCACACCCAGCTCTCAGAGGGACACTTTCCTCAACCCGCCTGGCAGGTGGGCCGGGGTCCCTGGAGGGCTTCCAGGGGTCGGCCAGAGAGGATGCCACTGTGCCTCCCACCTCTGTGCTTCTTCCAGCAGGAGTCCCCAGATTTTGTGGACTGTTGCTGGTGAAAAGTGCCAGGGCGGTCTTAGGTCCCAGACTGACTGTGCTAACACCCACTTCTCGTCCTCCTTCTTCTCTTCCTCCTTTTTCCTTAAACTGTGGAACAAGCCCACCCTCTTCTTTTTAACCACCTATTGTGGTGTCATCCCTGAGCTGCTGGCTCTGCAGAGCCCAGAGTCCATCCCCCCAGCCCCAGCGGGAGGCACCCCCTGCTAAGGAGACCCTTGTCGCGCTAACACGAGAGGCTAACAGCAGCGCTGGGGTTGGTGGGGGCTTTGGCCACAGACAGGACCAGCCCGAGGTTCCTTCTCCTTCCACATGGAGCCTCGGGGATATCCTGCCAGGGTGTGTGCCTTGAGGGGAGAGGGGAGGGACTGAGCCAGCCCACCTGAGCCATCGGCAGGGCCAACTTGGCAGGAGCACAAGCTGCCCCTCCACCTGCTCCTTTTCCTCACCTGGCTGGCCGAGGCCTGTGGCAAAAGGAAACAGCAGTGATGTTAACACCTTCCTCAGGAACCGCTGTCGTGCTCTGTTGAGAACATGGCGGGGATGCCTCTTGGCCTGGCTCTGCGCCCAGGTCTCCATGACCCAGCCCCAGGGAGGACCTCCACTTCCAGGCACAGTCAGGCTTCCTGCCCTCAGGCTGGGACTCGGTGAACACACTCCCATGGTGCCCCTGGTCCTCACCAGGCACCAACACACTCAGAACTCACTGCCCTTCATTTCCGAGGCTCTGCCTTCAACCTCTTCTACCTTAGAAATTGAAATTATTGTCTTATACTATTACGACTTAACTAACTTATCTTCTCCTGTGCTGTGAAACTAAGTGACTGGATAAATTGGCTGCATGGTAGGTGCTATAAAAAGCTCTCGGAAAATGACCTTCTCTCCTGAGAACTTGAGGGGTTCTCAGCCAACCCGTCTGCACCCACGTTGGTCCTGTTCAGCTTTGGGGTCTCACAGAGCCTCTGCCAGCAGCGCCATCCCAGTGAGAGGCGCTTACCCACCTCTTCCCACAAACCATCTGTTCATCAAGGTGGTGTTTACCTTTCAGGCATCCTGGAATCACCTGGTGTGGAGGAGGCCCTGGGCAGGGCGGAATTCCACGTCTGGATCCAGTGCTTCCTTGAGGGGAGCGTGGGAAATTTGCTTCTCCCCTCTAAGACGCGCCTGTAAAATACAGACCCCAGTACCTTCCTTGTGGTGTGTTCTCAGGGCTGAGACACCCTGCTTAGGGTAGCATTGGTCACACTGATGGCATCCAATCCACGCCAGCCTCGCAGCCTTGTCCCTCTCCTCTCCAGGGCTTCCCTGTCCTTCCCCCTCCCCGGGTACCAGACTTACGGGGGCGAGGAGCTTGCTTTTTTGACCTGGACTCACCAACCACCCCTTCCTTGCCACCTGGAGGAAGCCCACTCTTCTGACCTCTGAACCCTGTGCTGCTCAGGTTCCCGAGATCCCCGGCTGGGCCGTTGTTTGCAGGCATTCCCACTCCAGCTGAGAGCCGGCCCCTAGCAGGCGTTCCCACTCCAGCGGAGAGCCGGGCCGCTGTTTGCAGGCATTGCCACTCCAGCGGAGAGCCGGCCGCTGGCCCAGGTTACTTCATGCCTGCCTCTTGGCATTTGCCTCTGAGTGCCAAGAGAAAGAGGTGGGCACGTCACCTCTCCTGATTAGAGAGGTTAACAAGTTAACCTGCGGGGTTGCTGTGTTCACAGAACACAGAGCTACATCCAGGCCACTAGGAGTTGGGGCCTCTGGCCTTGCCTTAGTGCCCAGGCCAGGGCAAAGCGGTGTGAGCGGGTCCTTTCCACCCACGGTGAAGCACTCCAGGCTGGGAAGGGGACAGAGCACCTCACAGAACGCCTGAGGGTGCCTCCCACCTCTGTGCTTCTTCCAGCAGGAGCCCCCAGATTTTGTGGAGACATAACGACCCTTTATCAGAAAGAGCTTTTTTTCTTCTTTTTGGCTAAGTTCGGGAAACAATTACTGTCCTGCCGTCTGCTGACGGTCACAGTGTGATCTGCCATCTGCTGAAGGTCAGTGTGATTCTAGCAAACCTCTCCAACAGATCCACGGGCTGGCTGGTATTTCCTCCGTTCTGAAATTTTAAAAACTCCAAGGTGTCTGGGTTCAAGACTTTCTTCTCCTTCTCAGTCCAAATCTCCTCCTCCTCTTCTGATAACGAGCCGACTCTCGTGGCTGGGCTTCCCCATCCTGCCCTTTGCTGCAGGCCTTTGCGGACCCCCAGCAGGCTCCCTCCTCTCCTCCGTCTCCCTTCCTCTGCCTCAATGCAGTCGAGTCCCCGGCAGGTCTCATCCTAGGTGCCACTTCTTCCAGGAAGCTTTCCCTCCCAGACCCCAAGCCCAGGCCAGCTGTCCCTGTGTGTTCCAGAGCCTCCATGATCACCTGTTGCTCTCTGTCCCCCTGCTCCTCGGAAGGCCCTGAAAAGCAGGTGCCAACCCTGCCCCCCGCCAGCGCCTCCCATTTCCCTTCAGGCCCATCCTGTGACGCCAGCATTCCAGGGCCCACATCGTCATCCTGGCAGATGGAGTGCCGTTAGAATAATGAGCAGACATCAGGGCTAACGGGCCCACCTGTAGGGGCATCCTCAGGCCAGACAAGGCAGGCCACATGTGCCATGGGTATCTAGGCATTCTCAGCACCGAATCCTGGCACTCCAGCCTGACCTGCCCTTGATGTCAACAGCTCATCAACCTGGACACACTTTATGATTCACCTCCATGAACCACAGACTGCATTCTTGGTTTGTTTTGTTCTTAAGATGGTATGAAGGTGAGAACCCCCATTAGGGTTTAGTGAGATGGTCTGTGTGAACCACGCAGTGGCTGTGAATTTTGCTTCTTTACCTTGTGTTTTGCTTTTGTAATAAGTTTTTACCCATAATTAGAAGTTAGATCTATATAAATATATCTATTCATACATATATGAACATATAAGTGTGCACATGCATATATGTTTGCATATGCACGTGTGTACATACACATGCACACACATTTTCAGATGATTATATGTGTGTGCACGTGTGTACATGCACGTGCACACACATGTTCAGATGATATATATGTTTGTGTGTGCACACATGTATATGTACATGTGCACACACATGTTCAAATGATATATGTGTGTTTGTGTGCACACGTGTGTACGTACATGTGCACACACATATTCAGATGATATATATGTTTGTGTGTGCATACTTGTGTACATACACGTGCACACACATGTAAAGGTGGCCCAGTAGGGGTTCTGAGTCCCCCTGCTGCTGGCTGGACAGAGGCCCTGCCCCAGCTTCCTCCAGGGCTGCCGACTCTCAGGACAGCCCAGAGTTTGGTCTTCTCATACCACTGCCAGCCACACACTGGGCAGTAAGATGCTGTTTGAGTTGGAACAATTTCCTCTCTTCGGATCATGCCTTCCTGCCTCCAATGCCCTTGAGAAAACAGATAAGAAGAGAAATTGTAGAGGAGCTGAGCAGAGCAGGTGCATCCAGGCAACTGTAGCAAAAAATCCAGACAGGCCAAAAATCCAGGATTATATTATTACAACAGCCTGACTTTCACAATAGGAGAAATGTGTTTTGGAAACACCCCGACAACCGCCACTTGGTTTGGTGTTGTCTGACGAGCTAAATCAAAGAGGATGCTGTGGCCCCTCTGAAATCTCCTTGGTTATCCTCCTTCCTGGGAGGTGAGGCATGACGTCTGAGCCCTCTGAGACAGGCTGCACCCATTACCTGTTACCTGCTGATAGTTTCAGTCTGAGTTTCCAAGCCTGGCCCCTCCTGTCAAAGGTTACAGGCCTGACTTAGCTCTATGAAACGTGGCACGGTGTGCGTGAACCTTTCTGCTCACAGTTTGTCACTAAGCTTCGGGCACTACACTTGGTGCATTACTGAATATTTTGGGTCATCCTTTTTTTTCTCCGTCTTACAAAATAGGATTTGCATATACTTGTTGGCATTTGGAATATTAACATAATGTTCAGAAATGGTAAACCATAAATCAACAGAATAACATACTACTATATGTCACTAGCCCAGATCTGATAATTGCCACTTCGTGTTATGTTGCAAAGAACACTAAAATATATTTGAAATTCCTAAGTGAACATTAATTATCAGTCATTTATATTAGAAGTCAGAGGGGATTTTAATTTCCCAGGTGCCATTTGTTAAAACCTGTGATACTGACTAAGATGGATGGGCCCTGAGTTTACCAACCTGTTTTGCAATAATTATTATGGCCACTTACCTTGGGGCAGCCAGGTGGGTCCCCAATCCAGCAAACATTTGCCGCCTCACCGGGAGAGCATTTCCTCAAGGTCTGTGTTTTCACAAGTCCTGCAGGGACATTTGGCTACTTTCCACGTTGTAATTGTTTTTCCTTATTGACACTTAGATTAATTCACCTTACGAGTGTGAAATATTCTACTTTCGAGTGAGCCCCCGTTGATTTACAGAGTCACATTGAGTCCTGTCCCCTCGCCATATTGATCTTTCATTATTTTCCTATCTTAGAAGTTTCCCATGAAACTTAGGAAACTTAGGAAGTTAATAATAATAAACTTAGGAAGTTAATAAAGACTTCCTAATTACCCTTAATTAGCTTTATTACTTGTCATTGCACATTTAAGATTATTATTTAAATGTTTTATGTAAGGATTAATTCAAGGAGAGGATTGCTAAATCATGCCCAGGTGGCCCCACAAAGAATGAGAGTCAGAAGAACTCAAGCCACGTGAGGTTCTGTCCTTCCAGCTGGGCCCTGATTGCTCCTGGAACCCCAGCTGTCCCCTGAGGCAGAGGCCAGGCCGGGCCAGGAACTGACTGGGCTCCCGCGGACGTGCAGCCAGGCATTTGCTCTGGGCTCCTTCTTCTCTTGGCCTCACCTTCTAAGTGTGCCCTGGGCTCAGAAGGAGATGGGAAGCAAAACTCAGCTTCCTCCGTGGACCCCTGACCCCAGAGCCTCATCCATCTTGGCACCGATGGAGCTGCGCCAGCTCCCAAATTCCGGGCTCCCGCTTCCAGTAGCAACAGCAAAGCCTGGGACTGTGTGTGGTGCAGCAGCTCGGGGCTGGATGCTGTATCTGAGCAATGTAATCCTCACCTTGTGAGGGAGGCAGTAACAACATCCCTGTTTACAGGCGAGGAAACAGAGGCCAACAGGAAACAGAGGGGCAGGGATCCGGGCCCTGAGACCCTAGAGCCTGGCAGTCCCCCAGGAAGTCACATGGCCAGCCCTTATCCTTGGGTCCATCCAGGTTGGCTGCCTCAGCACCTTCTCCAGGAGCCAAGTGCCTCCTCACCTGCCCTTGACCACCTCTGCCCAACACCCTCCCAAAACTCGCGGTGACCACCACGCTCAGGCTGACAAAGCCCTGAGCAACTTCTGCCCCCGCCAGCACCACTGCACACCCCCTGACCTGGGAACTCCTGACTGCCGAGCACAGGGCAGGAGCGGGGCCCATGGGCAGCTTCCAGCATCCCCACGGAGCGCAGGTTCCTTCTGAGCCAGAGGGGGCTCGGGGAGGCTGCAGGAAAGCCGTGCAAGGTGTGCAAGCCATCGCCTGACTGATAAGCTGAGGGGTCCCGTAAACCTCAATCCAACGCTGCCAGAAATCCCAAATGCTCCCTCTCCCGTGCTCAGCCAGGGCCCTGGCTTCTCCCTCAAACCCCACGTGACGTGGTCTTTTGTTTCCTGATTACGTGACCACTTCCACGGGACACTGAAACCACTCCAGGCAGGGAACTGCGCACATCATCTTTACAGTCTTGACCCTCAGCAGAGTGACTGGTTCCTGAGAAAAGCTCACCCAGTGCTCGAATGAATGAATGAATGAATGAAGAGCTACACAAGTGAGAGTGGCTTTTGGGTCCTGTGACAATGGGCTTGGTGTCACTGAGCCTTGGTCCCTTCCAGCCCATGGTAAAGGAGGCTTCTGTGGCTCTCTCCAGGCCCACGTGGTCTGATGCCCTGGCAGTGACAGAAGCAGCATCGTGCTTAGCTCCTGTCAAAAACAAAGCTCAGATACTTGCTTTTGCCTCCTTGTTCATATACATTTGCATTTTGATCACTTAAGACCTCAAGGAGACTCGAAAGGAGAGCACTCCTAGGCCCCTTCATCTCTCCCTCCTTCATCTGCATTAGCAAATCTGCATATAAATGGCAAAGCCACCCTGGCAAGGGCTTTCTCCAACAACATCCTCAGAATCTCCTTCCTGATCACTGCAGCTGCACTGATAGCAATTTGCACTTGCCTGTTACCAAATTAGACCCAGCAATTGAGCTGAGAGCTGGCAGCAGGGCGGGTCCCACTCAGGGAGACTCCTCGTCTATTCCCAGGGCCAGGGCCCCTGCTGGCAAGGGGAGGGCAGGGAAAGGGCCCTCGGAGATGTACCCCAGCGGGCCGGGGCAGACATGCCCCTTGGGCCCTCGCTGGGACGCCCCTGCCTGCGGCTGGTTGGAGCTGTCTCCCAGGCAACGCGTCCCAGTGCATCGGGAGCTCTTTCCAGATGAGGCTCTGAATCTGCAACTTAGCAGAAGAGGCGTTCTCTGCTGTTTTTATGGGGGGTACTTATCACATTTTCACAGACAACATAAACATAATTTTAAGTATCAAACATCTTTAATGTCTTTATTCCTCAGGAAGTGACAGTAAATGCCCCTCTATTAAGGGCTGTTTCCTGTAAGGCGGAGATAAAACCAATAAGCGCGGTTTACTTCTTAGGCGCGAGCATCAATCTCAGCCGCCCATCCTTCCTTTAGAGCTAATTTAGAGTTATTGCACCTCGAGCGAGGCCGTCCAAATTGAGCTTAATTCACATTCCAGCTTCAAAAACAAGGTCTGTGTCTCGCTGTTTCCCTATTGTTATATGGGCTCTCATTTCTGTGCTTTTGATCCCAAATTCTAAGAACTCCCTTTAGAAAGCCTTGCTGGGAAGGTGGTTTGGTGGGGACCAGGTTCTGGAAGGACAGGTCGGCAGGGTAGCCTGGAGTGGAAACACCCAGCAATCAGCCCACACGCGGAGCGGAGTGGAGGGCGGGTCAACTCACTTCCGCAGTTGAGACTGACTCTGCCTGGAAGTCAAGGGGTTGGCACCAGCCCCCTGTCGCCTGCCCAGGTGTCGTCCCCCACCACAAGGCGGTACCTGGTTCCTCCTCCAAAATGCCTGTTCGCAGGGCACATCAACTGCCTATTATTTATTGGTAATCCGTCTATTAGGCACAGACGTAACACACTTTAATTCGGTGTTGCTTCTCTTTTGCTCTAAAAATGAACGCAGGCAGAGCACAAACCTCATTCCAGGGGACGTGCTGCACGGGCAGACTCAGAAACTCAGACTCCCTTCAAACTGCACGAATTCCCACGGCTCTTAAGAGAGATCATTTCCACAGCCATCATTTATCCCAGATAACTTGAGGAATTCATCGCTAGCTATTTGCATTTACTGGCTCCACGAAAGGCTGAGTTAATTAAAAGTTCCTTGGGGTCCTAAACGATATTTCTTGGGAATGAGATTCTGGGACTGAAATTATGATCTGTGTGGGAGGAACCCTGGTCCCTCCAGAGTGCGCTTGCCTGAAAGACTGTTATAGACCTAAATAAACCACGGAGGCCCCCACACCCCAGAGGCTGGACGGGAGCCGCAGACGGTGGGCCATGGACACGCCCCCTCCAGCAGGCAGGGGGATGTTAGGTGCTGACCTTGGGCACTACCTGTTGACCTTGCACAGGTCCTCTGGGCTCATCCTTGTATCCACTCATGACCCGGCACCTGGGGAGGCAACTGGCATTGCCCACACACAGACGGCAGTGGCATAGAACGAAAAGTCACACATGGTGGACTCAGCCCGACGACGGTTCAGACCCCAGCCCTACCATCCACTAGCTCTGTGTTTTCCAGCAAATCATTCATTTCCACATCTGCCACTGAGGCTGAGGACGCTTCCCTCCCCGCTGGCCCCGAGTCTAGGAGGATAATGCATGGAGGCCTGGAAAGCAGAGGGGGCACAGTCTGTTCCTTGGTGTGCTCGAATTTCCTGGGCTTTCCAGGAGCCCTGAGATCTGTGGAAGGGGAACCACAGGATCCCTAGCAAGGCCTCCCTTCTGGACTTCAGGGAAGGTTGAGGGGGTCCATGTGCATGCACTGGTGCAAGCAGGGCTGGAGACAGGCTGCCTCATCCCTCCCAGGGGAGCACCCATCCGGCGTCCTCCAACAGGAGGCGGGAGAGTCCCCGCTGGGGGGACCAGGAGTTCAGATGCTCCAGCGCTCACTCCCACTCACATGGAGGCAGCAGACACACAGCAGCACTCACAAGCACACACACACGCAAACACACACATGCACACCCCCACTCACACAGAGGCAGCAGACACATGGCAGCACTCATAAGCACACACACACATGCAAACACACACACGCACACTCCCACTCACACAGAGGCCACAGACACAGTACCACTCTCACACTCACATACACACACACATGCACACACAAGGAGGCAGCAGACACACATGGTAACCCACATACACACACACACACAAAGGCACCAGACACACATGGCACCACTCAAACACACACAAACACACACAGAGGCAACTCTCACAGGCACACGCACACTGACATGGAGGCAGCAGACATGCACGGCACCACTCACACATGCACACACAAGGAAGCAGCAGACACGCACTGCCCTCCTGCACACACACACACTCACACACCCTCACATACACTCACTGATGCATACAGCCCACGTCAGAGTCCACTGGGCACCAGCAGCCTTAGGTCAGTTGCTGTCCTTGGGTTGAGCCATCCTTGGCACCCTGGGGAGGGGCAGACGCTGTGGACATTTGGGGTCTAGGGGCTGCCCCCACAAAGGTCAAGGACTCCAGGGCAGAGCTGAACACCCTCAGCCCCAGCCTGGCATGGGCTGGCCCCTACTCTCAGGGCCGCTTCTCCAAGAGCCCCTGGCCAGTGCCTGCCTCTTCCTGGCCCTGCTTCCCTCTGAGAGGCTGGGTCTGGTGCCCCCAGAGCATCCAGGTGGAGCGGCTAGTGAGGGTCAGCCAGCCTGGCCAGGAACAGGGCCAGGAGCAGGATGCATACGCCCTGGACCCTATGCATCCAGCCTCCCCATGCTGCGTCCAGGAGCGTCACTGGCCTCCCGGGTGCACAGCCGTCTCTGCTCCTCACACAGGGGGCTGGGGCGCAGAGGGCAGCTCTGCAGGTTTGCTGAAAATGATGGCAGGGCCTGGACAGCACCTCACCTCCTGGCCTTGCAGTGTCCAACGCCTCCTTCTGCACCCGGAGTACCCAGCAAGGGTGCCTCAGGGAGCTCCACCCATGTCTGTGGGCCTCGCGGGGCCAACCCTGCCCGTGGATGGAACAGGAGCCTGTGTCACGAAACAGGAGCCTGTGTCACGAAACAGGAGCCTGCCCCAAGTGGTTCCCGCAGGTGCAGGGCAGGCCTGGGCGCCCTCGCTACGCTAGTCCGGCTGTGCTTCCTTGTGCGGTGTCAGGGTGAGCCCAGGCAGGCCACAGCTCTCCCGCCTGGCTTCTCGGCCTGTCCTGGTTTGCTTCTGTTTCCTCTGTTGCATTTACCCACGTTCCTTAGGTCATGGAAGTTTCCGGAATCCTCCTGCAATAAAAGCTGGAGCAGTGCTGGCTTCTGAGTTGGTTGAGATGAGACTCATTCCTCCCTGAACACAGAAGCCGCACACACAGCCCCAGGCAAAGTCTCTGGCTGGCAGCCAAGCTGTGCCCTGCACTTGGTCAGCTGGTCAAGGTCGTGACCTCCCTGGCCAGTGCCTTTTCCCAGGGTCCCGGGGCTGTTTCTGGGGAGCGGAGTCTGACTCAGAGTGCAGGTGTCCTAGAGGAAGCCAGCGAAACCAGCAAGGCCTCGCTGGAGCAGAGCCTGGGTGTCGGGTTGTTCAGCTCAGGGTCCCACTGCAGCGCTGAGCCTAGAAATTCTGGAACAAGGGGAAGAGTGGAGGAGGAGTGGCCAAGTGCCCTCCAAAGGGGGAAGCAGGGGATTCACCTCTGCTGACCAATGCAGGGCCGCCCAGGAAGACAATTTAATTCCAGTCTTTTCCCATGAACGTGTTTCCACTCACCCGTGAGCACAGAGCCTCTGCTGATGAGAACCCTGCACAGGGAGCCACTCTGGCCGGGGCCCAGGTTTAATTAAAACACAGCCAACATGGTCAGGTTGCCTTTACCTGGGAAAAGCAGGATCCTTGGTACCTACGGAATCTTTTTTGCAAATTGACATTTAATATAACATTAAAAACAAATCATGCTTACATTAAAGGTAGTATGAAGTATTAATTTCACTTTAAAACATTTCCAGAGAATTTCTCTAAGAACAGGTCCCGGAGAATATTACTCCACTCATTTTATTCTGTTTATTTGTAGCTTTCCAGGGGAGAGTTTTCTTTCACTTTTCTCTTTAGCTTACACCATTTCCTAGAAGCCCATTTTTATGCTCCAGGTTCTATCCTGTTTAGCCTTTCCTCATATACCCATAGAATACAACTCCCTCCACCCCTCCTCAACAGACACAGACTCCCGATTGTAGAAATGGGGCTCATGGGGCCTGTCGAGCCCAGGAAATCCTGGAAATGGGTCCCTGAAACCTGCAGGCCAGGTGACTCATCAGAGGACGTGACGCTTCTCAGAAGTCTCGCTGGAACCCGCACTTTCCCTGGTCCAGGAAGAGGCATTCTCTGGAATCTGTTCTTGTCCTTGTAGGTGGTTCTCAGTAACACACAAAACAGTGACCAATAAGAGAAGATGATGGAAATGAGGCAGACCTCAGAGGCCACCCACAAACCCCCGGGACCCCTGATCCCAGGTCCCACCCTCACCTGCCTCAGCCTGAGCCAGCCCTGAGCCTGGAGAACAGGAAAAAAGGCCAGACTACCACACAAGAGCATGTGCCACACGGGAGCTACATGCCACATGGTATCCACATGCCACGCAGGAGACACACACCACACAGGAGCCACGTGTCACACACCACATGGGACCACATGGTATCCACATGCCACACAGGAGCCACGTGCTACATGAGAGCCCCACGTCACACAGGAGCCACATGCCACGTGGGAGCCACACACCACATGGGACTACATGGGGTCCACCTGCCATGCAGAAGCCACATGCCACACAGGAGCCAGTGCCACATGGGAGCCACGTGCCACACAGGAGCCATGTGCCATGCAGAGTCACACACCACACATTGGCCTTGGGAGCCTTACCTTGGAAGGCAGAGGGCCCGGCCGGATCAGGTGGAGGTCAAGAGCCAGGGCTACACATGGATCCCTGCAGTCTCAGGGCCATTCTGCCTGAAGGCTGATTTCCCTTTCAGATAACAAAGAACAACAAAGCTTAAACATTTTTTAAAGTTTTAAAGCTATAAACAAAAGCAAAGCACACGTCTATTTCTTTTTTTTTTCTTTTTTTCTTTTTTCTTTTCTGAGATGGAGTTTCACTCTTGTTGCCCAGGCTGGAGTGCAATGGCACGATCTCAGCTCACCGCAACCTCTGCCTCCCAGATTCAAGCAATTCTGCCTCAGCCTCCTGAGCAGCTGGGACTAGAAACATGTGCCACCATGCCCAGCTAATTTTGTATTTTTAGTAGAGGTGGGGTTTCTCCATGTTGGTCAGGCTGGTCTCAAACTCCTGACCTCAGGTGATCCGCCCACCTCGGCCTCCCAAAGTGCTGGGATTACAGGCGTGAGCCACCGCACCCGGCCAAACACATCTATTTCTTCAGTAGCAAGGGTGGAGCTAGCCAGAGCCTGACATCATGTGCACAGTAGAAAGGAGAGCACAATTTGCAGACAAGTCTAAAGGAATGACGGGATGGGCACACGAGGCACCTGCTGGACACAGTGCAGCCAACACCACAGCAGCTGCCTCCACGGCCTGCAAACATTCTGGAAGGTCATCTGCGGGTGTGCCCAGCACGAGCTGGACGTGCAATACCCACCTGCCTCCATGGGCTGGGAACGTTCCGGGAGGTCATCTGCAGGCGCACCTGGCTCGGGCTGGACTTGTAATATTGACCAATCAGCATCCACTGCCTTCTCCCCAGGAAACCCCTTCGTTTCCAGAGGCTGCTGTGTGTTCCCTGGTTCACTGGGCCCTTGTGGTTTGCCGTTTATTCCTTCCCACCCTGGGATCCATCTGTTATTTGATCAGAACAAAGTTTTCTGTCTCCTCTCACCTGATTCCAATCAGGCATCCAATGTGTCAGCCCCAAGTGTGGGGACAAAACAACCGTGGTAGCCCCCCCAGTCCAGCCTTCCCGCATCCTAGGGCCAGGCGGGACCTACCTTCTTCTTCCCAAGCTTTAAATAACTTTGAAGCTAAACTTAATTACCACTGCAATGAACCGAATGTCTGTGTCCCCCCAAAATCCACAGATTGAAATCCCAACCCCCAAGGTTGGTGTTGGGAGGTGAGGATGTGGGGAGAGGATTAGGCCACGGGGATGGAGCCGCATGGATGGGCTCAGCGCTCTTCTAAAAGGCACCCAGTGAGCAGTTCTCTTGCCCTCTCCCACCGCCCCACCCCCCGCGAGGACACAGGGAGAAGGTGGCTCTCCGCAACCCAGAAGAGGCCCTCACCAGAATCCAACCCTGCTGGCACCCTGACCTCAGACCTCCAGCTTCCA
This sequence comes from Homo sapiens, assembly GCF_000001405.40. NCBI lineage: Eukaryota > Metazoa > Chordata > Mammalia > Primates > Hominidae > Homo > Homo sapiens. The sequence goes on from NC_000010.11 coordinate 131,658,222, forward strand.
GAACTGTGAGAAAGGGATGTCCGTGGTTTAGAAGCCACCCAGCCTGTGGGACTTTGTGAGAGTGCCCCCAACAGACTCCAACACCGTTAAAATGGTCAATGGCAACTTTTACACATGATAATAAATAATTGAGCATGACATCAACTTTGAACATAGCAAAACCTTAAAAAATGTGTAAAACAAGACCCAGAGTGTCATTTTTTCTATCAATATTTGTTGAGAAACTGCTATGTGCCAGGCCCTGCTGCAGGGGCTGAGACACCCCAGTAAATAAAACCAGACATAAGGGTGGGGTCTGCACCCTCCTGGAGGGCACAGAGGTGGGGGCAATGAGTCTAGGGAGAGCCTCGAGCAGGGTGAGGAGGAAGGGGCGCTGTGGAGATAGGACCAACGTGGTGCATGGACCAACTGCCGCCCAGGCTCCCCAGAAGCTGAGTCTGCCATGGAAGTTAATGGAGAAGCTGCCTTTGCTCCACAGCAATGTGGGAATAGAGGGAGGGCCTGGGGGCAGAGGAAGAAGAGGCAGCCTCAGCAAAGGTCCCAGCCAATCCCCTGGGGAAGTCCAGAGCTGGACAGCCCTTCGGAGTCTTCCAGAATCAGGGCAAGTGGATGAGACCTGGGACCCCCAATCTGACCAATCACTGGCTGCAGTCACACCTGTGATGACCAGGCAGTGGCCTGACCTGACAGGAGGGGCACAGGCACATCCATCCAGGGGGAGCCAGGGCTCAGGCGGCATCCACCCCCCAGACCCTCACAACGGAGTGGGCAGGTGCAGGTGCAGCTCTCCGGCAGGGCAGCAGCAAGGCCCAGGCCTCCAGGCAGCGACTTTCTTGCCCCCTGCCCATTTTTGCTTTATGTAAGGTGGAGGAGCAGGGTGGGGAGTGGAGGCTGGGGTGGGGAGTGGAGGTTGGGTGGGTCGGGGTGTGTCCGGGGTCTCAGTTTCTGAGCACACATTCTTTTAAGGGCTCCTTTTCTTTCTGCTCATGGCTCTTCCTGGCAGGTGCAGGTGTGGGTGCTCATGATTCCTATTTTACAGATGAGGAAATTGAGGAGGTTCAAAGTGTTCAGGTCTGTCTGTTGAGCCAGAACGTGCCCCCATCCTCCATCCCTCTGGGAAGGGCCACTTTGTGGGGCACCCCCAGTTGGTTTATTCTGTGTCTGGAGAAGGGGCCAGGCTGGGGAAAGAGAGACCCTAGGCTGCACAGAGACTCCACCTCTAGCAACAATCAGAATGATGTGTCTCTGGAATTAGCTTATAGGACACCATCCTCCTCCCAAAAAAAGGGATAATTTAAAAACAGACAAATTTGTCCACGAATATTCAGCTCTTGTGCAAACAGCAAACCCGGCCTGCAGACAGGATGTTTTCTATTGTCATCTTAAACATTTCTCAGAACAGGAAACCTGCATGTTTCCACGGTCACTCCTGTCCATAATCACAGTGATAATTGTGTTTCTGTAGCTTTTGTAGTTTTCTCCTGCAAACACCTCCCTTTTCTGGGGCTGTTTCTGGTATTCTGAATTCACCAAGTAAGAATGCCATATGGAAGGTGTAATTTTCACTCAATCACTTTTCAGCCTCTTAAGAACACTGCTTTTTCCCTAATGGTTACTTTTTCTTGAGAGAAGTTACTTCCCTTTTTTTAAATACATAATTTTCTTTAAAGTGTTCCTGAAACTCATATTGTTTGCCCTTGATTATTTTTTCAAAATGACACTGTAATTTTTGTTACCAGAAGGAGGAAAAATGAAATAAACCTGAAATAGGGGATGATGTGTGTGTCAGTATCATGAATGCACATGTGGGCTTATAAATGTCCTGTCCTGTCAATTAACCACACCCATCCATCCACCCTATACTGGGACTGTCCTGGGAACCTAGAGGATGCAGGGCAGGTGAGCCCCAAAACTGGGGCTTAGCCCAGGAGGGTTCTTGGCTTCAACTAGGAAAGAGTTTGGTGGGGGAGATGGTGGTGTTAGACAGTGACTTCTATTGACACAGCAGGGCACAGCAGCAGCCAAGGTGCTGCTCCATGCAGAGCGGGGTTACCTGACAGGCACAGTGAGCAGAGCAGCAGCTAAGGGCACTTTTAATTATACATGAATTGAGGGGTGGTTTATGCAGAAATTTCTTGAAAAAGGGTGGTGACTTCTAGGCCATCAGGTTGATGCCATGGAAAGGGTCAGAAACCCCAGGTGTTGCCACGGCAATGGTGAATTGACATGGCACCCTGGTGGGCACGTCTTATAGAAAGCTGCTTCCGCTCATCCCTGTTTTAGCTAGTCCTCAAATTGGTCTGGTGTCTGAGCCCAGGCTCTAGGGTCGAGTCCTGCCCCCTACCTCACAGGGGGCCTCAGACAGCTCACAGGGAAGGGGTCAAGCCATTGAGTGGCAAGGACCCCCTCCCCCATGCAGAACTAGAGTGTGCAGCGCACACCAGAGGGAGCAGCCTTGGGGCAGGTGGGGGGGCAGCTGCAACATTCCAGGTAAAGGCGCATGCGAAGACCCTGAGACCAGAGGAAGAAGCCACGACCAGCAGCAACCTCAGGACCAGGGCGGAGGGAAGCCCCAGGGGAAATAAGGCAGAAGAAAGGCAGGAAATTCATTTATGTGGAAGAAGAAGCTAAGGGGTGCTAGTGGACCAGGAAGAAGGAAAGCATCATCCAACCACAGAGAATCAAGAAGCTGGAGAGAACTTTCAGAAGGAGAGTGGACCTCAGGTCCTTCCCACACACCATTTAAATGCAGCTCCCAAAACGACTTTAAAGTTCATATGGAACCAAAAACGAGCCCGCATTGCCAAGACAATTCTAAGCCAAAAGAACAAAGCTGGAGGCATCACGCTACCTGACTTCAAACTATACTACAAGGCTACAGTAACCAAAACAGCATGGTACTGGTACCAAAACAGAGATATAGACCAATGGAACAGAACAGAGGCCTCAGAAATAATACCACACATCTACAACCATCTGATCTTTGACAAACCTGACAAAAACAAGAAATGGGGAAAGGATTCCCTATTTAATAAATGGTGCTGGGCAAATTGGCAAGCCATATGTAGAAAGCTGAAACTGGATCCCTTCCTTACACCTTATACAAAAATTAATTCAAGATGGATTAAAGACTTAAATGTTAGACCTAAAACCATAAAAACCCTAGAAGAAAACCTAGGCAGTACCATTCAGGACATAGGCATGGGCAAGGACTTCATGGCTAAAACATGAAAAGCAATGGCAACAAAAGTCAAAATTGACAAATGGGATCTAATTAAACTAAAGAGCTTCTGCACAGCAAAAGAAACTACCATCAGAGTGAACAGGCAATCTACACAATGGAAGAAAATTTTTGCAATCTACTCATCTGACAGAGGGCTAATATCCAGAATCTACAAAGATCTCAAACAAATTTACAAGAAAAAAACAAACAACCCCATCAACAAGTGGGTAACGGATATGAACAGATACTTCTCAAAAGAAGACATTTATGCAGCCAACAGACACCTGAAAAAATGCTCATCATCACTGGCCATCAGAGAAATGCAAATCAAAACCACAATGAGGTACCATCTCACACCAGTTAGAATGGCAATCATTAAAAAGTCAGGAAAAAACAGGTGCTGGAGAGGATGTGGAGAAATAGGAACACTTTTACACTGTTGGTGGGACTGTAAACTAGTTCAACCATTGTGGAAGACAGTGTGGCGATTCCTCAGGGATCTAGAACTAGAAATACCATTTGACCCAGCCATCCCATTACTGGGTATATACCCAAAGGATTATAAATCATGCTGCTATAAAGGCACATGCACATGTATGTTTATTGTGGCACTATTCACAATAGCAAAGACTTGGAACCAACCTAAATGTCCAACAATGATAGACTGGATTAAGCAAATGTGGCACATATGCACCATGGAATACTATGCAGCCATAAAAAGGGATGAGTTCATGTCCTTTGTAGGGACATGGATGAAGCTGGAAACCATCATTCTCAGCAAACTATCGCAAGGACAGAAAACCAAACACCGCATGTTCTCACTCATAGGTGGAAACAGAACAATGAGAACACCTGGACACGGGAAGGGGAACATCACCCACCGGGGCCTGTCATGGGGCTGGGGGACGGGGAGGGAAAGCATTAGGAGATATACCTAATGTAAATGACGAGTTATTGGGTACAGCACACCAACATGGCACATGTATACATATGTAACAAACCTGCACGTTGTGAACATGTACCCTAGAACGTAAAGTGTAATTAAAAATAAATAAATAAATGCAGCTCCCTAAGTCGGAGCTCCTCAGCGCTGCACTCATAGCAGGCTAGGGACTGGAACACTCGCTCTCCGGGGCTGAGAAGCTGCAGTCTGAGCCAGCACCTCCTCATGTTTGCTGAATTTGAAGGTTCCAGAGCTAACATTTTAAGGATTCCTTAAGAAATGGTGAAGTATGTTTAAGTTTCTGTTAAACTTACTTTTTGCATTGTAAGATGCAATGACGTGGTCTCATGCTGGGCAGTAGGGAGCTTGGTCATTAAGGAGCTGAAGAGCCAGGCTCCAGCTCCCTAACGAGGGAAGGCATCCCTTGCTGCTGTGGTGTTGGGAGTCCTCAGGGGTTTTTTTCCCTGCTGAAGATGAAAAGGCCTCCACAATCTCTTTTGATTAAAAGAAACACAAAAAGGAATATTCTTCAGAAAGGAGCAGCGCCGCTATTCGCTGTGCATGGTGCACAAAATGGGACTGAGGAGGAATCAGCTTTGCGTGGTGGGTGGGTGCAGCCGGTGGAGCGTGAGGAGGTGCCCGGCACGGGGCCTGGACACCCAGCAGGACACAGGTGACCCCCTCAGACCCACAGAGCAGAGCCCAGGGCTGCACTCCCGCAGCGTGCCCTGGGGCACCAACCCATTATGTTCCAGGCACATACTCAGCATTCACCCTTCCTCTCTCTGTCTTCTAATTACCTCTGCTTTTGTCTTCCCTCCCTAGCAAACACCCACTCCTGGAAGCTAGGGCCAGGTTTGATGCTTCTTCTTCCCTCTCTCTCTCTTTCCCTCTGTCTCTCCCCTCCCTGATACCCTGCTGTTCAGCCCGTGGCCCACTGCTCTCCCCACAGTCTGTGCTCAAAACAAATGCACCAACAAGTAAAGGTGTGAATGCATGGAAATGGGCACCCCTGCCCTCCACTGTCTCCTTGGAGACCAACCAGGAGGGAACAGATGGGGCCTGAAGAGTTCTGTACTAGGCGCATGCACTAGTTTCCTGCACCGCTGTAATGAATTACCAGGAACCAGGTGGCAGAAAGCAGTGCCCATTTACTCCTGCATGTCCCTAGAGGCCAGAAGCACTAAGCCAAGTTGGCAGCAGGACCAGGCCCCGGAAGCTCCAGGAAAAGAGCCTTCCTTCCTACCCCTTCCCACTTCCAGAGGCTCCCGGTGTTCCCTGGCTTGTGGCTGCATCACTGTAGGCTCTGCCCCTGTGGTCTCAGGGGGCCCTCCTCTGCATCCATGTATCCTAGTTTCCTGAGCCCTTTCTAAACCCTCTCTCTCCCTCTGGCTGCCACAGACAGTTGCTTACAGGCTGCTGCCCCATCCTGATGGTGAACTCTTAGAGCAGGGGTGTCCAAGCTTTTGCCTTCCCTGGGCCATGTTGGAAAAAGAAGAATTGTCTTGGGCCACACATACAATATATTAACACTAACAATAGCTGATGAGAAAAAAAAAAAAAGAAGAAGAAAGAAAAGAAAGAAAGAAAAAGAAAGAAAGTCACAAAAAAACTCATAATATTTTAAGAAATTTATGAATTTGTTTTGGGCCACATTAAAAGCCATCCTGGGCCACATGCAGCCCAAGGACAATGGGTTTGACAAGCTTGTCTTCAAGGATGAGACACCCCCATGCTTTCGCCCATACCCACCCCAATTCCGAAGCCTGGCCTGAGCAAGCATGTTGAGATCAACAATCCAGAAATGCTAGGAGCTCAGCTTTTAAAAATCTGAAATTTTTAAAACTTCAAACAAACAAAACCCTCCAGACCCAGATGGTTTTGCTGGATGAGTCTACCAATTGTTTAAAGAAGAATTAACATCAATTCCACACCATCTTTTCCGGAAAATATTGGAGAATGGAACACTTCCCAAATGTTCTGTAATACCACTACCCTGATTTGTAAAAAGATGAAACAGCACCCCAAAAATTACAGATAATATCTTCATCAACTTAAACATAAAAATTGTTATCAAAATAAATTCAACAATGTGTGAAAAGGATTACGCATCATGACCAAGGGGGAATCATTTCAGGCATGCAAGGCTGGTTCAATGTTTGAAATGTAATCCACTGTGCAACAAGTCAAAGAAGAAAATTCATACGATCATTATCAATTGATGCACAAAAAACATTTGGCAAATTTAACATTCATTCATGATTTTACAAAGTTCACCAAGTTAGGGATAAGGCAGAATTAACTCAAAGAATATGAGTAAAAATAGACCTACATCTAATGTCATACTCAATGGTGAAAGACTGAAAGCCATCCTCCTAAGAGCAATAACAAAGCAAAGAGTCCCCTCACTGCTTTCATACTGTATCCCACTGGAGGTTTGAGCCACAGCAATAAGGCAAGAATGGGAGGGGCAGGCAGAGAGGGAGGAAGAAAATGAATGTTTTAAATACAGAGTAGAAAGGAAGAAATGCAGCTATCTCTCTTTGCAGATGACGTGGTTTCCATGTAGAAAACCTCAAGGAGTCTACCAAAAACAAACAAACAAAAACTCTTAGAACTGAACTGAGTTCAGTAAGGCCACGGGATACAAGATAAACATACACAAATCAATTGTATTTCTATACATAAGCAACAAATACATAAACATTGAAATTAACAGCAGTACCATTGACCATTGCTCTAAACCTGAAATCCTTAGGCGTAAATCCGTGAACTGATGTACACACTTGTCTGCTGTGATAAAAGAAAAACCTCAGCCAAATTAAATTTAAAGGAGTTTAATTGAGCTACGAATGATTTGTGGGTCGGGCAGCCCCCAGAATCCCAGCAGATTCACAGAGACTCCAATGCAGCCACATGGTGGAAGATTTATAGACCAAAAAAAAAAAAAAATAGAAAAAAAAAGGAAATGATGTACAAAAATCAGAAGTGTGAGGTACAGAACAGCTGGATTGGTTACAGCTCAGCATTTGCCTTATTTGAACACAATCTGAACACTCAGCGGTGTATGAGTGGTTGAAGTACACCTGCTGGGATTGGCCAAGACTCAGCTCATGCTGAGACTCAATATGCATTACAGGTGCATACTCCTAAGTTAGGTTTTCAGTCTTGTCTACCTATTAAGCTAGGTTGCAGTTCATCCACAAAGACTCAAATATAAAAGTACAGAGTCCTTTTCAGACCATATTTAGTTCACTTTAACAGCTGAAAACCACAAAATATGTATGGAGGAATTCAGAGTAGATCTAAACAAGTGGAGAGACATGCTATGTTTAGAGGTTGAAAGACTGCATATAGTAAACACGTCAACTCTCTCCAAACTGATAAACCAATTTAACACAAACCTCATAAAAATCACAGCAAGATTTTTTGTAGATATAAACATGTTAATTTAAGTAGATATGTATTTTAAAAAGGAACAAAAATAGCAAAAAACAATTTTGAATACAGGATGAATTGGGAGGAACCAGTCTATCCAATTTCAAGACTTACTATACAGCTACAGCCATCAAGACTTGGCAGTGTTGTCAGAGGAACAGACTAATGGAACAAAATGGAAAACTCAGAAATGGACCCACTAGTATATGTCCAACTGATTTTTGTCAAAGGCACCAAGGCAATACAACAGAGGAAAGACAGAGTCTCAACCGATGATGCTGGAGCAACTGAACACCCGCAGGCCAACACCGGAAGAGTCTCCACTGAAGTCCTGTGCTTAACACAAAATTTAACTGAAAATACCTCATGGACTTAAATGTAAAATGTAAAACCACAAAATGTTTCCAGGAAGCTTCAGAGAAAATCTTCAAGATCCAGGGCTAGACAAAGAGTTCTTAGACTTGACATTGAAATCACAATTCATAAAAGAAATCATTGATTGAATTTGACTGCTGGAAAATCAAAAGTTTTTGCTCTGAGAAAGACTCCATTAAGAGGATGAAAAGACACACTACACACTAGGAGAAAATATTTGCAAACCACATATACAACAAATGACTATTATCCAACATAGATAAAGAACTCTCAAAACTCAGCAATGTAAAAACAAATTGTTTAATGAGAAGATAGGCACCAGACATGAACAGTCTACCAAGGAAGATGGAACCCAGAGCAAGAAGCTCTGTAGCTTCTGTTTCTACAGAGCAAAAAGCTCTGTAGCGAAGAAGCACAGGAAAAGAGGATCAATATCAGTGGCTGTCAGGGACATGCAAAGTCAAAATCACAATATGGTACCAGCTATTGGAATGGCTAAGACACTATCAAATGCTGGCAGGGAGGCGGAGAGGCTGATGCCTATTGCTGGTAGTTATGTAAAATGGTAGAGCTGCTCAGAAAACAGGCAAATAAGAAATTGGAGTTTCTTACTAAACTCCAATTATCACATGGCCTAACAATTATACTGTTGGGCATTTGTCCCAGAAAAATAAAAAGTTTTGCTCACACGAAAACCTGGACATGAACCTCCACAGCACCTTTATTGGTAATAGGCAAAACCTGGAATCTGCCCAGATACCATTCACTCACGGACAAGCGGTTAAAGAAACTTGCGGTGCACACACACCTGCAAACTCCTCAGCAATAAAAACGAACCAACTCTTCCTACACAAAATTTTGGATGAATCTGAAGAAATTATGCTGAGCAACAAAAGCCAATTCAAAAACATTCATAATAATAAAGCAAACACATTGAATATCACACAGTCCCTGTGGGTCAGGAGTCCCTGTTCGAGCTACCTCGGTCCTCTTCTCAGGGCCTCGCCAGGCTGAGGCTTGTGGGGAGGGGACTGATTGCTGTGTTCCTGCTCTTAGGAGGGACACGTTTGGTCTTTCACCACTGACCAGGGTGTCAGATGTGCCTGCTGGGCAGCCCTCTCATCTAAGGCTCAGGGGTCTTCTAAGATAATTCAGGTTGTTGACATAATTCCATTTCCAGTGACCACCACTCTCTTGGTGGTTGTGTTCTGGGGCCATGCTCAGCTCTTGGAGTTTTTGCCCTGTGCCCCCCACCAGGGACAGTTCCCAACATATGGCTGACACGTTTTTAAAAGACCAGCTGGAAAACTTTAGCTTTAAGGGCTCACTTGGTTAGATGAGTCCTACAAGGATAATCTCCCTTTTGATTAACTAAAAGCCAACGGATTAGAAACCTTAATCACATCTGCAAGATCCCATCTTCTTTTCCACTGAACATCACCTAATCATGAGAATGCCATTCTGTCATATTCACAGGGTCTCCCACTCTCAAGGGGAGGGGTTTTCAAAGCATCCGCCCTGGGGTGGAACCGGGGAGAATCCCCGGGCCACCTTGGGCCCCCGCCACCGCATGTGTGTCTGTATGAATGCACACCGGGCTCTCCCTCCAACTTTGCTTTTCACATGGTCTTTCTCCTCTGAGAAACATGCCTCCTACAGCCCTCAGAGTGCAGCAGCACAGGAAGCAGATGCCCAGTGGCAGAGACAGGCACTGAGATCTCCAAACTCAGCCTCATTAGCACCAAACTGATGAAAACTGTTAACAGAGACCTTTCAGAGCTTGAAAGGCAGATCTCAGAGTCTCGTGAGACTTTTCAAAATGGTCTCTGGCAAGAAGGGAAACAGAGACCCTCACCCCTTGAGGGCCAGAAGCCCCTCTTGACTGGCCCCCTGGGAATGCTTCGTCTTTGAGGGTTCAAGGCTGATGTTTGCACATCGTCTGGGGACCCACAGGGCACTGCCTCCCTTGCACAGCCTGACCTCAAGCTGAGAACACTGGAAGTGTTTTTCAGAAAAGACTGCAGCCAAGAGGCCACTGCCAGGAGTTGCTGGTCCTGGTTCCCTGGGAAGGGATGTGGCCTTTTCTTCCTAGGAACAGAGATGGGCCAGGGATCCAACTTCCCCACTGATGATCTGAGCCAAACACAGTGGACTTCCCACTTAGAAGGACACATCAAGAGTCCGGGCACAGTGGCTCACACCTGTAATCCCAGCATTTTGGGAGGCTGAGGCGGGCGGATCACCTCAGGTCAAGAGTTTGAGACCAACCTGACCAATATGGAGAAACCCCGTCTCTATGAAAAATACAAAATTAGCCGGGCATGGTGGTGCATGCCTGTAATCCCAGCTACTTGGGAGGCTGAGGCAGGAGAATCATTTGAACCCTGGAGGCGGATGTTGCAGTGAGCTGAGATCGTGCCATTATACTCCAGCCTGGGCAACAAGAGCAAAACTCTGTCAAAAAAAAAAAAAATGACACAGCAGGGACCCTTGGGAACCCTCTTCCTCTCCCATGATTTCCTCATGGCTAAAATGAGATGTTGAGCCAGATGAGCCCTGGGACCTCTTTCCTAGCCCTGGAACCGAAACCTGAAATCCCAATCTGCTGAGAAGCTAGGGGGCTCCTGACAGCTCTTTGCTGGCCATCGGCTCATGGCATCAAGACACTGGCAGGTCATCGTGTTTGGCTTCCAGAGTTCACTTAATCAAAGAGCTCTTGGAGATCACCCCTTTCTCCTCACTGATAAATCACTCCTCTATGAAGACATTAAGCAAGAAAACATCCACCATTTAGAGATCAATGAAAGTCGAACAGGGTCTGAGATGAGGCTCAGGGACTTTCCCTGAAGACCCAGTGGCCGCAGCACAGGGGACCACAGGAGCTTCGTGCCATTCTGTGAAAGACACAGACCACGCTTCCATGTAAGCAAATTGCTTCTTTAAAAGCTTGCTAATCAGACAGAAGCTGTGGGTTTATCTCTTTGATGCTCTTTGAAACCGAATTTGAAACTGAGATGCACATTCATCCATGTCAACAAACGTGTTTACCCGCCTGGGCTGCTTTTTGCTCTAGGAAATAAAAATCCTTCATGTTGTGTCCTAGTTGCTGTTGGTGGTTGCATTAGTCAGCTCGGACTACCACCAAAATACGATAGACTAGAGGCTTAAATGACAGAAGTTTATTTCTCACAGTTCTGGAAGAGGCAGGTTCTACTCTTGGTTGCAGGCAGCCACCTTCTCACCATGTGCTCCCAGACCTTGCTCTGTGTGCATGAGGGAGGCAAGGGAGAGAGAGGGAGAGCAAGGCGGGGGGTGGAGAAAGAGAGAGAGGGGGGAGAGAAAAAGAGACAGAGAATGCTTTGGTGTCTCTTTTCATAAGAAGCCCAGTCCCATGGTTAGGGCCCCTCCCTCATGAGCTCATCTAACCCCAATCACCTCCCAAAGGCCCCATCTCCAAATACCATCACACTGGGGATCAGGGATTCAATATGTGTTTTGTGGGACACATTTATTCCATAACAGTGATGGTGGCTGTTGGTGCTTTGTTTTGCTTTTCCTATGAGAAGATAAAATTCAGTGGAAACTTGGGAAGGCAGGAAACTTGTCTGTCTTGTTTACCTCTTGCTTGATACCTATCTGGTCCTACAATAGCACCTGGTCCATAGCAGGTATTTGATAAGTATGTGAAGGAAATCAAGGAGTGCATGATTGGATGGATGGATGGATGGATGGATGGATGGATGGATGGATGGATGGATTGACGGATGGCTGGATGATGGGATGGGTGAGTGAATGGATGAGTGGATGGATGCATGATGGATGGATGGAAGGATGGATGGATGGATGGATAGGTGATGGGATGGGTGAGTGAATGGATGGATGGAAGGAAGGATGGATGGATGGATGGATGGATGGATGGATGAATGGATGAATGATGGGATGGGTGAGTGAATGGATGAGTGGATGGATGGATGGATGGATGGATGGACAGATGAAAGTTCTCATCTCCATCTTAATGTAGAATGTGATGCTTTTTGCCTAATAACCAGGCAGGCCTTGACAGCTTCTCTAAATTCTCACCTTCCTTCACCCAGGAACCTGAAGCACGACTATGGATTTGGTGTTTGGTTTTTCCCCTAAGACTGTGCAAATTGTGGCCTCCCTCTGGGCCTCAGCCTCTTCCTCATTATCTGGGAGCGAGTGAGCTGCCCTTACAGGATGCCCAGTGTGGTGGCTGCTGCTCTCTGTGAGCCTGCCGCAAACAGCTCAGCCAGGTAGTGCTGAGCCAGCACACTCAGTGCTGACTCCACAGGCTTCCTGAGGGACCACATCAGAGCTCACGACTGCCCTCTGCTTTGCAAGCTCATTCCCAGGCACCACAGCCCCCCACCCCATTCTCCCCTGAGATGTGGCACACAGCAGAGCTGTGCCTTCTGACCTTGAGGGAAGCGAGTTTGCTCCCTCTAACCCCACCTTGGGGATGGGGACGAGGCCTAGAAGCTGATGATCAGCAGCCCCCACCCAAGGAACCCAGGAAGCACCGCAGGAGGACACCATGGGTTTATGAGCTCATGAGGTACATGGGTTTATGAGCTCATCAGGTGAACATTTTAGGGCCACTGAAGCTCCACTCTCCACTCTGCTCTGTGACTGCAGGGAGGCAAATCCAGGTGGAGGTCATGCTTCTAATCCTCCCTGTCGATGCTTACAGCCTCCTGGGCAGCACAGTCCCAGCAGCAGAGCCAGAGGACTCCCTATATAGGTCATGGCACCATCCCCCAAAACTTAACTTAGCGTCTTCCTTGCCAGGCTGGCCAGATCCTCCAATGAAGCCCTTCGTGTTACTGGAGTGAATCTAATCTCCTCCTTTAAGAGGACTTGTTTGCTGAAGAAGGGAAAAGGGGCAGAGAGTTTGCAGGCACACATTCTGCTGTTTGGCACACAGCTGGGAATTGAGCTGAGGCACCCATGGGGGAGGGAAGGGGCTGCATGGAAATGGGAGGATCTGCTCTTCCTCAGTCCCTGCCTTGGGCTGGGGTTGCTTTTAAACAAGCACCCACATGTCTATCATGTACTTCTACACATGTGCACACACAGACACACACATGCATACTCACTGCTACTACGGGCCAGGTCATGGTTAGCTGTGTGGTCCCAGGATGACAAGTTCTGGCTCCCATTCTCCAAGAGCATCACCACCCAACAAGGGAAGCAGATAGGCAAATGGCCACATGCAACGTGGTCTGTGCAGAGAATCACAGCCCAGAGCCGAGAGAGGCAGAGTGGAGGCAGGTCCCCTTCACACTGTATTCTTGTTCTTTAAGATGAGTAAATGGACTGACAAGACAGGCCTAAAAAGAAAGTTATTTTAAGGATAAACTAAATAACAAAAACCTTATACCCACTTGGCTTCTTATACATTCATGAAGGGTTAAGTGCTGTGGGAATTGGTCTCCTCATGAAATAAACAAAATATATGAAATAGCTGTTTTCAAATATTAGACAACAGGTAGCAGGTAACTGTGATTCAGGAGAGTGGAGAAACCAAAGAGCTGAGCCCTCCCTTTTTCCAGCTTGCAGCCTAGAGGCAGTTCCCAGAAACTAGTGGAGGGACAGGCCCAGCTCCAAGCCCATGCTTTTCTCTGGAAGAGGCCAAGGCAATGAGGGTGTGCAGGGTAGGATGCCAGAGAGGGGAGAAGTCTGCAGAGAGGGGTCTGGAGAACCTCAGGGGGCCCCATGAGTCCTTGGCTGTGGAGTGAACTGCAATGCATGGGTCAGGCTCAATAAGGCCGCAGAAAGACCCCCTACAAAGTGGCAGGTCCAATGACACTCAGGGCCCACACAGAGAGAGCACTCAGTACTTCCATCAGAGAGAATGGAGAGACCTCATGAGACATGGGGTGTTGGGTACAATCCTAAGAAGGGTCAGACCTTAGAAATGGGGCTAAATTCATCCTAGAAGGGCTACACTAACAAATCCTAGGTGCCTGCCTCAAGGAGGCCGAATGGTTCAATAAGTAATTGCAGTCCAGAGCAAAGTCCTACACTCTTTAAAGGAATCCAACAGAATCAGCACTCAAAGATGAAAAACAATGTTTAGCACCCAATCAAAAATCACCAGCCATGTGAAGTAACAGGAAAATATGACCCATAACTAGGAGAAAAATAAAACAATAGAAGCAGATCCCAAAATTACAAGAGTGATAAAAATAGCCATTTAGGATCTGAAAAGAGCAATGATAAATATTACAAATATGTCTGAGGATATAAATGAAAGTGTGAACATAATGAGGAGGTAAATGGAACATATGAAGTGGAAATTTCAAAAAAAATCTGACATAAAATACATAATAAGTGGGATTAATAACAAACTAGATATGGCAGATGAAAAGATCATGAGGAAAATGCAATTAAAACGATCTACAATGAATCGCAGAGAGAAAATAGACATAAGAAAACGAAAAAAATTAAAAAGAGGTTGAGTGTATCGAGTACACAGATACTTGAAGTCACAGAGAGGACATAAAATGTATTTGAAGAAATAATGGCCAAAAGTTTTCCCAAATTAAAATTTAAAATACAAACACAGATGTAAGAATCTCAACAAACCCCAAGCAGAATAAGCACGAGGAATAGCATACCATGGTTAATCACAATCACAATTATATATTCTCTAATTAACATGGACTTAAACTAGACATCACTCACGACGCTGCCTCTTCCTAGCAGAGCAGTTTCCAAAGTGGTGCCTGGGCCCCTCAGTTGGTCTGGAAGCTGGAGCTCTGATGGGTCTGCGCTGTGGTGGGAAGAAGGAACTCCCAGCCTTTCTGTGAGGTGGGGTCTATTCTGCAGCCCCCACCAACACACTCTGCAAAACACTGGCTGCCCTAGAGCCCCTCACCCCATATCAACCCACATCTTGGAGAGGCCTTTGCACAGTGCCCAGCTCTCCCTCACCTCTGTCCCCCACTCCCTTACACCCCCATGCTTTGTGGCGGGCCTGCATGGAATTTCTCTCTCCCCTCTCAAGAATTGTTTCCCAGAAAGAGCCAACATCATGAAGCTCTGTTACTAAGAGCATCTCTTCTCAACCTGAGAAAGAATTTGAATCCATAAGACCACCTGGCAACATCCAGTGCAACACCATTGGGCTGGCTAGGGGTGAAGGCAGAGAGGGTTCAAGCATCAGGTGTGGTAAACAGAAGATCCCCAAACACTCTGTTGCCAACCGCCTGTTGACTGGGCATCCCACCTTGCATGGTCCTGGAGAGTTCCACATCACTGCTTGAGCCCCTCCCTCTCTCCCCTCTCTAAGTTGGGTGCTGAGGGGAGCACCCCTGACCCCGAGCTCTGCTTGCCCAGGTCACCACTGTCCACATTTCTGCAGGTACATTCCGGGCAGCAGAAGAGCTGCTGTCCATAGCTGATGGATGGACGGCCGGGCGTGGAGGGTAGGGGTTCCTCTAGGGGCACAAAATGAGAGGAAAGGCCAAGGCTGTTGAGGTGGTGAGGGAAGTACTGGCCAGACTGAGGTCTCCAAAACTTAGACCCCTCCCAAAGGGACGTGGGTTCCATTGTCACAGCTCCAATCACAGACAAGCATGTTGGCCAAGATTATGGACATTTGTGTTTTCTCAGCTATTAAATCGGGGGTTGAATCCAATGATGTCTAAGCCTCTTATGCTTCAGACATGTATTTCTAATTCATGGTGTAAGGTTAGGGGTTGTATCAGTCAGGGAAAACTGGGTTATGCTGCCTTGACAAGCATCTCCCTGAATCCTAGGGGCTTAAAACAAAGAAAGGCTTACTTCTCAATCATGCGAAAGCCACTGCTGGGGCCTAGGGCCCTGCTGATTCTCATCCCCACTGGGGTCCCACCCTGAGGAAGGCACCATCCTCACAACTTCATCCCTGCTGAGCTGTGGGAAGAGGAAGTAGCAAGTCAGAAACTAGCTCTTCAAGTTTCCACCAGGTCACTTCTCACCAATTTCATTGGCAAAGCAAGTCACGTGGTCACCCCTCACATTTTCAGGGACAGGGAATGTCATGCTGCCGTGGCCTGGAGGTGCGGTGCCAGCAAGAGTTGGTGAGCCGCACCGATGCCCACCCAGGGATCCCCCTGTGGAGACAGTGACCTAGGCTTTGTCCTGGCTCCACCACACATGAGCTGCAGCTTTGGGTGCCCGTCTCCCCGCTCTGTGGCCCCTCGTCACAGATCAACAAGGGAGTGCATGGAGCATGCCTGGCACAGAGGACAAGCCTAGTGAGGCTGCCTGCTGTCACCGGTTCTCCCTCCTGAAGGCCCCCCAAGCCTGCACAGCTCCTAACCTCCTCTGTCCCAGCTTTCTTCACTGACCAATTATTCAGGAAAAAAAATGCAAGTTATATCTCTAATATCTGAATGCTGCATATTCTGAGAACTAGTTTCTCCCAAACAATGTCATCTTCCTCAACCAAGAATTCAGTTTCTGTGGCCACCCCTTTCCTCTCCTGCTTCCTAAGTCAAGTGCCTCCCAGCCCCCTGCCACATCATGCCTGTGCCTCGGTGGGGCTTCTCTGCCAACTAGGCTGAGCTCTCTAGGTCAGTGAGCCAATCTAGCTTTTAAATAATATAGCATATTCCTTCTAAATATTTTAAAGCAATTGGAGAGTTAGAGCGAGTGAGAGGGAGGAGGCATGGAAAGAAGGTCAAGGGCTGTGCCTTGCCGCCTCACGCTCATGTGCAGGACTAGACTAGCATTTAGCAGGCACCAGGAAAAGTGCTCCCTGGAAGCCCCAAAACTGCCACTACAGCTGCCAGCACCTTCTCTATTTAAAGAAGCACAAGGCAGTCTCCTTCCGCACCTCCGCATCTGACGTCTTTCCCCTTTAAGAGATCCTGCAAGTGGGTCCCAACATTTATAAATATTCAAGGCTTTTCTCATTCCTTGACATTTCAAAATGGACTCAAAAGCGATTATTTCACACAGTAAATTCAGGCAATAGGACAGCGTCAAGAGGGACCAGCCACTCGCCCCACTGTCCCCACCTAAGCGGCAGGAGTTGGGGAAGACAGTACGGGCACAGCTAGAAGGCCAGGTCCCCAAGGGCAGCAGCCAGGGCAGCCAGGGGCCACCGGGAGAGAAGGAATCATGCCGGCGTCCCCAGCTCATGGGGCGTGACGGCCACCAGGCAGCCACAGGACTGCCTATGCTCAGGCCTGGGGACACCAAAGCCAGAAGTCAACCCTGTCATCTTGTGCGCGAGGGCTTTTCAGATGCACATTTACGTATCAGCTCACAAATTTCACATCTTTCTGATTTCAGATAAAAATGACTGCAGGTATTGCAAGCTTTTTAAAAATCCTTTACCTGAAAGCAGTGATTTATATACAATTTTCTTTTTTTCTTAAAGAGAAAGACACGATGCCTGTCACCACAGTCGTGGATGGCTGAACTGAAACTCAGGAAACCTGGTTTTCCGAGCTTTGGCTGTGGTGTCCTGAGGAAATCGGTCCACCTCCGTGCCACACTGTGCCGGCTGAGACCAGATGAGAAAGGGGAGGTGGAGAAATGGAGGGGCTTTGAAAAGTATCCGAAGAAATGTAAAATATTGAAAAGATTCCCGTGAGGCCCATTTTTACATTCAAGTTTTCACTGCGGTTTAAAAGAACGTATGTTGTGTGTTGCAGAGGCCTTTAAAAAATAGCTTTTAGAAAAACAGCAGACACGTCCCACTCTACCAAGAATGTGCGCGGCCCTAGAGCTGAGCTATCAAGGACCACAGAGGACGGAGCCCTCTCGTTGTGAAGATCCTAGAGCTGAGCTATCAAGGATCACGGAGGATGGAGCCCTCGCGTTGTGAAGACCGGGGCAGGAGCAGCTCCTGTTGGGTATTGGATGACGAGTTCTTCTCATAAGGATTCCGTGATTTCAGAACGTTCCTACTGTTTTCACGCAGCCAAACACGCCCTCTCCTTCTTTGCTCCCTTGGACTCGGGCTCACCGTGGGGCATCCGCAGTCACCGCCACGTCGGACTCCGTGGGGGCTTCCCTGACCACGTGGCACCTGTCCGTTCTCCTCTGGAAGCTGTTCAGTCCAGCCCAGGCTGTGTCTCAGCCATCCCCAGTCCGGAGAGCTCTGTGGCTAAACAAAGATATTAAGTCATTAAAATGCAATAACCGAACTTCAAGAATCATTTAGCTCATTCTATGACTGGAGGTCTCCCAGGCAGCAACCGCAGCCCACGAAGCCCTCAGCGGGTGCCTCTGCCATCTCGGCATCTCCACCCTGGGCTCTCCATGCCCTTGTGGCGTCTCCACCCCATGCTTCCCTCTCCCTTCCCAGCACGCCAGAAAAACAAGTGTGAGAAGGAGGATGTGAATTATGGTCACGTGAATAAGGGGATTTATTAATGATGCCAGCAGGTTTGGGAGGTGGCTAAAATAGCTCCAAAGCCCAAATAGGTTGGTGCGAAAGTAATTGTGGTTTTGCCATTGAAAGTAACGTCAAAAACCGCAATTACATTTGCACCAACCTAATAGGTTTAAAAGAACAAAGCAATTAGGCGCACAAGTCATTTAATTTTCTAGCTGTTGCTCCAGATGTCAGAAGGAAAGCACCTGCAGCCACACCAAAGGGGACCCTGGATCAAGTGCCTAGCTGGTTCCAGTCGAAAGGCAACTGTTTCAAATGTCTTCTCTCTAAAGTAAAGATGGTGCGATACTTCCATCTGCAACATAAACGCAAGATATTGATACTGCCCGGGAACTGCCAGGAGGAATGTGGAAGTGGCCCCGGGAGACGGTCTGAGGACCCCCTCCCCCCGGCCCCGCCCCAGGCCTCTGTTTTCTAATCAAAGGCTCAGCATGGGTCTCCTTCCGCATTGTCTGCCTGCAAATGCAGGCTCTGCCGATGGCCTCCCTGTGGTTGCGAATGTGTTTCCAAGCTAGAATGTGGAAGAGGGAGGAGCCCCCCGCCTGCATGTCTGGGCTGCAATTCCCCCGTTTTTGAGAGCAGCCTGGGCTCCCAGAGCTAACCCGGGGGCATCTGAAGGCAACCAGGGAGGGGCCCAGGTTCCCAGCAGGACTGTGCTCACTCAGTGGCATAGACACAGCTTCCCCAGGTGGACGGTTTTGTTTTGTTTTGTTTTGTTTTTTTCTGAGACGGAGTTTCGCTCTTATTGCCCAGGCTGGAGTGTAATGGTGCAATCGCGGCTCACCACAACCTCTGCCTCCCAGGTTCAAGCGATTCTGCTGCCTCAGCCTCCCGAGTAGCTGGGATTACAGGCACGCGGCCACCACACCCAGCTAATTTTTTGTATTTTTAGTAGTGACGGGGTTTCTCCATGTTGGTCAGGCTGGTCTCGAACTCCCGACCTCAGGTGATCTACGCGCCTCAGCCGGGGAAGGTTTTAATTCCAGATGCAAGGAAAGACCTGGAGTCCTTCCAAAACCCTGGGCCTCTGACTTCCGGCTGGAGAGGCTCTGGTCCCCACCACACATCCCGCCCACCTGCAGGACTGGCCTTGTTTTAAGGAGCCCAGAGCCAACATGGAATCAGAGGAGTGTCAAATCAGGAAGCACAGCCTGCTGTCTCAGGTCTCTCATCCTCTGTGCCTGACTCCTCCCCTCAGCTCCGAGGCTCCGGGTCCACCTATTCAAAAGTCAGCCTTAGGGTGTCCGAGTCAGACATTGGTTCTAGTCTGGGCCTCTAGTTAATTGCTGTGTGACCTTGGGCACTGACTCAGCCCTGACAATCTAATGACTCCCTGAGGCTGGGGCATGGAGGAGCCGATGGCCTAGTGTTTGCAGGAAGGCATTTGCCGAGCCCACTCTGCATAGTGGGGCTTGGAAGCTAAAACGCTTCGAGAAACATCCACCTCAGGAAGGGTCACCCAGAAGCTAACCTGAAGACAAGGAGTTGAGGGCATGTGAGTAACCTGGGAGGGGGTCTGTCAGGATCCCCCGGGAGAGTGGCGCAGTGAGACAGGGTGAGGAAGGGAGTCCACGGAGGGGCTCTGAGTGGGGCCACGGGGTTGCAGTGCACTGGGGACCCTGAGACCAGGCAGAGCGCTCCTCGGAGCCACCCGCCCCAGCGTCTGTGAGGCTGCTCCCTGGGGTGTCAGCTCTCCAGCCCCTCTGGCCTGCTCCAGCATCGGCGCGGCTCCCTGGTAGATGGCGCCCCCCGCACAGGCCGCCGTGGGCAGTGGTTGGGTGTGGGTGGGGAATGGCCGCCGGGACACAGTTCAGGGCACAGCCCAGCCTGACACAGGCTTGGAGGTCTAAACTCAGGCCACTGGAGGGCTTGAAGCGGGAGGCAGAGGGTACGGTGTGGCTGCCAGCAGGAGCACTTAGGAGGCAGGAGCACTCGGGAGGTAGGAGCACTTGGGAGGCAGAAGCCATCTTGCCTTTGGTGGGAACTCACTGGCAGGTGCTGTTGGAATCAGGTCTGTGTTTGTTTGTGGCTTCCACTGGCAGCAGCTACTGAGATGGTCCAATTGCCCCTCACCAAAGCTCCCATGTGTGGGGGCTCGGGTGAGGGGTGGGATGGCCCTTTGGGCTGGGATGAAGCCTCTCCAGCCCAGCAGCAGGAAACCTGAACCGAGAGAGTTGCCCCCAGAGACGGAGAAGCCTGTTGGCTGCAGAGTCCAGGAGAATGAGCGGCATGGGGGCATTCTCCCTGCCGTGTCCCTCGGCTCCAGGCAGTCACCACAGTTGGGTCCTGTCCATTTTCTAGTTGCCTATTGCCACTAGAGGAAAATGCCCTATTTTAAGCACAATCTGGCCAACTTCCTGAACTTTGTTGAGGAGGGTGGCTCCAGTCGATTTTCACTTAATCCTCCTGAGCTTCCCTGGGTATCCAATTGCTGGCAAATGTGACGGTTTTCTCCCATCCAGTACGAGTTGTTTTTCTGTTTCCTGCTTTATCACATTGTCCATTATGTACATCATAAAGTTAGTCTGATGACAACTAATTTTCAATTTTCGAGCAACTGTGGGGAGGATGGATTTGAGAAGAGAGAAGTTGAAAGCAGACTGAACAGCCTCAAAGATTTGCCATAGATTAGGAGAGGCAGGCTGGGAACAGAGTGGAAGTGAGAGGGGGAGCATGGACACGTCTGAGCAGGGTTTAGACTCAGCCCTGCATGGACTCGGGCAGGCAACAAAAGCTCCTCTAGGTTCCAGACTCAAAGCACAGGATCCAATAGGCATGAACCAGGAAAGGGCACCATATTACAATCGCTGCTACACTGTGGTCATTTACTCAAGCAAACAATGGGACAGACGAGATTAATTAGAAGTCCTGATTTCAATGAGTTCTCCAAGAATATGGACTCACATTAAATTAACAGCTGCTTTAATTTTCTCCCATACCTCCATGGTCTGACTCTTAATGAAGCTACATCCAAACCCTCTTATGATACTTGAGTTACAAGATGGTATTGCAGTTGACATGGCAACTCTGCACACACTGTCTTACTTCAAGCCAGAGCCCCACTATCTGCACAACTTTCTCCCATGACCAAAACATCCCCGTACTGTCCAGAGTGGTCACCCAAGTCAGGCATGGCTCTGCGGCCAGGACACAGAGAAACCAAATTTGCAATTTGATTTGATGTAAATGAAATCTGCCTTACTTAATAGCAAGATTTAGGATGTGAAGAATGGGACTCTGCATTTTGGCAAGATGCCCAGGTACCTTGGTTGCAAGTGAAAGGTTGAGGGGCTCTGCTCTTCTTAGGCGATTGCAGGGGCTTCTGGCATGTGCTGCATCTGCAGGCCTCAGAGCACCTCCTCCCCGTTTTCTCACCTGATGGTCACGCCACAGGCTCTTTCCAAGATGCTGTCAGCAGACCTGAGGTGCTCCTGCATGTCACCTGTCTTTGCATATGGGACTGTATCTGTTGCCTCCGCCTTCCCAGCCTGGCCCACCTATAAAAGGCCTCTGATGTGTCTTTACACACTTTGTGCAGGTATGGACTGGCCTTGGCCCTCCCTCTGAAGGCACAAAGCTTAGCACAGACATGGAGACAGGAGGACTCTGCCGGGTGAAGCAGCAAGCCAGCAGATCACGTAGACTCGGTTCTGCAGCTGCTTGGGGTCTTTCTGGAAATCCACCAAGCAAGCCTCAAAGACAAAGACAAGGCTCGACCCACAGCCCAGTGCTCCTTTCTTTAAAAAAATAAAATGAAATCAGATGATTCCTCCTCTGAGTGGACTTCACTCCCTACTTTCTTCACTCAGAGTGAAGGGAAGCCATGGAGACCTTGCTCTGCCTCCTTTTAACCCCAAAGGAAAAGGCCACCCACACTGCTGTGGGTGAGTGGACATTCGAGTGCCATGTCTAGTTGGCTTTCTTTACTGCTTTTAGCTTTCAGGGTCATTTGGAAGGAGCAGCCTCCTGTAACACCCTCTGGGACTGTGCGGATTTCATGAGAAAACTTCTGCTCATGAAACTCTCCAGGTGCGAAAATGTCCCCCTGAAGCCAGTGGCTCAAACAAAACCCAACTCAGATCACAGATTCACAGTTATGGGCAGAAACACAAAACCCAACTCAGATCACGGATTCACGGTTTTGGTCAGAAACACAAAACCTAACTCAGATCATGGATTCACAGTTATGGGCAGAAACGAGGGTTTTTTTCTCTACCCATAGAACACTTGATTCAAGTCACCCCATTTTAAGTGACTCATCGGCGAGGAAACATCTCATTGAGGACAGGCTGCCTGGCTCTGTGTGGAGCTGATATTCCCAGCCCCAACCCTGAGCATCCTATCAGGGGAAGGAAGGAATGTGGTGGGCTCGTGCAGCAGGCCTGGACCTCCTGCCTCTGTGTCCCTTGCTGGAGGAGGCTGAATGTGTGCGGTAGCCCTGCTTTGTGGTCATTCAGCACAGTTGGACCCAAGCAGAGTTTGAGGGTACATGGAGGAAGCCTTAGTGTCCAGGGGCGTGGCTCAGAGCTCAGATGGCCAGCGCTCCCTGCATGCCCTGCCCAGCCCACACCCCAGCATAATCCCTCGGGGGAGGTCTCCTGCAGAAGTGGAGGTGGAGCTGGTGTGGGTCCTGCTGAGACTCCCCTGCAGCTCACACCCCCCACCCACTTAGTGCAGAGCCTCCCTCTCCTTCCTCCCTTGGAGCAGGCAGTGTCTGCCTGGCCCTTTCGGGGGAGTCTGCCACGCAGCTGAGCTTGCTGCAAATCCTCCTCCACCTGTCTGTCTTGAACAATCGCTCCAACCACTGACGCCTGGGGCCTGGGGAAGGTGGGGACTGAAAACCCAGGTTCCCTCTTCCCTCCTCCAGGAACAGCCATGGTGGCTCTGAGTTCTACTGAATGAACCTGTGACCTCTTCCTTCCCTGAAGGATCAACTGGATGTTCAATTAGAGACTACTAGTTTAGAGTAAAGCAGGCTATACAGCTAATTTGGGACAGTTCGAATAGGCTGTTATGGCACAGAGACAAACAATGCCCCACATCTGGGGAATGAAATCAGCAGGTGTGTGCCGAGCTCGTTCTGGGAGGGTCTGGGCTTTGCTCCATGTCACTGTCCTGACTCCAGAACCGGAAAGACCCAGCAGCCTCTGTCTGAAACCGCCCATCACTGTGGCAGAGGGAGGCACTGCCCCCAGTGCCACACAGAATTAGAACCCAGTGCCTTTGCTCACCCTCAACGGCCAAAGCAAGATGCAGGGCTACTCCGGGCCTCCGTGGGCGGGAAGGACTCTGCTGTGGGGCTCACATTTGCAGACAGGCCTTGCGTCGCCTGCAAGATATTGAGGGCTGCCAGGCACAGTCTTTCACGCCTGTAATCCCAGCACTTTGGGAGGCTGAAGCAGGTGGATCGCCTGAGGTCAGGAGTTCAAAACCAGCCTGGTCAACATGGCAAAACCCCATCTCTACTAAAAGTACAAAAATCAGCCAGCCATGGTGACACACACCTGTAATCCCAGCTACCTGGGAGGCTGAGGAACAAGAACTTCTTAAACCCAGGAAACAGGTTGCAGTGAGCCGAGATTGAGCCGCTGCATTCCAGCCTGGGCGATAGAGTGAGACTCTGTCTCAAAAATAATAATAAAAAGTAAATTAAAAAAAATAAAGATATTGAGGCCAGCATGTGAAGTTCCTTCTAGAAGTAAGATGGAGAAGCCAGGCTCACCATGGAAGCCCAGCGGCTCTGCCTTCCTTGTGAATGGCCAGTGTGGGCCACTCCTTCTAGAAATAAGGTGGAGGAAAGGGGAAAGAGTTTGGCCAAGGATTTATCTGCCTCTGCAGGAGCCGTGGTTGTAGCAGTGATCCATGCACATGGCGGGGTAGCCGGTGCTGGGGAACGGGGGCCCAGCCAAAACTGTACACACTTAAACCGTCAATCCAACCAAGCAGAACAGTATTTTTGTTTCTTTATGCAAATGGATTATCCACGACACCCATGACCTAGACGTGTGTTGTTAT
The DNA here is from genome assembly GCF_000001405.40 of Homo sapiens. Lineage (NCBI taxonomy): Eukaryota > Metazoa > Chordata > Mammalia > Primates > Hominidae > Homo > Homo sapiens. The sequence continues at coordinate 131,682,633 of NC_000010.11, forward strand.
TACACAAAAGAGATTACCTGCCTTCTGCCTGCCCAGAAGAGAGGTCCCCGTGGGCAGAGCTAGAGAGCAACGCGGGAGTCAGTAAGCCCCGCAGGAGAGTGATGTGCTGGGGACACTCGGAGGGGAGAAACCCCCCGGGCACTCAGGAAATCCGGGAGGAAGGACGCATCTCCCAGGAAGGAGAGTGTGGCCTGGAGGCGGTCATATGAAAGGACAGAGAAGCAGAGGGTGGGGGCGGATTCAAGGGGCTGTTGCAGAATCATGGTGGAGGGCAGGTGTGAGCGATGGTTTCCGCCATAAACAGTGGCCTCATGGACAGAGATGGGCAAGTCGATGTCAGAGGCCCAGGGCGAAGCCTTATGGGGATAAGAATGGTGTCTGTTTCGTAGGGATTGTGAGGTTTAATAAGTCACACCTGCAAGGGTCTTGCACGGTGCCTGGCCCACAGTGAGCAATCAATAAATGTGAGGTGCTGTGACTGTCTCCAGCCACTCAAGGCTTCCTTTTTGTTTTCTAAGCAAGTACTGTGGTGGAAAGCACGATTTCACTAAGGTTTGAGTAGAAAACGTGGACTGATCAACAGTAAGCAAATGTATTCAGCACCTTCGTTTCAAAGAACTCAACGTATTTCACATGTGAACCCTCACATCAGAGGTCAGAGCAGCAGTGTCCGTCTGCACCTTGAACAGGAGCCCTGGAGCATGATCTTACCTGGGTCTGTGCATGGCCAGCTCAAGGTCCAAGGTCCCTAGCCCCGCGTCCACCACTCTTTCCTCTGTCCCCAGCTCAGGGCATGCTGAGGCTTCCTTGGGCTCCTGACCACCCTGTTCCCACGGAAACTGCCTCTTTTCACGGACATCTCCAGACTGCGCCTTGCCGGGGGCCCCTGGGGTCCCCGCACCCGGCCAAGAGCAGATTCAGGGCAAACGTGGGCCCTGGCTGAGCAGTGAAACTGGTTCCCCTCCCCCTGTTGTGGAGCAGTTGGTCCAGCCACAGAGTTGGTCACCCAGGTCCCCTTCCACGGAGATGGGGACACCGCAGGAGGCACTGTCTATGGCAGACACGACCTGCCTTCCCGGGACAGACCCGCCCCGACGGCAAGGGCTTCTCATGCCTGAGGCTCCCAGCTCCCCGTATCCAGTACCAGGGAACGCGAAGGCAGGCTGTTGGGGATGGCAGCAGGAATCCTGTAGAGCCAGGAGTAGGAGGTGGGATCAGAACAAAGCGTATGCATGAGTGCCCCATGCTGCAATGCTGCCGTGTGCTGGGAGCTGCAGGTGGCTCTCTGAAGCTCTATGGAGACACCTGAGCAGGAGCTCCATCCTACATGGAGGAGGCCAATTTATACCTAGAGAGGGGGTCTCTGAGCAGCATTCCACAGAGGCACTTGCTGAGCAAGACCACCCAAGACAAGTCAGCCGCACTACCCCACCTGCTCAGACTGAGTCCAGCAGCCCAGAAATACCTGCGGCCTTCAGATCAACGTCCTCCTCCGGCGTGAGCTCCTTTCATCCCAGGAACTGCTGCTTCGCAGGGAGAGCTTCGTTAGAGGACACACCATTGCTTCTGGCTGGGAGGAAGAGGTCCTGGTGTCCCGTGGCCCTGTGGGATGGCTGCTGGTGACAGGGACACGGTGCGGAGTTCAAGTCGCTGGAAGGAGGATATTGAATGTGACCGACATGAAGAAATCATAGGTGTTTGAGCTGCAGGAGGTGCTAATTACCCTGCTCTGATCATGATACAGAAGTTATACTGAAGCACCACTATGTAACCCATGAATATGCACAATTATTATTTGACAATTAAGAAATAACATTTTTAAATGGAAAAAAAAGAACAGTTGGACATTCTAAATCTAAATTTGGGCCTTTTCAGAGTATAAGGTGCATATTGCAGGAGCTGCCAAGATACCCAGACAAGACTTTCAAATACCTGGCACCCAGAGCCAAACCTGACCGAGAAACCCTCAAGTCCAGAGAGAACTCAAGAGTCAAGAACCCAAAAACCCCGCAAACGTCAGACGCACCCCACAGAGACCAGCCACAGAGACCCCTACCTTCAGGCAAAGGAAGCCCTCACCCACATCGGCTTCCACATAGGTGTTCATATTGAATTCAATTACTCCAAATCCCCCCACCAGATCCACATGCAGAATGGAGTCTCATTGAAGACTGAAATTATTCTCCATAGATTTTGAAATGTCTGCCCTTAGAAACCACCCAGCCATTATTCACACGAAAATTAAAGTAATGCAATCAGGAAGCAGAGGTTGCAGTGAGCTGAGATTGTGCCCCTGCACTCCAGCCTGGGCAACAAAGCTAGACACCGTCTCAAAAAATAAAAAAATAAAGTAATGCGATCAGGGACACTTAACCTGAGCTGAATACCAGACAGACAGGAGCACGTTTGTGTTATCACAGCTTTGTGTTATCACAGACGCAGAAGGGCTGTCATTAGACACCAGTGGGCCTTGTGAGAGGCCCTTCCGTCTGGGGTCAGGTGAAATCCTACAAACCCACAGCACAGGCAGGAGGTAGGGGGCCTCCGCTCCCCTCATGACTCAGTCACTAAAACGGCCTTGAAAAGGGACAGCTCATGAGAGCAGTAGCCAGGGACGGCTTCCCCACAGTGGATCCCCTGTGACCCTGCCTGCTGGCCACCACAGTCCTGGCAAGATGGCTGTTCTTAGACATTTGAGTAAAATTAACTGCACACGGAAGACAGGGGTCTACATTTAGGTGACCCTGCTAGAATGGTCCCTGAGATGTAAAATCATGAAAGGTCAAAGGGAAAGGGCTCAGAGAGGGCTGGCTCAGACCCTGCTCCTGCCTTCCCTCTCCCCTCCCCTGCTGAAAGCCCGGGCACCTGCCAGCGGGGCTGTCCTGCCCAAGTCTGGCAGCACGTGCCTCAGCTCCAAGGACTCTGTCCCCAAAGCACATCAGGACCCACTGCCTTGGCAGAACCCTGAATCATTCACAGTCTGACATCCCACCTGCTCTGGGGACGAGCACCTTCTCTCCCTCCAGCCCCTGCTCTCATTCCTGCCAGGCACTCTCCACTTTCAGCCACGCCACCTGCCCTCTGCCCCACTGCCTTCTCCAATCTGCCAGGCCTCTGTGCCCTCACTGCCCACGAAGCGTCCCCCGAGACATGAGTAGGGAGCAGCCAGTGGCAGTGCCCAGTCTGAGTTTGTGTCAGGGAGAAGGGGTGACTGAGGCACCTGCTCTGCGGAATGACTCACGGGATTGGCCAAGGTCACGTGCCGTGTCCATGATGTGCTTGGCACAGTAAGTGTAGTGTTTGCTGTTATGTGCCCACGCCCCACAGATCCTCACTGGAACCACTGCTATGCCAATTCCTGAAACTTGGAAAGAAAGAGAGAGAGGCCGGGCATGGCAGCTCATGCATGTAATCCCAGCACTTTGGGAGGCCAAGGTGAGTGGATCACCTGAGGTCAGGAGTTCAAGACCAGCCTGACCAACATGGCAAAACCCTGTCTCTACTAAAAAAAAAAAAAAAAAAAAAAAATTAGCTGGGAGTGGTGGCAGGCACCTGTAATCCCAGCTACTTGGGAGGCTGAGGCAGGAGAATCGCTTGAACCCCGGAGGCAGAGGTTGCGGTGAGCCTATATGGCACGGTTGCACTCCAGCCTGGGCAACAAGAGCAAAACTCCGTCTCAAAAAAAAAAAAAGAAAAAGAAAAAGAAAAGAAAAGAAAAAGAGACAGAGAGAGAGGACACAAAAAAATCAATCTGCTTAATGACCAATTCACTGAATTAACCCAGATAACTTTGCATACTTGAAGAAGTACACACATTCTCTCTCTCTCTCTGTCTCTCTCTCTCTCCCTCTCCCTATTTCTCCCTCCTCTCTCCGCCCCCAGTTCCTGAATATATTCAATAAATATATGCTTCTTAAAAGAATTGTAAGAAATGGTCCATTTGTTGAAAACTGTCACTAAGTACTTTTGCTTCCTTATGGACACATTCTCATCACTACATTTGGGAAGAGGAAGTACCTGAATGTAGTTAAAGAAGACAAAACCGCTCTACTCACCAAGAAAATGCCAGTTAAATTGAGCGGAAAGGAATATGGTCTTCAAATAATCCTTAGAAGTTGTTTTTTGGTTCAATTGAACAAATTTAGCAAGTTGGTCATTTTGGTGAATTTCTCTGGCAGCACACCATCGTCCTGGGAGCCGGTCTGCTCCCTGGTTAATCACAGTCCCCACAGCCCAGCCCGGCAGCCCTCCACCTCCAGCCACCCTCCCTCCTGTTCTCTCACCTGTGTGGCTCTGCCAGTCACCGAGGAGCCAGTCCTGGCCTCCAGGCTGGGCTCGGACAGGGCGCTCAGCTTTATCTGCACCTCCCAGGCAGGTGAGTAGGGGTGCCTCTGCAGGGACCCCTGGAAGTTTCTTCCAGCTTCCTTCCCCTCCCCTCCCCTGGCGCCCCGTCCACCCTCCCCAGGCCCCTGCTGCTGCTCCATCACCTCCTGTCTCAGAGCGGCTGGACCCTCGGTCTCAGCTTCACACATGTGCAGCCACACAGCGGCCTCTCTTCCCTGGGCAGCTCTGGAGCTAATCCCACCCCCCACGGGGACCCTCTTCTTTCAGGCCTTCTCGGGAATTCCACGCTCCGTGGGGGGCTATGTCTTACCCAGTCTATACCGTTCTCTACATTTCTTGAAATTGGAAAACAAAATGAAGTAGGTTTTAGCCGGTTTCAGCCTGTATGTAGTCACAGATTATTTTATTCACAGATTTTTTTTTTAATTTCTTCAGAAACAAAAACAGGATTCAAGGTTAGGCTAATAAGTAATGAGTGTTTTGGCTGAAGCTATTTTGAACTGATGATCAGGTCTCAGTGAGAAGGGCTCTGATTTATGGAATGGCGTCAAGCTGATGACATTCACTCTGACACCTCAGCTGAGCTTCGAAGGAAGGAAGGACACATAACACCTCCCCGCCAGCACACACAGGTGCACACTCACATACACACGAATGCCTACACTAACACACACAGCACTCACACACAAAGATATGCACACACAAATACGCACACAAAAACACACACCCACACATGCGCATGCCACACACAGGCACACGCATACACACAAATGCATACACATACACACACACCACCCACACAAAGATTCACACACTCACACGCAAATATGCACACAAAAATACACTCACACCTGCACACACCACTCACACACAAACATACACACAAAAACACTTGCATGCATGCACACACACGCAACCCCATTAACCTCACACACAAAAACACACACACATGCACACACACCACTCACTCATGCACAAATATGCACACAAAAATACACGCTCACACATGCACACGCCACTCACATACACACAAAAACACACATGCACGCATGCACACATACAGGCAACCTCATTGACCTCACACATACACAAAAACACACATGCATGCACACACACCACTTACTCCTGCACAAATATGCACACAAAAATACACACACGTACATGCCACTCACAAACACACACACAAAAACACACATGCGTGCATGCATGCAAACACATGCAATCCCATTAACCTCACACATACACAAACACACACATACATGCACACACCACTCATGCACAAATATACAGTGCACACACCACTCACACACAAAACACACACATGCATGCACACACACATGCAACCCCATTAACCACACACCTACACAAAAACACATGCATGCACACACACCACTCATGCACAAATATACAAACACACACACATCCACACCCCATTGACCACACACATAGACAAACACACATGCACACATGCACCACATATATACACATACACATCACACATGTACACATATGTATACACACATTCCTACTGGCACAAATACACATGAACACATGCACCACATATGTACACATACATGCCACACATGTACACATATGTATACACACATTCCTACTGACACCAATGCACACTCACACATATACACACGTGAACACACACATACTGTCACACATCTATACAAACATGCACACATACATCCATGCACACACCCCACTGACACACATCATGTGCACACACAGCCCTTCTGTTGTAAGGACAGGGGCAGAGCCTGTGAGAAGCCTCCTGTGATGAGGGGATGAGTCCGCGGTGTCCTGTTCCTACTTTCTCCACACACCCAATAAAGACACTTCCTTCCCTTTTGAAAGAGGCTTATTCCATGCACTGAGCTGGACTAGGAAGCCCTGCATTTGCTAATCCCCCACCCCCACCCCACCACATCCTGCGGGTCGTGCCTCCAGCTCCCACCCACACCCCACATGCCTGCGAACCCATCCCTGCCCCATTTCAGCGTCCCTGTCCACCCCCCGCCTCAGCTCAAGCTCTGCCTCCCCCATGCACATTGGGCTTTGACACACGTCCCCGTGGCCCCCACAGTTCTCAGCGTGGTGCTCTCTGCCCCTGGCAGGGCCCACTGGCCCTCACCCTCATTCTCCAGCAGGGCTCTGCCCACCTGCCCCCACCTCCCAGGCAAAGTGCCTATTCACAAGGCGTTCCCACCTCCGAGGCCTGCCTGCCACCCATCAGCGTGGCTCCCCAGCGCCACCAGGAGCCCACAGAGGCTCCCAGGCACCTACGGCTTCAACGTCCATCCGCAGAAGGCCCGAGCTTCTCCAGCAGCAGCTGCTTTCCTGAGCACCAAAGCCCTGGGTCCGACAGCCTGGTGGACATCTGTGCTCAGATGGTCTCGGGCCCAGCATGGCCCCAGCACACCTGGCGTCCTCTCTACACATGTGTTTCGTGCTGCCCACTCTTCCTTCAGTGACGATGTCCTCGCTCAGCTGGCCAACTAGAAAACCCAGGTCATCCCTGATGTCCCCATTAGCAAACTATCTAAATAGGCACCAGGCCCCACGGACTCCTGCCGGAAGACACCTGGAACCTGGCGATTTCCTCACCCCACCGCTGGACTCCCCAACAGCCCGCGCCTCTGCACGAGCACCGTCCGTCTCCTTCTCGGCTGTAGCCAGTGGGGCCGGCCTGCAGTGGGAGTCTAAGCCCACTGCTCCCTTGAGCAAAGTTCTCCACTGTCCTGCTGCCTCCCAGCGAGCCCCTGACTCCACGCCCAGCCTCACTGAGTGGCCGACAGCTCCCAGCCCCAGCTCAGCCCCGCACAGTCAGTCACACATGCCGCCATCCTGGGCCCTTGCGTGGTCACGCACGTTGTCATCCCAGTCACATGCGTGCCTGTCTTGGGCCCCTTTCCTTCCTGCTGCCCCCTGACCCTGGCTCTCAGCTCAGGACCACCTCTGGAAATCACCTCCAGGAGCTGGACCCTGGTGTGTAGCCCACACGTGGAGGTTTGGCCACTTCAAATTCAAATGCTCCTGCAGTTGCTTCTTATTGAGAGAGTGAGTTTGGCCTTTGACTCCCTGGGTCACCAAGTGGCCATCACTCCTTGATTTCTTCTTGCAGCAGTAGCTGCTCCAGGCCCAGCAGGTCCTGGGCCAGCCCACGGGAACTGTCATGTAGGGGTGGATCTGCTCACAGCCACGTCAGAGGCGGGGGCCTGCTCTGCTCTGTGAGCGTGAGCCCAATGACAGGGTCCAATTGCTGTGTTCTAAAGCCATCACAACCTTTGATGATTTACTTTCCAATAAAACTGCGATGCCCTCTTCCAATCACACACACTCTCACATATACTCTCTCTCACACACTCTTACACTCACACTCATGCTCACACACTCACACTCACATTCACACACTCACACACTCACTCTCACACTCACTCTCACACTCTCACACACACACTCTCAACACACATTCACACGCACTCACACACTCGCACACTCCCTCTCACACTCAACACACACACACGAGTTGGTTTATTTTTCCTGTAACGGTAGAACACTGATTTTCAGCCAATTTCATCAGCAGTTGATGCAGATGGAGGGGCAGGCGTTAGCACGTTGCTGATGCAAACGCCACAGGCCTTCTGTGTGCCCGCATGACCCTATCCTTCTGATCTGATTCTGATATATTCAGCTCACTTCCAAGGAGAGTAAAAGAGATTTTAGAGGCGTTTATCACAAAGGGCTTAAGTTGTTAAGTTGGCTGCAGATTCATGGGCGAATCCTGCCAGATGAGGGCTAGCCAGCAGGGACAGCCGGACTCCGACAGCCGACCATGAGGGCCCGGAGGCTGTAGGCGGGGTCTGCTTTCCTCTCCCTGAGACCCCCATCAGTGCCTGCCACCCAGCCGTGTCCTGGGCCCCGCTCTCTGCTGCCAATGCTGACCTCATCATGCCACCTCACTCACTGGGGACTGGGGTGCCACGATCCAGGTCTGTCCCCTCGTGCGCACTCAAACATCCATGTGGACAAGAGAAGCAACAACCCAGGCCAGGGACCGTTCTCCATATGGAGTCCCCAGAGCGGCAGAACCTGCCTCACCCAGAGCCCTCCAGAAATGCAGGATCCCACGCCCCACTGAGGGTGCCCTGGGGGTGGGGCCCTGCGTCTGCCCTTCAGGTGATTCTGATGCCAGAATTTGAGAACCCCTGCCCTCGTCTCTCAGTTGCTTGACTCCTCATCTCAAATGTCCTCACTCGCTCTCCCCTGAGGCCCAGCATTCTTACCGGGCAGTGGACCAGGGCCTTGGGCACCCACTGAAATTACCTGGGGAGCTTTAATGATGCCAATGCCTGGGCACACGAGGCTCTAATTTAATTTAATTGGTTCAGAACAGGCTCCAGCATGCGATTTTCCAAACCTCCTGGATGATGCTGATGTGCAGTGGGCCTGAGCAGTGCTGTCTACTGCCTAGGATGCCAGGAAGGGCACCTTCGGATGTGGTAAGCCTGCACCACCCTCTGTCCGTGAGCCCCTCTTCTTCACTCACTGCCACACTGCAGCCTCTGCGCCCCAGCTTCTCTGCCCCTCCCTCCATCTTCCAGCATCCACGGCCCCTCCCTCCCCCTCCTCCTTCCTAGCACACCGAGACCGCCAGCTCACCACTGGGGTACTTTCCTGCCACCCTCCCCTATCTCCATGGTGGCCCCGCCCTGCAGATGCCCCCCCCCAACCCCTGCTCCCGGGACCCAGCCCAGGTTGAGAGAACTGTTCCCCCCAGGTTGCTGCCCCGGCAGCTGCCCCTCTGCAGACCCCCCTGGGCCACACCCTGCGGGTGTGTCTCCTGCACCTGCTGGGGCTGCTTCCAGTCACACCACTCTCTCCAGCTCCTGCACGACCCACTCCCCCTCCTCTGCAAAAATTACCCCAAAACTACAAATGGCCAACAGCGGCCTCTGGACAAGAGCTCCTTCCGTATTACTTTCCTCTCCTCCACCGCGACCTGCACTTCCACATGCCTGGGCCACCCCTGTCCCTGCTCCTCGGGAGGGCAGAGTCTGCTCCCTGGCCAAAGCTGACCTTCCGTCCTGTCCTGAGCCCCTCTCCTTAGCTCCGAGGACCTCAGGAGCCCAAAACTCTCTGCTGATTCTGTGTTTTCATCACCCCGTAGCTCACGGCTCTTTTCCGTTCACAAGCAAACTTGCTGGAGCTTCTCCCGTACTGAAGGCATCCTCTGTGAACCTGGAGCTCTCGAGCTTCTCTCCTCCCCAAGCAGCAGAGCCTGGAAAGTGGCCCAGGTTCTCGTTTTCACTTCTCACCACCTCCTGGCGCCTCCGTCCACTGCAGGCTGGTTCCTGCCCTTCCACTCCAGGGTTGCCAGGGAGCTCCGGCCGTGTAGCCCAGGGAGCCCTTTTCTGGTCCTTTTCTACCCGGGCATCTCTGAACCACACGGTTCCCCAAGTGGCTCCCTCTTCCTTCACTGCTGGGTTGCCTCTCACTGCGGCTCCTGCTGCCACAGCACTCCGTGGAGACTATTATTAACATTAGTACTTGCTGGGTCATAACTGCTTTCTCTCCGATCTAAAACCTTGGGAAACTTCAACACTGCAGCCAACCAACTCATCTTTAAGAATGCAGGAAGTGGATATCGCCCATGAGACACGCTAGTGCTCAGAGGTAACACACTCGATGTCAGCCAACATGAACAGGTGTGTGTCTCACCACTGCCCTTAGGAGGTGGAGACCTCGACCCCCAGGGTCCTCCCGCAGAGCCGTGGTCTTTGGGGGTGAGCTGTGCACACACACATTTCCTGGGCAGGACTGCTGACTTCCAGGAACAAGCTGCAGCATCTCCAAGGGCACTGGTGCAGCCTAGCTTTCAAGCTGTGCGTGGGAATTGGGGGCCGTTGGGACAGCCCTTTCCATCCATGATCTTCCTGACTTCCTGGGTGGAGGCCTTACCTGCCCACAGCAGCTCTCCCTCCACCACGTCGTAAACACAGCCCTTTCCTGCTTCACAGAAAGCCCCAACACAGGAGGGCTGCCCTGGCACCTGCTCCCTCCCACAGCATCTCCCCGCAGCTTCAGTTTCTCCAGTGCTGTTCAGGGTGATGGCATTCTTGTGCTGGGGATGACACGTCACAGGTGCAGTGCCCACAAGCTCGCCTGTGCTCCGGAATGACAGCATCACTCAGCAGATTACCTGGAGGCTGGACTGTTTCTGCCTGTTTGGAGAAGGTTCCATCTAGATTTCAAAAATCTTCCTAGGAAAAAAATCAGATCTCATTCACTGAAGATGGACATTTTCAGCAAGCCATATTTTTGCCTTCAGAGATACCATCCTTTGGCTGCAGTCTTGGAAAAAGTCAGAAGTAGGTGACCGTGCCAGCTGGCCAGACCTAACACAGGGCCGTGGGTCTACTGGGCCCTGTGGAATAGAACAGCTGATGGGAATGGCACCACCACTTCAACATCAGTCCTTCCTCTTGTTCATGCACAGACAAGTCTCTCCTTCTCAAAGCTGCCAGGTCAACTCTAACCACAGACCCATCAAAATGGACCCAGGAGCCCTGCCCACAGGGAATATTACCTGGTGGTCAAACCTCTCCCATGATGAACTTGTTACAGTCCTGATGTACTTCTAGGCAGTTAAGGCAGAGCCAGGAGCTTGGGGAAGAATCACTTGGCCAAATCCTGAGCTGGGTTCCCTGTCCCCTTCCTCAGCTACACCACACACTTCCCACGCAGTCCCTGTGGCGGGTTCTGTGGAGACTGAGTTTGGGATGTTTTCCAAAGAAAGAGAAGAATACATGAAACAGAAGCAGAGTGATTACGTTTCTCCATTTTTATCCACATGTGACCACACAGGTGATCCTAACCCGAACCCACCAGCTGCAGATCACTGGGCTGAATCATCGGCTTTGGTCTGAACCATGGTCGCGCAGTCTCCCAGAGGCCTTACCAGGGCAGCACCAGCTTTGTGGCCTGCGCCAGCTGTTTTTCAGATGTAAAGATCTCACCAAGCCTTCCCCGCAGAGCACTGATTCATTTGTTTTGAGAAATCTCATTTCTACCTTTTTTCACAGGACTTATGGTCCTCCTCTTGACTCAAGTCAAGGCAAATGTGTGAGGTGATAGGAACACAAATAGTCCCGAACTCTGCAATGACCTGTGCCCCTATAGTGCACTGGCTGGTGCCTACTTCCCAGACAATCTTCCTCCAGCACCGTGCGCCCATCCATCAGCCTCTGCAGACTCAGCCTGCAGGCACCACCTGGCCTTTGGAGGCTGCCCTTGAGCACTGGTGCCACTGCTTCCCCCTATGGTACTGGGTTAACCTGGGACCAACAGCCCCACGCCCAGGCCTGGGGCAAGATAGACTTCTGAAGAGCCACTGAGGCCCGGAAGCCCCCACTGGATCAGGCGGAGTCTGGGCTCCCCGCTCCAGCCAGGACTGCTTTCCTCCCGTTCCTGGCTCCCATGAGCACCTCCTTGAGAAAGCACTGGTCCCCAAATCCTTGGCTCTGGAGGATGCCAGCCTGAGATGAGCCCCTTCCCCTGTCTCTGTAAGCAGGTGTCACAGGTGGCACCCCCAGGAGCAGATGTGGAGCTGGACTTTGTATGCAGGACAGCTCAGGGTATTTATCTGGATCGATATCTGTGGGGAGGGGCGGAGGGAAGGGCACAGGAAGAAGTCCAGGGCGGTGCAGGGACACAGGGCTTCAGTCAGTCTCCTGGGGAGCTCTGGACACCAGCCCCTCAGGGCTGCCCTGCGGTGAGCTGAAACAACCAGGGATCAGTGGCCTCAGTCCAAAACCACAACCCCTTGCCCAGGAGAAAGGACCCTGCAACAAGGATCCGTGTGAGGGTCCCCTAATCCTTCCCCAGAAGGAGCTGTGTGGCCACTTAGCCAGCCGGACACCAGGGTGGGGTCCCCAGACATTCAAGGACTGCTAGACACAGGGTCTGAGTTGCCAAGGATGCCCAGAGACATGAAAAGTTGTCACGGCCCCCAGATTAGAGAGGGCACATAGAAGCCAGGTGACTCGTGGAGTTCTGGCTCAGGCCTGGATCACAGGGTGTCCAGTGGGTCCCTGGACAGACCCAACAGCCATGCCTCAATCCCCACGTGAATAACTGGATGGACATCTTGGAGTAGGCAGGTACAAGCCCTTTGCTGGTCATTGGCCTGTGGGTCAATGGTTACCACCATAGGGAAGGCCAAGCCTCCAAACTCCCCCAGCCCGTGGCCTTGGTAGTCCATTAAACTCTGCGTCTCATCACAGCGGAGGGTGTAGACAGTATTGGTCCCACATGGTTCTAAGGGCTGCTGGTCTGAGGAAGGGACAGGCTTGCACCAACGTTGCGGGGGACATCCAGGCTGGAAAGATGCTGGGAACAGTGGTGTGGAGGGGGAGAGGCCCCAGGAGGACTAGAATGTTCCAGGATCTGCTTGGCTGCGGAGCTGCTCTTTTGCCAGAAGAGCTCTCTGGAAGGCTGTGCTGGAACCAGGGCTGAGGCTCAGGGCGGGGAGTCCTTCTGTGGCAGCTGCAAAGCATGGCTTGTCCTCCGTCTCATCTCTCCTTATGCCACAGCCAGACCATGAGGTCAGCCACATGAAGGCAGCCCTGACACTCTGTGTCCCCCCTGCCGATGGCCCGGAACCCTGCAGGTGACTTGCTCCACCTTCTGCTTGTCTAGGAAAGGGAAGGGCTGCACAGAGGTCTGAGGAGACAGCTGCCAGGTGGAAGGCGTCCCTCTGCTCATGCGGACAGGGGACATGGAGCTACCTCGGCAGCACTTGCATTCTGGGGGGACAGAGAGATGCAGGTCGACCTGCAACGTGCGGGCCTCAGGGTGTGCAGGCTGCAAGGACCTGCAGGGGTGCCAGCGACAAAAGGCCCCTGGGAGCCAGAGACAAAACGCCCCTGGGAGTGATACGCTGCAGAAGACAAGGCAGAACCCCAGGCCCAGTGGACGCCACCCTTCAGAGAGACGGCACGAGGGCCCTCTGAGGAAAGCCGTCCCTTTGTCAGTGGCAACAATCTGAGCTGGTGACCCAGTGACCCTATGGTCCACACTTCCAAGACCCCTAATGGAGGCCCCGGCCGGACACAGCTTCGGCCCTCATTGTTAGACTACACGACCTCACCTCCTCCCAGAGCAAAGCACCGGAACACGGAAAAAAGGGAAGGAAGGAAGGAAGGAAGCCTGATTTTCAATCTGTAAGGTATATACCCAGCAGTGGGGTTGGGGTCATAGGTTGCTTCGATGTTTCATTTTTTGAGGATTCTCGGTCCTCTCTTCCATAGCAGCTGCGTCATTTTACCTTCTAGAGATCTGTGAGCAACATGGTACCCATAGCTAACAACGCTGCAGTGTACACTGAAAAGCTCTCAGACAGGAGATCTCAAAACTTGTTTTCACCACAAAAAAAGGGACAAGAGAGCAAGAAGAACCTTTCGGAGGCGATAAGTGGGTTTATTACCTGGATTGTAGGGATGGGGACGGCTTCACAGGTGAGTGCGTTTATTACCTGATTGTAGGGAGGGGTACGGCTTCACAGGTGAGTGTGTTTACTACCTGGATTGTGGGGAATGGGTACGGCTTCACAGGTGAGTGCGTTTATTACCTGGATTGTAGGGAGGGGGACGGCTTCACAGGTGAGTGCATTTATTACCTGGATTGTAGGGGTGGGGGACGGCTTCACAGGTGAGTGCGTTTATTACCTGGATTGTAGGGGTGGGGGACGGCTTCACAGGTGAGTGCGTTTATTACCTGGATTGTAGGGGTGGAGGACGGCTTCACAGGTGAGTGCGTTTATTACCTGGATTGTAGGGGTGGGGGACGGCTTCACAGGTGAGTGCGTTTATTACCTGGATTGTAGGGAGGGGGACGGCTTCACAGGTGAGTGCATTTATTACCTGGATTGTAGGGGTGGGGGACGGCTTCACAGGTGAGTGCGTTTATTACCTGGATTGTAGGGGTGGGGGATGGCTTCACAGGTGAGTGCGTTTATTACCTGGATTGTAGGGATGGGGGACGGCTTCACAGGTGAGTGCGTTTATTACCTGGATTGTAGGGGTGGAGGATGGCTTCACAGGTGAGTGCGTTTATTACCTGGATTGTAGGGGTGGGGGACGGCTTCACAGGTGAGTGCGTTTATTACCTGGATTGTAGGGGTGGGGGACGGCTTCACAGGTGAGTGCGTTTATTACCTGGATTGTAGGGGTGGGGGATGGCTTCACAGGTGAGTGCGTTTATTACCTGGATTGTAGGGGTGGGGGACGGCTTCACAGGTGAGTGCGTTTATTACCTGGATTGTAGGGGTGGGGGACGGCTTCACAGGTGACTGCGTTTATTACCTGGATTGTAGGGGTGGGGGATGGCTTCACAGGTGAGTGCGTTTATTACCTGGATTGTAGGGAGGGGGACGGCTTCACAGGTGTGTACACATGTTTAAACCCATCACATTATATACATTAAATACACACAGTTTTTGTATATCGTTTACTACTAAAACTGTTTAAAAATAAAATAAATCTCCACCTTTTCTTATTGTCAGACCATAATTTCTGCCAGTCACGTGGGTAGGAGACGGTTTCCCATGATTGTTTTCCGCGATGTTTCTTGGCGTCCGGAGAGGCTGAGCACCCTGCGTGTGCCAGTGGTCACGTGACCTCTCCCTTGCAGGATTTCTAGTCTTGCCGCGGGTGGCTTTATCGTATGCTAGACACTAATTTATTTTCAGTTACGTGCATTGCATCACACATACATTCTCCTAGACTTCACGACATCCTTTGTTATACAGAAGGTGGCCTGATTCCTGGTTTGTTTTATTCATTATAATCAAATTCCTGTCACTGCAGTCAGAAGCGGAGTGTCCGCAGCCACACAGGCTGGGAACCAGGCTCTCCTCCTGACCAGCTGCTCCTCAGCCAAGTCACCGTCCCTCAGTTTCCACCTCTGCAAAGGGGTCCCACCACTGCCTCGACCACATGGGGCTGTTGAGAAGATTCAACCAATGTGTTTGTAAAGTGCTTTCAACAGTGCCTGGCATGAAGGAAGCCCTGAATAAATGTTCGTTCATTTCACTATTATCACTTCATCGTTGTTTTCCTTTTCAGTTTCTGCCGTTTCTGCCTGATTTAAAAAGCCCTTCCATATCCTAATGTTAACCATTGTTTTCTTCCAGAAGTTTTCAAGTTTGGCTTTTCACAGTTCAGCCTTTCAAGCGTTTCTGGGTTGTGTTCTCTTGTGACTGGCTTCTGTTTCTATCTGTATTCCTACGTGCCTATGCGGCAGGTTCCCCTTCTCTCCAGGCAGCCCCATCATAGCCCCAGCCCCTGTGTGGCAGGGTCAGCCTGCACCCTCTGCCTCCTCCCCCATGGACTATGATTCTGCAGGGGTGTGGACACGCACATGTGCTCAGGATACTGGAATAACACTGACTTTCTGCACGGCAGCCCGCACCGCCACCCTTCTTCAGGTGTGCCTGGGCTGGGCACGGCAGCCCCCACCGCCGCTCTTCAGGTGCACCTGGGCTGGGCTTTTTATCATCCAGTGAACTTTAGAATCTGCTGTCAGTGTCATTAAACATCATTTGGGATTCTGATAGGAATCGCATTGATTTTATAAATTCATCTGAGAAGAGCTGCCATCTTTACGCTGTGTCAATCAACATGATAGACCTCTCATATATGTGTGGGTTCCTTATGTCTTTGGACAATGTTATAATTTATGGGTTTCCTCATCATCTTCTTGTATGAGGGGCATTGCTCATCTTTTACTAGATCTGTTGGTGGGAGCTTTGCAGCTTGTGTTGCCATTGGGGATGGTACCTTTTCTCCTGTTGCTTCAGTTGGTTATTATCGGTGGAAATGAATCTATCAGGGGTTTTTTTGTAAGTTTGTTTTTTGTTTTTGAGACAGAGTCTTGCTCTGTCACCAAGGCTGGAGTGCAGTGGCACGATCTCAACTCACTGCAACCTCTGCCTCCCAGGTTCAAGCGATCCTCGTGCTTCAGCCTCCCAAGTAGCTGGGATTACAGGTGTGTACCACCACACCCTGGTAATTTTTGTATTTTTTAGTGGAGATGAGGTTTCACCATACTGGTCAGACTGGTCTCAAACTACTCATCTCACGTGATCAGCCTGCCTTGGCCTCCCAAAGCGCTGAGATTGCAGGCGTGAGCCACCATGCCCGGCGCTATCAGGTTTTTAACGTTGCTTTTGTGCCCAATGACTTTGCCAGCCAGTCTCTTAAGTGTGAACGGTGTGCAGATATGTTTGCATTTTCAATCCTGCTGTCTTCAAATAACCGTCACTGGGTTTCTGACTCCCCAGCCGGTGGATTGCCTGTTGCTCATGGCTCTCGCCAGCAGCTGCAGCCACCAGGACACATCCAGGTCAGAGGAGACAGAACACGTTCTCTCTTCACTCCTGACTTTGATGGGAGTGCTTTTGGAATTTCATCATCAAATATGTTTTCCATATTTGTCAGGGTAAGGAAATCCCCTTTTATCCCTCATCTGTTAACATTTCTTAGAGTAAATGAGTAATGATTTCTTCAAAGGCATTTTTGTACCCGTTGAGTGATATTCACTTTTCTCTCCCTTTTGATGGATGAGTAGAGGAAGCAGATTCTGTGACGTGAAGCCATCTATTCATTTCCCTGGTCATGAAACAGGTCGGCATCTGCACTCTTGCATCCTGGACATGTGCTGCTGTGTTTCACGGTTTGCACGTCCGTCTGTGTTTGTCATGAAACATGTCAGCGTCTGCACTCTTGCATCCTGGACATGTGCTGCTGTGTTTCACGGTTTGCACGTCTGTGTTTTCATGAAACATATCAGCATCTGCACTCTTGCGTCCTGGACATGTGCTGCTGTGTTTCACAGTTTGCACGTCTGTGTTTGGAAACGTGGTTGTTCACTGTTGTGTGTGGTTCATTTTCCTCCCGTGTTTACTGTGTTGGTTTGGGCTCCCTATGATTTCGATCAGGCCGTGATTTTCCTCCCTTCTCTCTTCCCATGCTCCCTCTGCAGCTCAAACAGGGTCCTGGGCCCAGAAGCAAGTTTCATGCTCAGTCTCGGGGCCTGAGACTCACAGAGACGTGGAGGGCATCACAAGGTTGATCAACAAGCCCACCAGTGATTCAGCCCCCACCTGGTTTCACAGCCCTGGTGCCTCTGTCCACCTCCCAGGCACAGATTCCGAGAAAGTGCCTCTGGACATGGCACTCACAGCCTTGCCTGGGCTCTGCCTCCTGCCCTACCCCTTCCTTGGTGTATGTTGGGAGCCGCTCCCTCGCCGCCTTGGTGGGGCACACACTCCCTTTGACTCCCTGGATCCAAGCCCCAGGCCACCTCTGCCTGCTCCCAGGGGCTTCGACCCACACAATGCCTTGGGTATCAGCTTTATTTCTGGGCCCCAGCAATGCTAATTTTCTCTAACATGACGGTAGCGTTTAATTTTCATTTGTCTGATTAGCTGTGTCTGGTACCCCACTGTGTTTGGAAGGAAAGGGTCTCTGAGGATGGCCTTACAGTGCCGTCCTGGCAGGCCACTCAGGGGCTGCCTGACGCACGTCCTTGGGAACTCGGGAAGCCAGGCGGCATCATGGGAGAAACCACACGCATTCCAGTTGCACCCAGGCAGTCCTGCCCACGTGGAGAGGTCCTGGGCAAACCCTGTCTCTGGAGGTACCCCAACCATGCCCTCAAGCCTGGTGCCTTCTGGATCCCTGCCCTTCCCAGTCCAGGGTGCCCCACAAGAACATCTTCCCCTGGGGCTTGACCTGCATCCTTGCTGCTGCCTCCAGCTGCCATGTGTCCTGCCCTTCTCCCGCCCCAGAGGGCCTCATCCTCACACGTGGGAGTCCATTTGAGAGTCTGCTGGATGCGTAGGCCTCTGCTCAGAGAGTAGAAGTGCTAAAGTACAGGTGCACATACTGAAGAATGCAGGTGCCTAGAAAGCTTCACTGATCCCACTTTGAAGATCACCGCCCCCACACCTTCCAGGAGCCTCACGCGTCCCCCACTGAGGCCAGAGCCATCACAAATCAAGGTTTTCATCCTCCTGCAATCCAGCAAAAGGAAGATAGAGAAAGGAGAAATTTTTCAGGAAGAGTGGACACAAGAAGAAGCATGTTTTTTTTGTTGTTGGGGCCAAACTCAGGGATTTTCTGCATAAAGGGCACAGAGCCGCCCTCTCACATGAGCACTTCCTGCTGAGGGCCCTGGATGAGCCTCCCGTTGCTTCCGTACAAACAACCATGACTTAGTGCCTGGAGCAACAAGTGTGGACTTCCCAGAGTTCTGCAGGTCCAGCTCCAAAGTCGACCTGGACTAACTCGACTTGCGGCAGGCCTGGCTCCTCCTGGAGGCTCCAGGGGAGGACCTTCCTTGCCTTGAGTCCTTCTCATGCCACCGTCTCTCTAACCTCCTCTCCAAGCCCCTCTTCCACTGTGAAGGACCCTTGGATGACAAAGGACAATCTCCCTACCGTAAGGTCACCTGATCAACCCCTCAATCCCATCTGCAAGCTTAATTTCCATGTTTCCAGGTTCCGGGGAGGAGGAGGGGGATGTCTTTGGGGCCCCCAGTCGTGGACCACAGGCACTGAATGCTTCCCATCAGGACACCAGTGAGGAGAGCTGGTGAGACTCTGTATCTGGCTGTGAGCCCAGTGGAGCCCAGTGGGATCTTAGCTCCCTGCAGCAGTGTGAGCTGGAGGGACCACGTGGAAAGCCATGTCTCCGAGGGAGGGAGGCTGTGTTCTTGAGGCTTCACTTGAGTTCCATGGCAGGCCTGGCAGCGTGGGAGAGAGGTGACCCATAGGTGCACGGCAGGTCCTCCCACCCCCTCCAGTGGGTGTTCGCTGCCCTGTGGCCCTCAGACAACCACCTGCAGCCCCTGTGCAGACCTTCCCTGCCCCCACACACCTGACTATCCCCAAAGGGACATGCATCCCACATGGGATCGCCCTGAGCACAGCCCAGTGACACTGGCCCTTGGATAGTTCTGTTGTTCTTAATTTCCCCCATCATTCACCCATCTTAGTGGATTTCTCCAGGAACACAAGAGTCTGTAGCCTCTGAATCCAGGACTTTCTCCTAACAAAACTGCCATTGCAGCTTCAGGTAATGAAACTGAGGAGGACATTGCCAGGAGCTGGGGTACTGCCTGCCCCGTGCAGCTGTGTTTTCCCTCATCTTTCAGCAAACCCTGCTGAGATTCAGCGTGTGATGAGGAGTCACGGCTGCACAACAGAGGTCATTTTTTGTTCCTTGTCACATAAAATTGGAAGCTTAGAGAACACCATGAGGAAGTTTTTAAAACTTTTATGAATTATTCCCACCAGGAGTCATAAGCATTTTTCACTGTGGTCATTTTGGGTTCAGTGAAGCAATGATTGGGCTGAGAGTCTCCTGGTTTTATGATTAAAAGGGCAGGTTCTCTCGTCCGGTCACACAGGCCTGCATGGAAGTCAACCATGTCCTTGGGACTAAATCAATCCACTTAGGAAATAGGAGGACGAAATGCAAGGAGAAACTGCAGAGCATGGAGATGAGCTGCCCTCCCCGGCCAGGGCTGGGAACCACCACCTCCCAGCCAAGGGCAGGTGCAGCGGGCGCTGGGGCAGGGATGTGCTGGAGCCCTGTGCCTGAGTCAGTGCTGCTCCAGGACTGCTGGCTGTGCTGCTGGCCCCGCAGGTCACACCGTGTGCAGGGCCTGTGGCTGCACCCACCCAGCTGTGGGGACTTCTGAGTGCTGCGGTTTTCCTGCCTCAGTACATCGGTGTCTGGCTGTCGGCCCCACTCTGGAGATGACAGCCCCCAGGTGGCAGAACTAGCAGTTCTGGAGGATCACATGGACTGCGTTCATACACAGCCACCCACCCATGCTTAGGCAACCTCGAGAGATCATGGCCTGGGCTCTGCAGCTCCATTAGCCAAAGAGTGCCACCGCAGAGCTCACGGGAAGGGCTGTCCCATGCAGTACGCAAGCGGGTGTTGGTAAAGTGCGGAGGACAGAGAAAGCTCAGTCACCTAAAGAACGGGTCCTGCTCATCCAGGGCTGGGAAAGCTGCACACAGCAGCCACCCTAGGTCACTCAGACACACTCCTTCTGGCTGGGATGACACAGGGTTCAGGGGCTTCAAGTCCCACCTCCAAACACTTCTAATGACAATCCGAGCACTGCGTGCACTTTTACGCGAGGAGCCCCGGGGCTGTGCATGCACACTCGAAGCGGGGTGTGGTGTTGGAATGTGACAGCTGCTTGCAGACCTCAGGGTCCCCCACACCCACACACTTCAGCTTCTCCTCTATCTCCTAAAAACAAGAGCCTGCATAACAATCAGCACAATTATTGAAGATTCAAATGTGCAGTCCTTATTTAAATATCCTCAATTATCCCATAATGTCCTTGGCAGGTTTCTTTTAATGCAGGTGACCCAGTGAATAGTTGCACGCTGCATTTAGTCATAGTGTCTCCAGTCTCCTTTAGCGTGGAACAGCTTCCACTTTGTATTGCTGTTATTTACCTGTTGCTGTTTTGAAAGGTCCAGCCCAGTTGCTTTGCTGGAGGTACCTCATTTGGAAACGCCTGGTTGCTTCCCATGTTGAGAGAAAGCTGTCGCAGGTGCTGCATCCTGCCCAGGGCACCCACACGGGGCCAGCTCCCCAACCAGGGGTGTCGTGCCTTGTCACTGGGTTGTGGCTCGTCTTCCACCTTCTCAATCCTGAAGGCACCTGCACCGAGCAGCCTGTGGTGATACTTTGAGACTTGCTCTGGCACAACTGGCTGTTCCAGGCCCACTTTGCAGGCTTCCCACAGTGGGGGTCTGGAGCCGGCCCTGGTTCCTTCAGCGAGAAAAGGCATTTGGAAACCATGACCCAGGTGCCTCTGCTCTTTGACAAGGTCTAATTTCTAGAAGGAGGTTCTTTCTTCTGTGATGCCAGGTTATTTCCTTTCAATTCCCGTACTGTGGATTTCTCTCCAAAATGCAAGATAGTTACAGAGGACGCACACATGTAGCCACCAGAGGACAGGGAAAGGAGCCTGTGGCACAGCCCCTAATAATCCTGAGCACACGGCACCTCCATCCCATCCACTACACACCCTCCTGGGTCCCGGTGCTGCCAGCCCTCGGGGGTGGGTTTGTTCTGTGTTCTGTCCCCACTCTGTCCCCACCGGGATGGGCCCCCACCATGGCCTGAGTTATCCACAGATTCCTCTTCTCTTTTAGATCCCCAGTTCCCGGGACATATCACTTGGTCCTGGTGGTCTCGGCTAGCACCCACCTGTGCATTCCTGAGAAGAGGGCATGGAGGTTCTTTGCAATTTCTGGATCTTCCTGCCCACCAGAAGCCTTCTTGGGGGAGAAAGTCTGTTTCCTCTTTTCTGCTGTGTCACATTCTTTGGCTTAGCCATGTCTTCGAAATAGATGACAACATATTTGTCTAAGGGTGCCTTTATTAGTCAATGTAAAGTTCAGCAAAAGCAAACTCATTCCCTGCCCCACTGTCTTTTTGCATTTAGCCATGTGTGTACATTACTTTAAAAGAATCTCTATCGTGAGAATGGCCATACTGCCCAAGGTAATTTACAGATTCAATGCCATCCCCATCAAGCTACCAATGACTTTCTTCACAGAATTGGAAAAAACTACTTTAAAGTTCATATGGAACCAAAAAAGAGCCCGCATCACCAAGTCAATCCTAAGCCAAAAGAACAAAGCTGGAGGCATCACACTACCGGACTTCAAACTATACTACAAGGCTACAGTAACCAAAACAGCATGGTACTGGTACCAAAACAGAGATATAGATCAATGGAACAGAACAGAGCCCTCAGAAATAATGCCGCATATCTACAACCATCTGATCTTTGACAAACCTGAGAAAAACAAGCAATGGGGAAAGGATTCCCTATTTAATAAATGGTGCTGGGAAAACTGGCTAGCCATACGTAGAAAGCTGAAACTGGATCCCTTCCTTACACCTTATACAAAAATCAATTCAAGATGGATTAAAGATTTAAACGTTAGACCTAAAACCATAAAAACCCTAGAAGAAAACCTAGGCATTACCATTCAGGACATAGGCGTGGGCAAGGACTTCATGTCCAAAACACCAAAAGCAATGGCAACAAAAGCCAAAATTGACAAATGGGATCTAATTAAACTAAAGAGCTTCTGCACAGCAAAAGAAACTACCATCAGAGTGAACAGGCAACCTACAACATGGGAGAAAATTTTCGCAACCTACTCATCTGACAAAGGGCTAATATCCAGAATCTACAATGAACTCAAACAAATTTACAAGAAAAAAACAAACAACCCCATCAAAAAGTGGGCGAAGGACATGAACAGACACTTCTCACAAGAAGACATTTATGCAGCCAAAAAACACATGAAGAAATGCTCATCATCACTGGCCATCAGAGAAATGCAAATCAAAACCACTATGAGATATCATCTCACACCAGTTAGAATGGCAATCATTAAAAAGTCAGGAAACAACAGGTGCTGGAGAGGATGTGGAGAAATAGGAACACTTTTACACTGTTGGTGGGACTGTAAACTAGTTCAACCATTGTGGAAGTCAGTGTGGCGATTCCTCAGGGATCTAGAACTAGAAATACCATTTGACCCAGCCATCCCATTACTGGGTATATACCCAAAGGACTGTAAATCATGCTGCTATAAAGACACATGCACACGTATGTTTATTGCGGCACTATTCACAATAGCAAAGACTTGGAACCAACCCAAATGTCCAACAATGATAGACTGGATTAAGAAAATGTGGCACATATACACCATGGAATACTATGCAGCCATAAAAAATGATGAGTTCATGTCCTTTGTAGGGACATGGATGAAATTGGAAACCATCATTCTCAGTAAACTATCGCAAGAACAAAAAACCAAACACCGCATATTCTCACTCATAGGTGGGAATTGAACAATGAGATCACATGGACACAGGAAGGGGAATATCACACTCTGGGGACTGTGGTGGGGTCGGGGGAGGGGGGAGGGATAGCATTGGGAGATATACCTAATGCTAGATGACACGTTAGTGGGTGCAGCGCACCAGCATGGCACATGTATACATATGTAACTAACCTGCACAATGTGCACATGTACCCTAAAACTTAGAGTATAATAAAAAAAAAAAATCCTAAAAAAAAATAAATAAATAAATAAAAGAATCTCAACAGCACAAAAGCAGATATCACAAAAAGCAGGTCTCCCTCCACCCCTGTCCCCTGCCATTGTCCCCAGAGACAGCCACAGCCCCTGGCACCTGTCAGCCATGTTGACAGAAAGCCAAGCCTGCATGTGCCCATACCATTTTAGAGCATATTATATACTTTTTCACTGAATAAGTTCATCTTAATACTTTTAATATTGGTGATCTCACCAGTACTTATCAGTACTAATAGATATTCTTTTTAATATCTGTGCAGAACTCTATGGCATGGCTAAAGCATATTTCATTCACCTAGCCCGCCAGTGGACAGGTGGCTCTCCCCTGCCTCCCTGCTATTGAAATGCTGCCTCACACATAAGATGCTGCACTCCTGTGTGATTCATCCCAAGGCCAATCCCAACACTAGGCTGCTACATCAAGGAAGTTTCACATTCTAAGTTGTCAGCACATTTCCTTCCACACAGGAAGCCCTGCCCACAGGATCGCAAGCAGAGCTGAGAGTGTGTGGTGCCGTATCCTCGTCAGTACCGACTGTTCCCACACTTCATCATCTTTGCCAGTCTGGTTAGTGGAAGACAACACACTGGTGGCTTGATGCACATGCTTCTGTCACTCCTTCGCATCCGTCTCTCTCTCTCTCTCTCCTTGAGGGAGGTTTTTTTATTTCCTCTCCTTCCTGAACTCCCCGTGCATGCCCCCTAGAACCTGTCACCTTCCTCCCTGAAACAGAAATAGGGCAAGGCCAGCTCTGGCCAGTATCCCTCCACCTGTCTGCAAAACACAAGGATGGCCATAGTGAATCATCTCATCCCTGCCCCAATGCCCCCTTCCTGCCTTCGGGATCTGAGCCAGCCTTGTGACATGCTTTGAACCAGCAGAAAGCTGCAGAAGCAAAGCCTGGCGACCTCTGAGATGAGGTCTCAAGAGTTTGAAAGATTCACTCTGTTTCCCATGGACCACGGCTCTGGAGTGGAAGGCCACACAGCCAATGCCAGCACCAACTGCCCGTCAAGCCACCAGATGACTATAGTCAGAAAGTGACCCCAGATAAGACCAGCAGAAGAACCATCCAACTGAGCCCAGCCCAAATTGCTGAGCACATAATTGTTAGAAAAAAACCTGCCTGCTGCTTTACCTCAGTGTTAAACCTATGTGTTGGAGTGATTCGTTACACACCATGGATTATGGGTACTGAGATGACCATGGCAGACAGGAATGCAGAGAGGAACACGCTCAGATGCAGACACACACAGCTGTTTGATCAGGAGTCCCAATGCTGGATTTGCTAAGAGAACCAACACATCTTTAGAAAATAGCTTGTTTCTATTCCAAGTTTCTAGGGAAGTAACAGGCATGTGGGGGGTTGGCACCGTGCTGGAGGGAAAACAGGAGATGGTGAGAGCTTCATATGGGGTGGGGGCCAAATCCAAACATGCCCACTTATGGTTTTTCCCAAAGCACTGGAAGAAGAAGTCTCCTGTGCCCATAGGAAATACTTTTGCTTTGAAATTAAAGCCGTGACATACTGATGGTTCTGCTATCACCTGCCTTGTTGGAAAGAGAACAATGAAGCATACAGCAGGACACACGTCTCCAGGGAAGTCCAACTGCACAGGCATTGAGGCCTCACGACTGGTACATGGGGCCTTCATGAGCGCCAGCTCCATGAGCTGACCCAAGGGTTTGGCCTCAGTGCCCCCAAGCACAGCCAGGGGGATCAGTGGGCAGAGGGTGAACATCTGAGCACCCAAGGATAGAGCTGACATCAACCTGGGAAGGTGAATCCTTCCTCAGGTTCCAGGGGTAAAAATCCAGAGTCAAGAGTGGAAGGTGTAGCTGGAACTTGGACTCTGGGTGAAAGTGGAATGGAGCCTGGAGATGCGAAGCCTTAGGTGGAATCTGGAAGGAAGCTTTCAACAGCCCATGGCTTTTCCCTATAGTGACTGAGGGTGGGCCATGCACCAGAGTGGGCAACTCCATGATAAAGGCACAGGATGGGGCTGATAAAGTCAGAGAAAGCACAGAGTGCAGGGAAAGTCCACCGAAAGTCTCAGAGAGGGCAAGCAGGTGCAGGAAGAGAAAGAGTCCCAGGGGCGTGCCAGAGAAAAGAGGCATGCCCGGAAGGGGCGTGCCAGAGAAGGGAGGTGTGCCTGGGAGCAGGTCAAGGTCAAAAGAACACCTCGCCTGTGCAGCCTGCCAGGCATGCGCGCCAAGGGGAGAGGCCTCGGCTGCACCTCATGTTTATGGACTTGATCTTTGCTGGCAGCGAAGCTTCCGGCCTCAATATGCTGGCCAGGCGAGAAGATGCTTCCCACAGGGACCCTGCCTGCATGTTGGGAGCTTCCCATGCAAGGTGGTGAGAGGGAGCTGCTATAGACAGCAGCGTGGATGCAGAACCAAATGCCTCGATATCATAGCCAAAAAACATGCAAACAAGAGTCACAAAGGCGTCTCAAAGCCTGGTTTCCAAAGGCATTTGGCAAGCAGCTCGAAATGTGCACAGCTGCTCTAATGACATGGTTAACTGGCTTGCACTGGGAGCTGGAAGGAAACATCTCAGAAACTCGCTTTCCTTCCATTACCAAACACAATGGCATACGTGACTTGGAACTACCCTATGACATGCCAGGGATTAGAGTGGGACAGCCACCTATTATCACAGGAGTCTCAGTCCATGTGATTAGACAGGCTTGGACCAAATATTATGGAAAATGTGTCTAGAATTTAGCCTGTGAGGTAGCGAATACAAATATACCCTAAAGACAATTTGTCACTGTTCATATGGGTCAAAATCATAGTTAATAACCACAGATAAGTGAACTGTCAAATTGAAACTCATTACTGGGGAAAACATACCTGATATGCAGCATATAGCATTAAAGTGCTCCCCGCCTTCCACGTTCCTGCTGCCAATTCCAGAAATAAAACCACTGCACTTTTTCTAAAAGTGTAACACTTGGGAAAGGCAAATGGGTACTTCTCCCAGCAACTCCCAACCCTCACATCTATTAAGCTGGCCGTATTCTGGCATCTTCTCCCCAGATGCAATTGCTAGGGCTGTTTGTGACGCACGACAACAGACCAGGATTAAAAGAATCTTCCTTTACTTTGTGCTCAACGGTTGCTTTTGAAAACTCTTTGCACCTTCATTTGTTTTCAGGAATTTGCTTCTCATCGAACACAACCCTGTCTGGGTGATCTGGGTCCATCCTAGACTCAGACAGATTCTCCAGACTCATTTCATCAGCTCGGAACCCAGCAATGCACGTAGATACCACAGACATATACACACACAGAGACATACACTGAGAGACACAAAGACGCACACACGCAGCACACATGCAGAAACAGAAAGAGACACACACCCACCACACAGACACACACACACACAAAGCACACACAGACACACACCTGCCACACAGACACATGCACACAGAGACACAGACATACACACAGAGCACACATACAGAAACAGAGAGAGACACACACCCCCCACACAGACACACACACACATCACCCGTAGAGACACACACCCCCCACACAGACACACACACACATAGAGACACAAAGACACCCACACAGCACACATGCAGAAACACAGAGAGATATAGATACACACAGACACACAGAGACACAGACACACACACCACACATAGAGACACACTCCTGCCACACAGACACATACACACACAGAGAGACAGACACACACACAGAGCACACATGCAGAGACAGAGAGACACATACACAGAGACACACACCTGCCAGACACACACACACAGAGACACAGACACACACACAGAGACACAGACACACACACAGAGACAGCTCCTGCCCCGACACACACACACAAGCCGGTGCCCCAGCAGCTGCCCTTCAATCAGTGACTGCCCCAGACAAGCTGTGCATATCCAATGAAGCTGGGAACCTAATTTAATCCAAAATTTCCTGTTTGCATTAAATATCTAGATAAGGTAGGCAAAGTCCCTTTTCTGGGTTCTCTGTGTACTTTCTACCGGGAGTACTCAGAAACGTGGAAGTGGGTGTGGGTCAGGGAGAGGCCCACGGGAGGACTCAAACCGGAGGATGCTGGACCTTCCCCCCAAATCTGGGCACCTGAGGAAATCGACCTGAGCGGCCGTGAAAGGGCATGGAAAATTCCAGGATGTTCCAGTTAGGACAGTTAGGAGGGTGTCCAGGAGGGACACAAGAGTCTTGTCTCAGAATGACTGGGCCACACTCCAGGGAAGCCAGGAGGGAGGCACAAAGCTGCCTGTCCCTCCCCTGGGGTGAGGACGTGAGCCTCACGTGTCCCTGCAGGAGGGAGACACAAAGCTGCCTGTCCCTCCCCTGGGGTGAGGACATGAGCCTCACGTGTCCTGGGGGAGCCATTTCTCCTCATTCCACAGCCAGTTGGCTGGGCGCAGCATCCCTGGTCCTCCACACCTGCAAGCCCAATGTGCATCCTGCTATTCTCCATGCCTCGCAAACAATGGCTCGGGAGGACCCGCACTGCCATCCTAGCAGGAGGGTACTGGGATCAGCCCCATGTCTCAGGGGAGGGCAGCTGGAGTGTCCTAGAGCTGGAACCCAGGAGTCCGAGACCCAGAGTTCCACAATGGGGCCGGCAGCACGTTGCTTCCACAACATCTGCTGAGGTGAGCACGTCGCTGTCATGGGAGTGTGACATGCAGTTCTGAGAAATGCCAGAGAGACTCCTCGTCACCTACCCCAGCATCCCGCAATGGCAACATTCTGCAAAACAGCAGAGGTAACATCACCAGGATAACGGCATTGATAAATCAACCAAACCTACATAGCCTTGCTCATACTCATTATGCACGTGTGTGTGTTCAGGTTTATATAATTATATAAATTAAAATTGTTTTAGCTATTCAACAGCCTGAGCATTTCTATATAAGTTTTAGAGTAAGCTTGTTTATGTTTACCAAAAAAAACCTTTCTTGGATTTTGATGGGAATTGTATCAAATCTACAAATAAATTTGAGGGGAATTGACATCAACTGTCCACTCTCAGTCAGGATCCTGAACCGCTCCAGCCCCACAAGGATCCCTCATCCCGACCTTTCATAACCACACCTGCTGCCCATCCCACCCTCCTCCCGCTCCTCCTCCCTGAGCCTCCTCCTCTGCCTCAGCCCATCCTAAACCAGGGCTACCACTAATCCAGAGGCCTAATCTGTCTTCTGCTTCTAGAGTTTTGTCATTTCAAAATGTTATAAAGTGGGATTATATGGTACATACGTTGTGTGTGTGCACCGTTACACGGCACACACCCTGAGTTGTTTTTGTTGTTGTTGTTTGAGACGGAGTCTCGCTCTGTTGCCCAGGCTGGAGTGCAATGGTGCAATCTTGGCTCACTGCAACCTCTGCCTCCTGGATTCCAGCGATTCTCCTGCCTCAGCCTCCCGAGTAGCTGGGATTACAGACATGCACCACCACGCCTGGCTAATTTTTTTCTATTTTTGTAGAAACGGGGTTTCTTCATGTTGGCCAGGCTGGTCTTGAACTCCTGACCTCAGGTGATCCCCCCGCCTCAGCCTCCCAAAGTGCTGGGATTACAGGCATGAGCCACCGCACCCAGCCACACACTGGCCTTTTACACCGAGTAGAATTCTCTGGACGCCCATGCAGGTTATTGTGCACACCCACAGTTCACTCCTTCTTACTTCTGAGTGGTGACCCATGGTGTGAATGCACATGGTTTATTTAACCACGCCTCCTTTCAAGGACATCTGGGCAGACTCCAGTTCTTACCTATTACAAATAAAGTTGCTGTGAGCATTCACGCACAGCTTTTGAGTGACCATAAGCTTCCATTTCTTGTGGGGAAATGCCCAGGAGAGCAAGGACTGGGTCCCATGGAAGCTGCATGTGTAGTTTTACAGGAAAGCACCAGCCTGTGTTCCCAAGAGGCTGTGCCATTTGACATTCCCATTGGCAATGAATGAGGGGCCCGTTTCCCTGCTTCCTCTCTAGCACTTGACGTTGTCTCTGTTTTTTAACTTTAGCCACTCTCGTAAGTGTGCTCCGAGATCTGTGTGGTTTTAATTTGACTTTCCTTACTAGCTAATGACATCACACACGTTTTCATGTGCTCGTTTGCCATCTATATACTCTCTTTGGTGAAATGTCTTCTGCCCTTCCATGAATAGGATTGTTTGGTTTTTTGCTGTTTAAGTTTGAGCTTTTGATATTCTAGATATTTTATATATTCTAGAGACTTACATATTCTAGATACTCTAGTCATTTGTCAGACTTGTAGTTTGCAAGCATTTTTCACACAGTTTGTAGCTTGTCTCTCATCCTTTTCACAAGGGCTTTCACAGAGCAATGACGTTTAATTTTGATTAGTTTCAATTGACCAGTTTCTCCTTTTATATAAATTGCGCTTTTGGCATCAAATCTAGAAACTGCCTAGCCCTAGATTCTGAAGATTTTCTCTTATTTCTTTCTAAAAGTTTTTATTGTTTAATGTGTTACATTTAATCTGTGATCCAGTTTGAGTTACTTTTCCTATAAGGTGTGAGACACTGAGATTGAGGCTCACGTTTTTGTCTGGGGGTGTCCAGTGCCCCAGCATCATTTGTTGAAAAGTCTACCCGCCTTCCGTTGCGTTGCTTTTGCACCTTTGTCAACAATCAGTGGGACGTATGTTTGTGGGTCTGTCTGTGAGTTCTCTGTTCTGTTGCCCTATGCATCTATTCCAAAATCAGTGGGACATATTTTTGTGGGTTCTGTCTGTGAGCTCTCTGTTCTGTTGACATATGCACCTATTCCATCACCTAGCATGCTGTTTCGATATTAAAGCTCCATTAAAAAGTCTCAAAATCAGTTAGTCTGATTCCTCCAGACTTATTTTCAAAATTGTTTTAGCTATTTGACAGCCTGAGCCTTTCCATATACATTTCAGAATAAGGTTGTTTGTATTTACAAAACAAAACAAAACAAACAAACAAAAACAAAGAAACCTTTCTTGGATTTTGAGAGGAATTCCGTTAACTCATGAGCACAATTTGTCTCTCCATTTATTTGTCTTTCTTTTTTTATTTTTTATTTTCTAATAGAGACAGGGCCTCACTATGTTGCCCAGGCTGGTCTCGAACTCCTGAGCTCAAGTGATCTGCCCACCTCAGCCTCTCAAAGTGCTGGGACTACAGGCATCAGCCACCATGCCTGGCCTATTTATTTTTTAACAGTACACTGTCATTCCCCGTCGTCACCATGTAGTATAATAGATCTTGAGCTTTGCCTCCCACATCCTCCTGTTCCCAGCTCCTGGTAACCTCCATTCTACTCTCTGCTTCTACGAGTTTAATTTTCCTTGATTCCAGATATAAGTGAGCTCACGGGGCATTTGTCTTTCTGTGCCTGGCTTATTTCACTTAACATAATATCTTCCAAGCTCACCCATGTTGTTGCAAATAATAGGATATCTCCCTTTTTAAGGCTAAATAGAATTGTACTGTGTAGATACAGCACATTTTCTTTCTTTACTCAGCCGTGGATGAACTCTTAGGTTGATTCCATATCCCGGGTACTGTGAACAGCACGGCAATGAACATTGGGGTGCAGGTATCTCTTCCACACTCCGATTTCATTTCCTCTGGACACATACCCCAGCACATCCTGGATCATCTGGGAGTTTCTATTTTAAGTTTTTGAGGAATCTGCATACTGATTTCCATCATGGCTATACTAGTTTACATTCCCACCAACACTGTGTAAATGTTCCCTTTCCTCCACATCCTCCCCAATACTAGTTATCTTTTGTCTTTTCCATAATAGTCATTCTAACAGATGTGAGTTGACCTCTCATTGTGGTTCTTGTTTGCATTTCTGTAACCATTAGTGATGTTGAGCATTTTTTTCATGTACCTATTGGCCATTCATATTGAGAAATGTCTACTCAGGTTCTTTGCCCATTTTTTAATGGGGTTACTTGTTTTCTCATTATTGAGTTGTTTGAGTTCCTTATGTATTTTGGATATTAGACCCTTGTGAGAATAATTGTTTGTAAATATTTTTTCCTATTCCATAGGTTGTCTCTTCACTCTGCTGTTTACTTCCGTGGCTGTGCAGAGCTTTTGAGTTTGGTGTAATGCCATTTGTCCATTTTTGCTTTTGTTGCCAGTGCATTTGGGTTCATTCCAAAAAATCATTATACAGACCAATGTCATAGAGATTTTCTTCTATGTTTTCTTCTAGTACGTTACAGTTTCATGTCTTACATTCAAGTGTTTAATCCAGTTTGAGATGATTTTTTGTATATTGTGTGAGAATCTAATTTCTTTCTTCTACATGTGGATATCCAGTTTTCCCAGCACAATTTACTGAAGAGACTGTTCTTTCCACATTGTGTGTCCTTGGCAACTTTGTCAGAAATAAATTGTTCCATTACTCTATGTGTCTAATGTTTATGCCAGTGCCATGCTGTTTTGATTACTATAGCTGTATGATATATTTTGAGATCAGAGCATGGAGGCCTCCAGCTTGTTATTTTTGCTCTAATTGCTTTGGCTATTAGGAGTTTCTTGTGGTTCCATATACATTTTAGGACTGTTTTTTCTATTTGTGTGAAAAATGTTATTGGAGTTTTGGAAGGATTGCATTGCATGTATAGATCTGTTTGGATAGTACGGGCATTTAAACAATATTAAGTATTACAATCTATGAACATGGGATATCTTTCCATTTACTTATTTTCCTCACCTTCTTTCATAAATGGTTTATAGTTTTCACTTTACAGGTCTTGCACATTCTTGGTTAAATTTGTTCTTAAGGGTTTTTTTTGTAGCTACTAAAATGGGATTGTTTTGTTGATTCCTTCTCTGGAAAGTGTGATATTAGTATATAGAAATGCTACTGATATTTGTATGTTGATTTCATGTCCTGCAACTTCACTGAATTAACATATTAGTTCGCCATGGTCAGTTGCATTCCTAAGAGTTTTATTTGTGTGTGTGGTTATTGTGAATGGGATTAAATTCTTAATTTGGCTCTCAGCTTGGATGTTGTTAGAGTATAGCAATGCTACTGATTTTTGTACATTGATTTTGTATCCTGAAACTTTGCTGAAGTTGTTTTTCAAATATAGGAGTTTTGGGCAGAGACAATGGGGTTTTCTAGGCATAAAATCATATCATTTGCAAACAGGATTAATTTGACTTTCTTTCTATTTGAATGTCTTTTATTTTTTTCTCTTGCCTGATTGGCTAGGACTTCCAATACTATGCTGAATAGGAGTAGCAAGAATGGGCATCCTTGTCTTATTCCAGTTTTCAAAAGGAATGCTTCCAGCTTTTGCCCATTCAGTATGATGTTGGCTGTAGGTTTCTCACAGAAGGCTCTTATTATTTTGACATATGTCCCTTCAATGCCTAGTTTGTTGAGGGTTTTTAACATAAAGAGGTGTTGAATTTTATCAAAAGTCTTTTCTACATCTATTGAGATGATCATGTGGTTTTGTTTTTAGTTCTGTTTTTGTGATGAATCACATTTATTGATCTCTGTGTGTTGAATCAATCTTGCTTCCCAAGAATAAAGCCTATTTGATCATGGTAGATTAGCTTTTTGGTGTGCTGCTGGATTCAGTTTGCTAGTATTTTGTTGAGGATTTTTGCGTCTATATTCATGAAGGATATTGGCCTGAAGTTTTCTTTTCTTTTTGTTTGTTTGTTTGCTTCTGCCGGGTTTTGGTATGAGAATGATGCTGCCCTCAGAGAATGAATTGAGGAGTCCCTTCTCAATTTTTTGGAGTAGTTTCAGTAGAAATGGTGCCAGCTCTTCTTTATAAGTCTGGTAGAATTTGGCTGTGAATCAATTTGGTCCAGAGCTTTTCCAGGTTGGTAGGCTTTTTATTACTAATTCAATTTCAGGACTCATTATTGGTCTGTTCAGGATCTCAGTTTCTTCCTGGTTCAATCTTGGGCAGTTCTCTATTTCTAAGAATTTACCCATTTCTGGTAGGTTTTCTAGTTTGTGTGCATAGAGGTGTTTGTAATAGTCTCAGGGTTTTTTTTTTTTTTGTATTTATGCATGGTTGGTAGTAATGTTCCCTTTGTCATTTCTGATTGTATTTATCTGGATCTTCTCTCTTTTCTTCTTTATTAGCCTACTGCTGAAATAAATCACAGGTGACACAAGCAAATGAAAAAACATCCCATGCTCATGGATAGGAAGAATCAGTATTGTTAAAATGACCATACTGCCAAAAAAAATTTACAGATTCAATGCTATTCCTATCAAACTACCAATGACATTTTTCACAGAATTAGAAAAATACTATTCTAAAATTCACATGGAACAAAAAAAGAGCCTGAATACGCAGAGCGATCCTAAGCAAAAAGAACAAAGCTAAAGGCATCAGATGACCCAACTTCAAACTGTACTACAAGGCTACAGTCACCAAAACAGCATGGTACTGATAAAAAATAAAAAATAAAAAAGACATGTAGACCAATGAAACAAAATAGACAGCCCAGAAATAAAGCTGCACACCTACAACCATGTGATCTTCAACAAACTTGACAAAATCAACCAATGGGGAAAGGACTCCCTATTCAATAAATGGTGCTGGGATAACTGGCTAGCCACATACAGATTAAAATTGGACTCCTTCCTTTTACCATATACAAAAATCAACTCAAGATGGATTAAAAAACTTATATTTAAAACCTAAAGCTATAAAATCCCTAGAAGAAAACCTAGGAAACACCGTTCTGGACATAGGCCCTGGCAACAATTTCATGATGAAGATGTCAAAAGCAATTGCAACAAAACCAAAAATTGGCAATGAGACCTAATTAAACTAGAGAACTTCTGCACAGCAAAATAAACTATCAACATAATAAACAGTCAACCCACAAGATTGGAGAAAATATTTGCAAACTGTGCATCCAACAAAGGTCTAATATCCAGAATCTATAAGCAACTTAAATTAAAAAGCAAAAAACAAACAACCCCATTAAAAAGTGGGCAAAAGGCCAGGCGTGGTGGCTCACGCCTGTAATCCCAGCACTTTGGGAGGCCGAGGCGGGTGGATCATGAGGTCAGGAGATGGAGACCATCCTGGCTAACACGGTGAAACCCTGTCTCTGCTTAAAAAAAAAAAAAAAAAAATACAAAAAATTAGCCGGGCATGGTGGCGGGTGCCTGTGGACCCAGCTACTTGGGAGGCTGAGGCAGGAAAACAGCGTGAACCCAAGAGGTGGAGCTTGCAGTGAGCCAAGAATGTGCCACTGCACTCCAGCCTGGGTGACACAGCAAGGCTCCATCTTAAAAAAAAAAAAAAAAAAAAGTGGGCAAAGGACATGAACACTTTTCAAAAGAAGACATATACACAGCCAGCAAGCATATGAAAAAAAAAAAAGCTCAATATCACGAATCATTAGAGAAATGCAAATCAAAACCACAATGAGATATCATCTCACACCAGTCAGAATGGCTATTATTAAAAAGTCAAAAAATAGCAGATACTGGCGAGGCTGCAGAAAAAAAGGGAATGCTTGGACACTCCTGGTAGGAATGTAAATTAGTTCAGCCACTGTGTACTGCAGTGTGGCAGTTCCTCAAAGAATTTAAAACAGAAATACCATTCAGCCCAGAATTGCCATTACTGGGTATATACCCAAAGAAATGTAAGTCATTCTACCATAAAGACACATGCATGCATATGTTTACTGCAGCACTAGTGAAAATAGGAAGAACATGGAATCAACCTAATTGCCCATCAATGATAGACTGGATTAAAAAAATATGGTACATATACACTATGAAATACAATGCAGTTGTAAAAGAGAATGAGATCATGTCCTTTGCAGCAACATCAATGGTGCTAGAGGCCACTATCCTAAGCAGACAAACACAGCAACAGAAAACCAAATATCACGTTCTCACTTGTAAGTGGGAGCTAAACACTGAGTACACGTGGACATAAAGAAGGAACATCAGACACTGGGGCCTACTTGAGGGTGGAGAGTGGGAAGAGCGTGAGGATAAAAAAATTACCTGTCTGATACTATGCGTATCACCCGGGTGAGGAAATAATCTGTATACAAAACCCCCATGACACACAATTTACCAATATAACAAACATGCACATATATTCCTGAACATAAAATAAAAGTCTGAAAAAACTTACTAGTTTTTTGGTGGAGTCTTTAGAGTTTTGTGTACATAAGATCATGTCATCTGCAAACAGGGACAATTTGAGTTTTCCTTTCCAATTGAGATGCCATTTATTTCTTTCTCTTGCCTGATGGCTCTGGCTAGACCTCCAGTACTCTGTTTTTTGTGGGGGCGGGGGTGGTGGGAGTATTTGTTTTGTTTTGTTTTTGAGACAGGGTCTAGCTCTGTTGCCCAGGCCAGAATGCAGTGGTGTGACCTCAGGTCACTGCAACCTCCACCTCCTGGGCTCAAGCGATCCTCCCATCTCAGCCTCTGGAGTAGCTGGGACTAGCACATGCCACCATGCCTAGCTAGTTTTTTATTTTTTTGTAGAGATTGGGTTTCATTGTGTTGCCGAGGCTGGTCTTGAACTTCTAGGCTCAAGTAATCTGCCCACCTCGGCCTCCCAAAGTGCTGGAATTACAGGCATGAGTCACCACACTGGGCCAACCTCCAATCCTATGTTGAATAGAAGTGATGAGCATCGGCATCCTTGTCTTGTTCCTGATCTTAGACGAAAAGCTTTCAACTTTTTAACCATTGAGTACGATGTCAGCTATGAGTGTGTCATATACAGTCTTTATTGCACTAAAGTACATTCCTTCTATACCTAATTTGTAGAGAGTTTTTATGATTAAAGAATGTTGAATTTTGTCAAATGCTTTTTACACCTTTATTGAGATGATTTTATGGCTTTTATCCTTCATTCTGTAATGTAGTATATCATATTTATACATTTGTGTATATTGAACCATCCTTGCATCTTGGGATAAATCCCACT
Organism: Homo sapiens; assembly: GCF_000001405.40. Lineage (NCBI taxonomy): Eukaryota > Metazoa > Chordata > Mammalia > Primates > Hominidae > Homo > Homo sapiens. Next base: position 131,719,173 of record NC_000010.11, read on the forward strand.
TGATAATGGAGATTGATCCTTTTAATGTGCTATTGAATTTTGTTTGCTAGTATTTTGTTAGGGATTTTGTATCTATGTTGATCAGGAATATTGGCTTGTAATTTTTTTTCTTGTAGTGTTCTTGTCTGGCTGTGGTTATCAGCATAATGCTGGTCTTGTGAAATGAATTTGGAAGTATTTTCTCTTTTTCAATTTCTTGGAAGGGTTTCAAAAGAATTTATATTAGTTCTTCTTTAAAGGTTTAGTAGAATTCAGCAGTGAAGCCATCAGGTCCAGAGGATTTCTTTGATGGGATACTTTTACTACTGAGTCAATCTCCTTCTTTAATTTTTTTCATCAATATTTTGTAATTATCAACATACCACTCCAGTTCCTGTTTTAAGTGTATGCCTACGTAACTGATTTTGTTTGGAGTTATTATAAAGGTATTGTGCTTTTAATTTTGTTTTCTGTATGTTCAGTGCTAGTATGTAGAAATATGATATTTTTGTGCTCGTCTTGCATCCAAATATCTTTATAAACTAATTTTTAATTCTAAGAGACTGTGGATTCCTTGAAATTTTCTACAATCATGTTATAGATTATAAAAAAAGTTTTATTTCTTCATTTCAATACATATCCCTTTTATTTAATGTAACTTTTTGCCTTATTGAAGTGTCTAGAACTTCCAGTAGTATGTTGAATAAAACTGGTGAGAGTGAACATCCTTGCCTTGTTACTGATCTTAGTGTTTCACCAATGTCTATGATATTAGCTGTAGGGAATTTCTGTTGTTGTTTGTTTTGTTGTTTTTGTTTTTGTTTTTTAATTTTATTTTAAGTTCTGGGATCCATATGCAGGATGTAGTGGTTTGTTACATAGGTAAACATGTGCCATGGTGGTTTGCTGCACCTATCAACCCACCACCCAGGTATTAAGCCCAGCATGCATTAGCTGTTTATCCTGATCTTCTTCCTTCCTCAACCCCTGACAGGCCCCAGTGTGTGTTGTTCCTCTCCCTGTGTCCATGTGTTCTCATTGTTCAGCTCCCACTTATGAGTGAGAACATATGGTGTTTGGTTTTCTGTTCCTGTGTTAGTTTGCTGAGGCTAATGGCTTCCAGCTCCATCCACGTCCCTGCAAAGGACATGATCTCATTCCTTTTTATGGCTGCATAGTATTCCATGGTGTGTATGTACCACATTTTCTTTGTCCAGTCTATCACTCATGGGCATTTGGGTTGATTCCATGTCTTTACTATTGTGAATAGTGCTGCAGTGAACATACTCGTACATGTATCTTTATAATAGAATGATTTATATTGCTTGGGTATATGCCCAGTAATGGGATTGCTGGGTCAAATGGTATTTCTGGTTCTAGATCTTTGAGGAATCACCACACTGTCTTCCACAATGGCTGAACTAATTTACATTCCCACTAATAGTATAAAAGCATTCCTATTTCTCCACAGCCAGCTATAGGGATATTTTTAGCTGCTTTTAATCAAATTGAGATAATTTCTCCCTGTCCCTAACTTGCTGAGAGATTTTATCATGAATAAGTATAAATTTTATTGAATTGCTTTTCTGAGTTAATTGATATGATCATTTATCTTTTTCCAGTGGCTCATTAATATGGTGGATTACCTCGATTGACCTAAAATGTTGAACCAGCCTTGCACACCTGGAATAAATCCCACTCAGTCATGATGTATACTTTGTGGAATTTGGCCTGCTGACATTTTAATAATGATTTTTGTATCTAACGTGATAAGAGATATTGATCTATAGCCTTTTCTTTTGGTACTGTCTTTGTCTGGTTGGGTATCAAGGTAGTATTGGCCTCACAAAATGAGTGGAGAAATTTTTCCTTCTCTTCCATTTTCCGGAAAGAATTGTAAAATTGGTATTGATTATTTTTAAAAGGTCTGGTGGAATTCTCCAGTGAAAGCATCAGGGCCTGGAGATTTATTTGGAGGGAGTATTTTAGTTACAAACTCAATTTTTTGAATGGTTATCAAAAGGCTACTGGGATCATCTATGTCATCTTTGTTGAGTTTTGGTAGCCTGTGGTTTTCAAGGAACTTGTCCATTTCTTTTAAGTTGTCAAATCTATGAGCAAAAGATTTGTGTAATGCTCTCTTACTATATTTTACTATATTTTAATTACTTGGAATCTATAGTGATCACCCCTGTTTCATTCCTGGCATTGGTGGGTTGTGTCTTCTTTCTTGTTATTTTTATCAGTCTTGCTAGAAATTTATCAATTTTCTTGATTTTTTAAGAACTAGATTTTTGTTTCATTGATTCTATTATTTTCTCATTTTTATTTTTTATTTTTTATTTATTTTTCTTTTTTTTGAGATGGAGTCTTGCTCTGTCCCCCAGGCTGGAGTGCAGTGGCATAATCTTGGCTCACTGCAAGCTCTGCCTCCCAGGTTCATGCCATTCTCCTGCCTCAGCCTCCCGAGTAGCTGGGATTACAGGTGACCGCCACCACGCCCAGCTAATTTTTGTATTTTTAGTAGAGACAGGGTCTCACCATGTTGGCCAGGCTGGTCTTGAACTCCTGACCTCAGGTGATCCACCTGCCTCGGCCTCCCAAAGTGCTGGGATTACAGGCATGAGCCACCATGCCGGGTCTTCTCATTTTTAATATCATTGATTTCTGCTCTTTATCATTTATTCCTCCTGCTTCTTTGGGTTTTTTGCTCTCCTTTTACAAGTTTCCTGAGGCAGAAACTGAGGTTATTAATTAGAGATCTTTCAGTGTTTCTGCCATAAATATTAAGTGTTATACATTTCACTCTCAGCACTTAGTTGCATCTCACATATTTTGTTTTTGTTTTCATTCTGCTGCTTTTCTTATTAGTTTTCTTTCAGGCTTCCTCTTTGACCTTTGGATTATTCACTGGTGTGTTAATTTCCACATGTTTCAAGATTTTTCTATTATCGTTCTGTTAATGACTTTTAGTTTGATATCATTATGGCCAGAAGCCCCACCTCCTGAGGCTCATGGAAGAGATCTAGGTGAGGGGCAAAGCCTCTGCCGGTACCACTGAGCACCTGGGGTTCTTCCACAGCGGCCACAGATGCAGAGAGGAGGCCAGAGGCCAGGCCTCAGCCAGGGGCTCAGGAGAGGCAGGTGGGACCCTGACCTCCACCCCCTGCACCTGCTGACTCCCAGGGCCCTCTTCCCCACCCCCTACCTCCCCACTCCTGCTCAGACCCTTCCTTTTCAGAGCTCTGCAGGCCAGGGTGCCAGAGGCGTGAAGGTCGGCCAGATCTGTCCACTGAGAGGAGTCCAGGGCCTTCCCCACTGCCCATGGCTTCTGCATCTAAGGGAGCCCCATCATGCCTAGATCATCGTTGGCCCCTGAAGCACCTACCGTGTGCAGGAAAATGTGCCAGACTGTGGGGAGGGGTCACTGAACCGTCCAGAGCCCCTCCTCTGAGAGTAAACCGGGAGCGATAACACCTCCCGAGACCCATGTGAGGAACATAAGAAATGAACCCTCTGGAGACCACGCACTCATGCACGGCGCAGTGACCGCCGCAGAGCCTCGGGTGCTGATGGGCCACAGGCGAGGGTGGCTCCCTCTCTGCACTTTCCACATCCAGACCAGGCCTGGCACATCGGAAACCCGGGAAGCTCTGGCGAATGTACCATGAGAAGACAAAGCTTGTACTCTCCGCAGCTGGACACAAATGGCTCACCCAGAAGGGAAACCAGATGAGTGTCGAAAAGAGACCTTGAGTGATCACGGAGGCAGGGACAGTGCAGCAGCCTCCTCCCAGCCAGGAGAGCCCTCAAAGGAAGTGGAGGGCTCTCCATGGGGCCACCAGGCAGGAGCTCCATCCCTCCACAGTGAAACACGGACAAATCACGTTAAGGCCACCCAGAGAGAAGCAGAAAAGCTCCCCTCTCCTCCTGCCCTCCCACCTCTGCCAGAGGCCCCCATCCGCAGAGCCCAAGGAAGCTCAAAAGACTAGGCAGCCCACTGGGCCTTCAGCCCCTCTCCCTGGTGCGGAGCAGGACAGAAGGCAGGAAGTGGGCCTGGGAGTGAGGAGACTCTGGATTCTTTAATTGCTCAGAGCCCAGAAATTCTTCTCATGTCCACAAATCACTTTTTTAATTATTGGCCAGTGGTTTGCAGCTCCAGCCCATGCGGTGTTGTATATTCTTCTCTGCCCTCTTGGTCACAAGAGCAGCTGCAGCCAACAAACGAGGTGCCTTCGTTTTCACCCACCCGATCGCAGGTGCCTCATGGCTGCAGGCTAGGATGGTGCACACAGTTTGTGAACAGCCGGCATCTTGACGGTTTCAAGGTTGTGGGGATGGGGGATCCTAGAAGGGGGCCCAGGGAGATGGATCCCTGGGGTTTGCCCACCTGGTGGTGGCCCCCACCTGGGATCTGAGGGCTTGGCCCCAGTGGCAGGGCTGGCTCTGGAATGATATGAGGAAGGTTGAGCCCTCCGGCACAAAGGGCTGAGCAGAAAAGCTGGTGCAAGCTCCTGGGCCATCCCAGCCCATCTGCTGTCCCTGACACCTGGCACCTGGCACACAGCCTCACTTTCCTCCCCTGAAGGTGGCGGACCCTGAACCAGTGGACCCCAGAACAGAGCTGCGGCTCACAGCCAGCGAGAGAATCAACTTTACAGATAAAACTTCCCAACTCCAGGGCAGGACAGAGGCCGCTTTGCCCCTTTTCTCAAGTGCTTCCAGAGACAAGCAAGCCAGAGTCTCGTGGCAACCCTGTCCCCGTGGGTTCCTACTCTGGGATTCTCCACCAGAGGCAGGGGCACATGGCACACCTGTGTGACACTTGCCGTGGGGGCCCAGCCCAGAGCCTGAGCCTGAGAGCTGGGGCGAGGCACCCACACACACGCACACACACACACGTACACACAGGCTCACACACACACAACAGATATACAGACACACATACGTTCACACACAAAGACACAAACACATGCAGGCTCACAACACACACACAGCCTCACGTGCAGCCTCACACATACATTGGCATACACAGACACACAGACTCACAAGGCACACACATACCCACAAACAGACACAGGCACAGCTCCGCACACACAGGTGAACCCGTGATTCCTCTTTATGGACAGGACATGAACGCTCCAAACCTCAGCAAGTCTCTTCACAGCTCAGCCAGAGCCACTCAGCATCCCGCCCCTCCAGACAGATGTGAGTTCTAAGCACGTCCTAGGACTGTGATCTGCCAGGCGTTAGCTGGAGCCCGCCTCATTACCATGGGCCCTGCTGGTGGGTCTGACATGACACATCACAGCTCTGACAGCCACTGTGGGCTGCTGGCGATTAGAAGGAAACGGGTATATTACCCTAATTTAATTACCCGCCATCTGATGCTTATGATGATCACTGACAGTACTCATTTCTAAAATGAAATGTGCTGCTCTCTAATTGTTCACAGTTCGAAAGAAACAGCTAGAGAACATTTTCAACCATTAAGGAAATGATATTTTAAATGATGAACATACTGTATATGTTTGTACTTTAAGGAAACAGACTCTGGTAATGTTTGGGGAAATTAGTGAAAATTTACTGATTCCCAGAAGAAAAATAGTTCCATCTAACCATGCCAGGCGGAGTCTGTGGGCACCTTCCTGGAGCGCCTGCATGAACTGTGGCTCTGAGCAGCTCTGAGCAGCCAGAGAGGGCCCAGGCCCCTCTGCACCTACGGCCGCCTGCACCTGTGTCCTCTGGCTCTGCTAGGACAGCCCTGAGAGTGTGGCCAGGGCTAAGGGAAGCAGTCCTAGTAAGCGCATAGTGCAAGAGCTGGTGCTTGCTGGAAACCCACAGAGGGACCCCCTCCCCAGTGTTGGACCCCCTCCCCAGTGTCAACCCCCCGCGGTCAGTCACAAGCTCCAGGGAACACTCGGGAGCCCACTGACCTGAGAAGGCAGGGCCCCTGCCTGGTCTGAGTGAAAGCCACAGCCTAACAGCCAGACACAGTTCTGCCTAGCGCTTGCTGGGGCCCTGGACAACAGGCCCACTTTTGAGGCTCCGGTCCTGCGTGCACAGTGGGGTGCTGATGCTCCCAGGCTCCAGCTTGGAGGGGTAGGGAGTGACCGCTAAGGAGTGTGGCGCATGCAAAGCACCTGGTGAGACCCACTGGACACTAACTCAGGCCAGGCTCTGTGCTTCTCAGGGAAGAAGCAGGGGCTGGTTTGCAAAAGGCCAGGAAGGCCCCAGAGCTGGACTCGGTCCATGACTGGGGAGCCAGCCTGTAGCACTGCACGGGGCATGATGCCGGAGTGTCACGAAGTGGGAAATGGGGAGCACATGGGCACCTGCGTGGGGACTGGGGCCCAGAGAAGGTCGTCGACCCCCATCGCAGTGGGATGCAGAGGCCTGGGCTAGGAGGGGTGTCAGGTCCCAGTGCCATTTACGAAGAGAAACTGATGAGGTGTAGAACCACGGGCATGTGACTGGGCCATACTGAGGCCTGACGGGGCAGGCGGCAAACCCTGCCGGGGATGCCATGGTTATCCCAGTCCAGCCCACACTCTGAAAAATAGGAAGTTGCGTCAGGCATGTGGGAGAGAGGCAGGAGCTGGAAGTGGAGGCTGCAGCCATCCAGGCAGAGACGGAGGCAGCCTAGGAGTGAGAACAGACAGGAGGCAAGAGCCCAGCGCAAGGCCGGGAGCCACACATGAAGGGAGCCCAGAGGAGAAGCCCAGTGCAGGGCCCACAGAGGTGGAGGTGGCTGCAGATCCCTGGAGGGCAGGTGCTCAGCGGTGGACACGGGGATGGGGACCCGAGGACCACAGGAGGGCACCAGCCAGGGCGGCCACCGAGTGGGAGATGGGTCCGGGAAGGGAATGTGTGTCTGGGGTTTGGGCTTCTGTTCCTCTTCCGATTTGTCATCGAAGCGGCACTTCCGTCTGATGGAAAAGGTAAACTAAAACAGCAGAGAGCTGGTGAGAAGGGGGCCGTGGGTCCTGGCTCCAGCCGCCCATGCACAGAGGCAGCCGCTTCCCCCAGGTCTTGCCCGGAGCCAGGTTCTCAGGATTATTTCCTGAGTTGTAACAACGCACTTAGTCCTCCTATTTCTTCATCCACCTGAGATGTTGTCTCTCTCTACATAAGAAAAGGGAGAATGTAGATCACTCACATTAGGGCCCGCCCTCCCCCTTTCTTCCCAATTGTTGATAGTCCTTAGCTTAATTCTTTCACTGACGGCCTCAGGATCTTTAAATAATATCCTGAAGTTTGTCTCTCTCCCTCCCTCCCTCCCTCCCTCTCTCTAATTGCGTCGAAAGTGGAATCTCTTGGCTTCTGGCTGCACTGGGCGGAAGTGCTGGCAGCCTGCCCTCCGCTTACCCACTCCTCTCCCCTCCGCCGCTGCCAGCCCCGCCTTCGCTCGAAACAGCAGCATCGTCTTCATTCAGCAAATGCGTATGGAGCTGCCACCGCGTGCCCGTGCCTGTGCCTGACACGCCCCCGTCGTGTGACCTCTGACACTGGACCTTGAGACCATAGTGCCTGTCGCTGTAAACACTTAATCTGTGCACAGCCAGGGGCCCGGGGACAATGCTTTCCTCTCCACAGACACGTCTGGGCTCAGGCCCTCCCTGCAGCACTGAAGGCACGTGGTCCTGGCATCCAGCCCACTGGCTTCTCTTTTCTTCCATCCAGCCTGGAACTCAAAGCCACGTCACCTTGTAGGGTGTCCCTTAGCCATGAATTTCTAAGTCCTTTGTCCATTTTTCCTGAAGTTTCCCATTGCATTTCCTGTGTTCCTACTGGGAGAAGCAGCATCTGCTCCACCCACCCTGTTGCGGCCCGCACTGCCCTCCAACGTCCCGTCTGTGGCTGGGCTCCAGCCATCCTTCTTCAGGACCCATCTTCCCTGAGTCCCACAGACAGCCTGGGTGGCTTGGGCCTGTGGCTGCTCAGCCTGACACTGTGATCTCGGGCTCCTGTGGGGCTCCCACTTCTCCTGTCTCACACCTGCCATCCCATCAAGCTGCACCTCCCTGCTGAGTCCTCGGGGGCGCCCTCTCCTTCCAGGCCCTCTCCGCTGGGGACCGTTTCCGCCCCTGCTGGGGAAGGGCCTGATGGGCTTTCTCCACCCGCCATCTTCTGTGGCTTCTTGTCACCAAGAACATTTTCCTCCTTTGTTGCGGGTCCCCCTGTGGGTTCCACAGCCACGATTCAGCACCGGTGGCTCCTGAGAAGGTTCTCATGCCTGCAGCCCACTCCTCTAGAATTCTGTCCTCAGAAGCTTCTGGTCCTACATTTTTAAAGCAGTTCTCTCATAGAGCTGAAGCTGGACTGTTTCATTTTCCCCCTTAATGTTCAGAATTGATATAGAACTGATTAATAAGCTTAATTTTGACTGTCCATCTTCCAGGAAGCATATAGGCTCATTCTGGAAGACAGCAGAGCATCTCCAAGTGCCCGGTCACCCCCTCACAAGAACACAGCCGTCACCTCAGGTGCCAATGCCGGCTTCATTCTCAGGTCCAGCCTCCACAGAGCGGGCTGTGGACAAAGCTGTCCTTCTGTCACACGCCCCAGTCCAGGCTCCCCAGAGCCACCTGAAGGACACAGTGGGCTATGGACAAACCTGTCCTTCCGTCACATGCCCCAGGCCAGGTGTTCTACAAAGTCCTCCAAGAGGCAGTCAGAGGCCACTGAGGGGTGCCGCACCCAGCGCTCACCGGGCAGAAGGTCCATTCTGCAGCCAGTGATGTGGATCCGTCGTTTTCAAAGATGCTGATGGTGGACACAGCACAGCCTTCCCAGCCGAGCCTGACACCTGTGCGGAGGTCCTTTGGCTCAGCTCTCTTGCTCCAAGGAAAATGCCAAGAAGACCCCCACACAGTTCACGAGACACATCCACGAGCACAGCTCACTTGCTTGTTTCTTTAAAAGCAAACTCCTTTGCAAACAAATACCTCTTTTCGAGGGAATGCTTATATACTGTTTTTGGGAATGAAAATTAGTTCAGCCACCTTGGAAGGCAGTTTGGAGATTCCTCAAAGAACGTAAAATGGCCATTCATCCCAGCAATTCTATTACTGGGTATGTGCCCAAAGGAAAATAAATCTTTCGACCAAAAAGACACCTGCACATGTATGTTCATGGAAGCTCTATTTCCAATTGCAAAGACGTGAAAGCCACCTCAGTGCCCATCCACGGTGGACTGGATAAAGGAAACGTGGTACAAATACACCATGGAATACTGCACAGCCATAAAACAAGAATAAAAGCATGTCCTTTGCAGCTGGAGGCCTCCATCCTAAGCAATTTAACTCAGGAACAGAAATCCAAATACCAGATGTTCTCACTTACAAGTAGGAGCTAAACACTGGGTACTCATGGACATAAAGAAGGAAACAGCAGACACTAGAGAATCTGAAAGGGGCAGAGAGGGCTGGCTGCAAAGTTGCCTTTTGGGTACTGTGCTCACTACCTGGGTGATAGGATCCACTGCACCCCAAACCTCAGCATCACACAATATAGTAATGTAACAAACCTGCACACGTCCCCCCAGAATCTGAAATAGAAGTTGAAATTTAAAATAGATATATCTCTTTCCATCTCTCCTACTTGGACAAGATGCTCATCAGACCCCACAGCTGGGGCTGCCGGACCCCTTCCAGGGATTCTTCCCAGAGGGGCCTTTGTCAGAGTGGGAGGTTGGGAAGGTTCCCGGCTCCAAAGTGAAAGCATTTGCCTTAATCCAAAGAAACCTGATGTGCTGCTTGCCCACAACAGGTCACATGTCCCGTGAGCCAAGTGTACATCCTGTTAGCAGCCCACAGTGGGTCATCCTGGGGCAAAAGCTTGGCCCCTGGTGGGTTCATCACAGCTCCCGGCTCCGAGGAAGCCCCTGGCTGGAGGCTGGTGCATTCTCTCTCCCCTGATCTGTGTGCACCCGCTTCTCACTCACCTCGAGCCCGGCCTGGCTTTCGGCAGCTGCCCTCTGTGGGAACCTCTTTTTATCAAGTGCGGAATAACCACACCAGTATCCGGTTATTGGTACTTCTCACAGAAATGCCCTCTCCTTCGATGGCCACAATAAGTAATTCTGCTCTTACATAGAAAAACGAAGCATTCCAAGAATGCAAAAAATGTTTATTTGAGGGAGTACATAGGATTCTGCTCTGGGAGCAAACACATTCATCTGGATGGTGACTCCAATTTCCACAGGAAGATCCCAGGCCATGGCTTTCCTGAGCCTCAGCGATCCTTCCTGGGGGCCTCTTCTGAGCTCTCCTTGCTCCCATCCCACTGCCCTGGCCTCTTCTCTGCCTCCTTCTGCCGCTGTCACCATCCTCCAGCTCTCAGGCTGATTGATGTCAGTGGAACAGCCTACGATGGCCCCAGAGAGCTGCCTTGCCTGCATCCTGGGCCATCTGAATGCAGGCATGAGAGTGTCCAGAGAGGCCACTCTGTAGAGCAGGCCATGCCAGGCGCCCGGCCACTGCCTTGTCTCCAGCCACAAGGTAAGTAAATGCACCTGTTATCCACAGACAATCCTACTCACTCTGTGAAATAAACATTGTTTGCATTCTTGGGATGCATCATTTTTTTACGTAACAAAAAGCAAATAAAATATTTATCTTCATTCCCAGCTGTCTCCACAAGATCTAATTTAATTGCCATTTAAATTGGAGAAAATGTTTTAAATAAATTTCCTTGTGATTTGGGGAGTGGCTGATTATATAAATGTGTTAGGGGAATAAAGCAATGAATCTGGAATTCAGACAAACCACACAGAGGGAAGCTTGGCCTCTTAAAACGGGCTTATGATCCCAGAGGCAGAAAGACCATCAGATGTGGGGTCAGAGGTGGGCCTCCAGCCTGTGCTCATGGTGCAGTTATGGGGGTATGGGTGGCCCCGTCCTTGGTCTGGGCAGTGGCTGACGCTCTCTCCTGGGCCTGCCACAGGCTGGGGTGTCACCTCCAGGTCCTCTGAGGGATGGGGGCCGTCGTGACAGTCCTGGGATCACCTGGGAGCATGCAGAGGACTCGGCACTTACAGTCACCTGCTGATTCCAAAGTGGCATCCAGAGCTGGGCCCGGGGCCTGGTCTTGTATGTTTGTTTTGTGTTGAATTTCCCTGGTTGATTCTGAGGTCCAGCCAGCTTTAGAAAACCTGTTGTTTAAGGTTGGGGTCCACAGATGCCTTTCTAAGAGCCAGATACAATTTCAGGTTTTGTGGGCCCCACAGCCTGGGTTGCAGGAGCTCGCCCACCACTGTAGCATGAAAGCAGGTGCAGGAAACACTGAAGGGATGACGTGGCTGAATCCCAGGAAAACCCCGATTTACAGAACAGCCAGGGGCGAGGTCGGGCCTGGGGCATTTGCCAACCGTGGCTTAAGGCCTTGTCCCTTGAAGGGCACCTTAAAATACAGATAATAGAAGAACGTGAAAACACAGCTTCTCAACCCCAGCATGGACTGAGAATTGTTTTGTTATAATCTTGTTTCAATATGTACAAATATTCAACTAGACATAAACTCCTCTTACTTTTTGCTTTTATATGGCTTTAACAACAAAGCACATTAATAAATTAAACACAAAACTATAACAGCAACAAAATTCAAATTAAAAATATAAATTCAATGTGGCAGATGTTATGGTTTTGCTGACACCAAATCACCATCCTGGGACTCAGTCCCATCACTTCCCCCCTTGGCACCACTGCACCCTCCTCCTGGGAGCGCCTTCAGCAGCATGAGGCAGGGCCCTGCCTGGACGAGCGCCTGGACACGTCGGGTGTGTGCCATGTCATGGGCAAAGGCTCACAGTCTTGAGAAGAGACCAAGCTCAGCAGGCACCAAGCTCGCCTGCAAGGCATTTCCTATGTGCTAGGAGTGCGTGCACACATATGTATGTGGTGGGTACATACACGCGTGTGGTGCATGTGTGCAGGTGTGTGTGTGTGTTTACGTTTGCATCAGCATGAAAATGCAAAGTCTTTAACTTCCATAGAAAGCCACGCCCCCCACCCTGACTGCACCCATGTGGGCCAGTTTAAGGAAGCTGGCAGAAATTCACTGGTGTGTTCCTGAGCCCTGGAGATCACTTTGGCATCACTGCCCTAAGATGTGGACAATGAGATTGGGAGGAGGAGCTGGCAAGCTTGCAGGGAAGGGGCCGTCGGGAGGGACTAGGACAGGGTGACTGAGGGCAGCAGGCACTGACAGGAAGGACCCACGTAGAGCAGGTCTCACAGTGGACCCCACGAGAAAACAAGGGCTGCTCCCCCGAGGGACACCCAGTGCCTCAGCTACCCGACCGGCAGCAGCACCAGCATGGATAGCACACTCTGTTCCCCAAAAATCTAAGCCATTGATGGATGACACGTGGGAGCACGGTTATAACACGCATTTCTTTTGACCCTTTTTTTCCACTCAGCACAATCAGCAACTCTGGCTGGATGCTGAAAACCCCATGGAAGCATTACCCATGTGGGGTTTCAGAGACACGGAGTTTGTGGAAATTGCGTTGGAACCTAACTTCTGAGGTCAGCGGCTGTTCCAGACACCGAGTTCTAATCCTAAATCTTGTAGCAGCGCCGTGTAACTTAGAGCAGACTCCCCAAACCCTCTGCTTTCTCCTCTGGAAAGCAGGACAATACCATCCACCGGGCCAGGCTGTTCTGCCAAATAGGACGTCAGGGTGGCTGGGAGCTCCTTAGGAGAACCGACACAGCCTGCTGCTTAGAGGGTTTGGGGCTTCTTAAGTGGAGTGGGTGGAAAGGATCACATGACCCACGTGTGTGGCCCAGAAGGTCTGAAGGTTCTGAAGTCCCTTTTAAAACAGTGACTGAGTTTTCAGACTAAGGGGGCCCACTCGTATTCATCTTCAGCCTGGAAACTAGCACACATCAGACACCTGGGAAATCTGGGAATAAAAGATGAAAAGGATCATCCAAGGAGCAGGATAGCTCATTGATTTGCCTGTAAACCAGGTGCCAAGCCCTGGAACTGGAGCAAAACTCATCCAGCCCACATTTTCCCACTCCCGTGAGTGGGCCTCAGGGGCCACCCATGCTGTCCTCAGAGAGAAGGGCCCCTCACCAGGGCCAAGACTCCAGCAGAGCCTGTCCTGGGGACATTTGGAGGGGGTCACAATGCTCATGCCGACCAGGACAGCAGCCATGAGACTGGGGCTCTGCTGGAGCTCTTGACAAACTAATTCCATGATTCTCCCCATGCCTGATGGGATAGATGCACAGGCACGTGTGCACACGCATGCACTCACACCCATGCATGCACACAATGCACACATGCATGCATGCACTCACACCCAGGCATGCACACACATGCACATGCACACACAAACACACACATGCACACACACCCACACATACATGCACACATGCACATACATGCACTCACACCCAGGCACACACACACACATGCACTCACACTCAGGCATGCACACACAAGACAAGATCTCAAGAGTTTGAAAGATCCACTTTGATTCCCGTGGACCACAGCTCTGGAGTGGAAGGCCACATAGCCCATGTCTAGCACTAACTGCCCGTCAAGCCGCCAGATGAATGCAGTCAGAAAGTGACCCCAGATGAGACCAGCAGAAGAACCACCCAACTGAGCCCAGCCCAAATTGCTGACCACATAATTGTGAGAAAAAAAAAACCTGCCTGCTGCTTTACCTCAGTGTTAAACCTATGTGTTGGAGTGATTCATTACACACCATGGATGACAGGTACTAAGATGACCACAGCAGACAGGAATGCAGAGACAAACACGCTCAGATGCAGACACACACAGCTGTTTGATCAGGAGTCCCAGGGCTTGATTTGCTAAGAGAACCAACACATCTTTAGAAAATAGCTTGTTTTGGTGGGGCGCAGTGGCTCACTCCTGTAATCCCAGCAATTTGGGCAGCTGAGGCTGGTGGATCATGAGGTCAGGAGATCAACACCTTCTTGGCTAACATGGTGAAACCCTGTCTCTCCTAAAAATACAAAAAAAATTAGCCATGTGTGGTGGCAGGTGCCTGTGGTCCCAGCTACTTGGGAGGCTGAGGCAGTAGAATGGCGTGAACCTGGGAGGCAGAGCTTGCAGTGAGCCGACATCTCGCCACTGCACTCCAGCCTCAGCAACAGAGCAAGACTCCATCTCAAAAAAAAAAAAAAAAAGAAAAAAGAAACTAGCTTGTTTCTATACCCAGTTTCTAAGGAAATTACAGGCATATGGGGGGTTGGGACCATGGTGGAGGGAAAACAGGAGATGGTGAGTGGTTCATATGGGGTGGGGGCCAAATCCAAACATGCCCACTTACGGTAGAAGAAGGGGCAGATGAGCGGTCAGGGAGACACCCAGAGAAGGAGCCAGGAAGGGAGCCGTGTGGGAGGACAGAAGTTGCCGCTGACATTTTCTGCAAGTTGCTTTCTGTGGTGAGTCTGATGTGAAGTCTCCTTCCCCGAGAAGCTCCCCAGTAGGATTCGAGCTGCCCATGGGTGCTTTCCCTGGCCCTGGCTCTCTAGGATAGAGGCAAAGAAGCACCGGCTCAGCCTCCCATCCACCGAGATGCCAGCAGAGGGTTCACAGTGAGGCAGGAGGAGCAGAAAAGGTGGCTGGGGGTGACCTCTGGAGGGGCCCAGGCCAGGCTGTCAGTCCTGAGGGGCTGCCCACCTAGAGCAGCTCGTCCCCCGAACACCTGTCGGATGGCCTGGGCTGTCCACCCGCAGCGCATTGAGGGTGACACAGAGGAAGGTCGAGGACAGCTCCCTGCAAAGAGGCTGCAGAGCTGAACCTCTGATCCCACACTGGTGCTCCCCAAAAGGAAGCCCTCATAAATAGAAGAGCTGGTGCAGTCTCCAGACTGTTTTTATTGTTGGATTAATCTGTCTTCCCTGATATAAATATTTTATGTTCCATAGCCTGGAGACTCAGTTATGACAATCACACTGCCTGGCTCCACTTTGAAGGAAATACCTCTGTGAAGGAAGACGGTGCCCCTCTGTCTTCCTGGACCATGGGCAGCCTCTGCCAGACACAGGACACAGGCCAAGAGACAGAGGGGTCCAGGGAGAAAAGTTCTGAGAACACGAGAGAGCAGGGTGCCTGCACCTCCACGACTCAGAGATGCCAGTCCCCCAATGAAGGTGGAAACCAGGAGGGAGCTAGGGACTCGTGGGAGCTCAGAGAGGTGACTCGGACCCTCCCCAACCCCAGTCCTCAGATAACTGTCACCTGCCACCTACCTCTACCCATTCAGGCACAATTCATATGGCAGACACTCTTTAAAGGAAATTTTAAAGTGTGGCAATTAAAACCTCAAACAGAACTGCTCTTCCACTGTTGTGCATGGACTCTGTAGAAGCTCTAGGATTGCAGAAAGCAGTTGAGATGCTGGACTTTAATTACGGCATGGAGGCTCTAGATTGTGGACTCTAATTATGGCATGGAAGCTCTAGATGCTGGACTCTAATTATGGCAGGGAGGCTCTAGATGCTGGACTCTAATTATGGCATGGAGGCTCTAGATGCTGGACTCTAATTATGGCATGGAGGCTCTAGATGCTGGACTCTAATTATGGCATGGAGGCTCTGGATGCTGGACATTAATTATGGCATGGAAGCTCTAGATGCTGGACTCTAATTATGGCATGGAAGCTCTAGATGCTGGACTCTAATTATGGCATGGAGGCTCTAGATGCTGGACTCTAATTATGGCATGGAGGCTCTAGATGCTGGACTCTAATTATGGCATGGAGGCTCTAGATGCTGGACTCTGATTATGGCATGGAGGCTCTAGATGCTGGACTCTAATTATGGCATGGAGGCTCTACATGCTGGACTCTAATTATGGCAGGGAGGCTCTAGATGCTGGACTCTAATTATGGCAGGGAGGCTCTAGATGCTGGACGCTAATTATGACATGGAGGCTCTAGATGCTGGACTCTAATTATGGCAGGGAGGCTCTACATGCTGGACTCTAATTATGGCATGGAAGCTCTAGATCCTGGACTCTAATTATGGCAGGGAGGCTCTAGATGCTGGACTCTAATTATGGCAGGGAGGCTCTAGATGCTATGCTCTAATTATGTCATGGAGGCTCTAACTATCATGGTTTGTTGATGTAATTACTGAATACCAAGAAAATTCCAGAAAATAAGAGGAAAATTTATGAGAATTCATGAAAGACTTCTGTGCAAAGTTGTTGAAAACATGATCATGTAAATAAATCAATAGTTTTTCTATATGGTAGCAATAATCAGTAGAGGGGAAAAAAATCCCAATACCTTTCATTATAGAGGCAGAAAACCTACCTGTCTGGTAGGATTGTTGCCATACAATGGAAAGAGTTATTTGTAGAAAATTACAAGACTGTATGGGGACATACAAAGAAAAATAATAACGGATGTGCCATGTGGAGTCAGCTGAATGACGTCAACCCTGACGGTGTCTGCGTCATCCAACTCAGGGTCCCTGTGCAGGCTGCCTCTCTTGGGTAAAGGGGCTCACAGGTGTGATAAGTGAGAGGGACCTTGAGACTTACCTGGGGGACTCAGGGTCATCGCAAGGGGCCCTGGGAGAGGGAGGCCAGAGGGTCAGGGTCAGAACACAGTGACCGAGGCCAAGATGACAGAGATTCAAAGAGGTGGCAGTGCTGGCTTTGAGGATGGAGGGCGGGGCCCCAAGCCCAGGATGCAGGTGGCCAAGAGGAGCTGGAAAGGCCGGAGGTGGACTCTCCCCGAGAGCCTCGCGAGAAACCAACCCTGCCCCAACCTCCTCCCTCCTGAACATCAAAATAATGTGTGTTATTTGTGGTAATTTGTTACAGCAACAACTGGAAAATAATACATTATGTTTCTAAGGAAAAGAAAATCATAAAACTTAATTCCAAAATTACATCTAGGTTCACCCTATTCAAATCAAAATCCATGCAAGTTTTTGTTTGATATGACAGCATGATTATAAAATAATATTGAATAAGCAGGTAGAAAGCCAGGAAGACTTTGAAAAGTTAAAAGAAAAATAAAGCAATCACGGGAAGCAATGGCCGCCTTGGGGGTGCCAGGCTCTGACCAGGAGGCAGGAAGAGGACGTGGCCCTCGGAGCTCGATCCCGTGGCTGCTCAGTGAAAAGCTCATCCGGTGATCATCGTTCCTAAAACAAAACGCCATTTTTCCTGACAAATCAGTGAAAATGTGAAAGAGAAAAGTGCGTATTTGCTGCTTTGCAGACTTCCACAAGGACTGGCTGTCCGGCCTGCCCCGCCCTAAGGTGGGTGTTGGGCACAGGGAGGGGAGAGAGTGCGAGGACAAGGAGGTGTCACTCACTGGGAGCAGCCCCCACCCCGAGCACCCAGGGAGCTGGGCTTGAGCAGAAATCCCAGGCGGCCGCCCGGCATGGCATGGGTGGGGGCAGCTGTGTTTATTCATCGGGAGCCCTCTCAGGCCAGGGAAGTGGGGCCTGCAGGCCCGGGCTCCAGGAGAGGATCTGCTGTGAACATTGAAGAAGAAATCTGAGGCTGTGGGACCCCTGGAAGCAGGTGGCCCATGAGGCAGGACTTCAGCTCTATCAGAGTCAGAGGAGGGAGAGCCAGGATGGCACCAGCCTCCCACCCTCAAGTCCGGACAGACGGGGTGTCCAGGGCCCAGCAGGGAGTCAGGCTCAGGGTTGGCCCCTGGGGCTTGGGGCAGCCCCTGGTCATCTGGGGAAAATGTGTGGGGCAGTGGGCTATGGGGGACCCATGAATGTCACAAGACAGCAGAAGCCTTGCCCAAGGGGGCTGGGTATGGGGCAAGAGAGTGGAGGCCAGAGGACAAGGATGAGGCCACACCTAAGAAGGGGACCAGGGCATCACCTGCCCTCCCGAGGCTCGGGGGCCGGGGGGGCCAACCTATAAGCAGAAATTGCGTTTCTCCAGCCTATAAGCAGAAATCAAAGAAGCTCCATTACTTATGAAAAATCCAGCTGATGCTTATGTATTTAAATATTAAGCGGGAAGGAAGCCAGATCCTTGAAGTTCAGATCAAGCTGAGCACCCGAAATGAGGAAATGTCAGCGCCGGCGGGCTGGGGGCACGTACCTCCCTCCCCACCCGCCTCATGCTTTCAGCACTTCAGGGTTTTTATATCAAAAACGTGGAACACTGTTTGAAAGCAATGAAAGGTCTGGGATTTAGTCTGTGTAGGGAATGGGTGAACCCAGGCACTGATCCCTGGAAGAGAGTGAACTTCCCACACTGCCCCCACAGGCTGGTGACCCCGACTGCCCTCCTGGTGCGAGGCTGGTCTGTCAGAGACCGGTGGCCAAAGGAAGGATGAGAGAAGTCACCTCCATTTATATTTCTGGAGCCTTTACTACAGGCCAGACCCTGTTCTCAGAGTTTGACAATAATCCTCGCCACAGCCTCACTGCATGAAAAAATCGTGGGAAGGTGAAGTCTTTTGTCCAAGGTCAACCTCCTAAGATCAGCCTCTGGAGGGTTGAACCAGTAGCCAGGCCAGTGCTGGAGCTCTTGGCCTAAACAGGGCCCCGGCCCCACGAGCTTCCCCTGGACACCCCTCTCAACCCCACCCGCACCTGGAAGAACAATGGGCGTGGGATGATCTGTGAGTGTCCCGGGCGACTCTCTGAGTCTCAGGGCATGGAATTCTTAGTGGGGTTCCCCATCCCCCATGGTGGGGAGGCTGCAGAGAGGTGCCTGTCTTTGCTAAGTGAAAGGAGACGACCAGTGACACCCCCCCATGGCACACATGGGAAGGACCTGGAAGACATCTCAACCCATCTGCCAAGTGCAAGTGCAGAGGCAGAAAGGTTGAGAGGAGACGGGATGCAGAGCCTGGGGAAAGGACGGGCTGGGGTAAAGAGGGCCCGGCCCTGCCTCTGGGGGCTGCACACAAGCCCTGTGCTGGCCGAGGACCAGGTAGGCTGGCCGGCTGCCCCATGGAGAGGGGCAAAGGGGCAAACAGAGAGCAACACCTGGCATTTGTCTTCCTCCTGAGAGTTGCCTGGGCTCCATACAGAACGTAGAGGGTGGCAGGGGCCAAGATCACCGCCCACTGGCCCCACAGGATGGACACCGTCCTTCAAGGCTGGGAGGAGGGTCTGAGTGTGAGGGCTGTGGCTTCATTACCCATCATGCACAGCAGCATGTTCATGCAGTCAATCAGCAAACATCTGTGCACCTGCGAAGTGCTGAGAACGCAGCACTGAGCAAGACACTGCCCCTCCATGGAGGAACTCACAGGTGTGGGAGTGGGCAGGCAGGAGGCCGGGCGCACATGCAGTGTGTGAGCCTGAGGCACCCTAGGGCTGAGGAAGGGACCTGGGCTGCTCTGGGAGCCCCAGAACGCAGCTGGAAGGAGGAGGCGACCTTGAGCGAGCCTTGAGGGAAATGCACAAGTTAATCTGGCTGGAGGTACCTCCCCCACCATCATAGCCCACCCTCAACACGCAAGCTCACTGCGAGTGCCACACCCGGATGGGGAACGATCCAGCTCTCACCTCACTTTCTGGTGCACAGTGTCCCTCTGCAGCCATGACCCCCACCCCATGCTGCCACGTGAGCCTGGCCATGCTCGTTTACTTTTATTTCCTTTTAAAACTCTCTACTGGAATAGAATGTGCATTTATCATAAGTGAGCAGATCATTGGATTTTCACAAACCAAATCATCCATGTAACCAGCACCTACACCAAGAGATGGAACCTAACCAGGCACCCCCACAAAACCCACGCCCCTGCCCACTCCCAACACCCCACGCTCCTGCCCCACCCCTGCAAACCTAGGCTCATATCCCACCCTGCCCACCCCATGCTCCCTCCCCACCCACCCCACGCTCGCTCCCCACCCCTGCAAACCCAGGCTCACGCCCCACCCCTGCAAACCCAGGCTCACGCCCCACCCCACCCACCCCGCGCTCCTGCCCCACCCCGCGCTCCTGCCCCACCCCCACCCCACCAGGTAACCACCTTCTTGATTTCTCGCATCAGCGTCTGGCCTGTTTTTTTAATTTTTTTTTCTTTTAACAGCTTTATTGAGACATAATTCACATACCATAAAATTCACTTTTTAAAAGTGTACAGTTCAGTGGTTTTGAGTGTAATCATGGAGTTGCAAAATCATCACGACTGTCTAATTTTAGAACATCTTCATCACCCCCAAAGATACCCGATACCCTCCTCAGTCACTCCCCGTTCCCTTCCTCAGCCCCCACGCAGCAACAGTCACTCCCCGTTCCCTTCCTCAGCCCCCACGAGGCGACAGTCACTCCCCGTTCCCTTCTTCAGCCCCCACGCAGCAACAGTCACTTCCCATTTCCTTCATCAGCCCCCAGGCTGCAACTGCTAATCTGCTTTCTGTCTCTAGGGATTGGCCTGTTCTGGACATTTCATATCCACAGTGCCACCCATGTCTCACTCCAGACCTTGGGGGTCTCCCCCAATACTCGGTCTCCCCCATCGAGTATGACATATGCTATGGGATCTTCATATATGCTGTCCATCACACATCTGTACCACCGAGTATGAAACATGCTCTGGGATCTTCATATATGCTGTCCATCACGCATCTGTGCCATCGAGTGTGACGCATGTGGCTGGATCGTCATACATCCTCTCTATCATGTATCTGCACCATTATGATGTGTGCTGTGAGATCTTCATACGTGCTCTCTGTCATGCATCTGTACCTTCGAGTGTGACACATGCTCTGAGATCTTCATACATGCTATCACACATCTGTACCATTATGACGCATGCTGTGGGGTCTCCATACATGCTCTCAATCATGCATCAGTACCCTGCTGTGGGATCTTCATACATGCTCTCTATCACACATCTGTACCATTATGACGCATGCTGTGGGGTCTTCATACATGCTATCACGCATCTGTACCATTGAGTGTGACACATGCGGCCAGATCTTCATACGTGCTGTCAATCACGCATCTGTACCATCGAGTAAGACACGTGCTGCAGGATCTTCATACATGCTCTCTTTCACGCATCTGTACCATGCTGTGGGATCTTCATACATGCTCTCAATCATGCATCGGTACCATCGAGTATGATGCGTGCTGCAGGATCTTCATACATGCTCCCTATCACACATCTGTACCATTATGACGCATGCTGTGGGGTCTTCATACATGCTCTCAATCATGCATTGGTACCATCGAGTATGACGCGTGCTGCAGGATCTTCATACATGCTCCCTATCACACTTCTGTACCATTATGGCGCGAGCTGCAGGATCTTCATACATGCTCTCTATCATGCATCTGTACCATGCTGTGGGATCTTCATACATGCTCTCTATCATGCATCTCTACCCTTGAGTATGACACATGCTGCAGGATCTTCATACATGCTCTGTATCACACTTCTGTACCATTGAGTATGACATGTGCTGCGGGATCTTTGTACATGCTCTCTATCCCGCATCTGTATCGTTGAGTTTTAAAAATTAATCTCTCTCTTTACTTGTTATAAACCTATGCCAATTTTCTATTTCTTCTTGGATCAGTTTTCATAGTTTATGTCTTTCTAGAAATTTTCCCATGTCATCCAGTTATGAAATGTAGTGACATGCAGTTGTTCGTAATATACCCTGATAATCCTTTTTATTATTTAATTTAATTTTATTTTATTTTGAGACAGAGTCTCACTCTATTTCCCAGGCTGGAGCACAGTGGGACAATCTCAGCTCACTGCAACCTCTGCCTCCTGGTTCAAGTGATTCTCCTGCTTCAGCCTCCCAAGTAGCTGGGATTACAGGTGTATGGCACCATGTCTGTTTAATTTTTGTATTTTTGTAAAGACAGGGTTTCACCTTGTTGGCCAAGCTGGTCTCGAACTCCTGACTTCAGGTGATCCACCTGCCTCGGCCACCCGAAGTGCTGGGATTACTGGATAATTCTTTTTATATCTATAAGGTTGGTTTTTTTTTTTTTCTTTTTTTTTTTTTTTTTTTTTTTTTTTGAGACGGAGTCTTGCTCTGTCGCCCAGGCTGGAAGTGCTGGAGTGCATTGGTACAATCTCGGCTCACCGCAAGCTCCACCTCCTGGGTTCACGCCATTCTCCTGCCTCAGCCTCCTGAGTAGCTGGGACTACAGGCGCCTGCCACTACGCCCGGCTAATTTTTTGTATTTTTTAGTAGAGACAGGGTTTCACTGTGTTAGCCAGGATGGTATGAGGTTGGTTTTCATGTCACCTCTTTCATCTGATTTTATTAATCTGAGCCTTCTCCTTCTTTAGGTTTTGCCCATGTAGCTAAAGGCTTGTCATTGTCGTAGATCTTTTCGAATAACCAATTTTGGTTTTGTTGATTTCCTCTACTGTTTTTATACTCTATATTTTATTTCTTTTCACGCTAATCATTATTATTTCCTCCAACTGGTCTGCTTTGGATTTATTTTGCTTTCCTTTTTTTAGTTTCTTGAGGTAAAGATTAGGTTATTGATTCGAGATCTTTTTTCTTTTTTAGTATGTGTTTGCAACTACAAACTTCCCTCAAAGCTCTGTTTTAGCTGCATCCAGTAAGTTTTTGTATGTTTTGTTTTCATTTTCATTCATCTCAAAGCATTTTCTGATTCCTTTGTGACTCATTTGACACCCGGTTATTGAGGAATACGCTGTTTAATTTGTGTATATTTTTGAATTTCCTAAATTTCCTTCTTTTGCTGATTTCTAATTCTATCCCATGGTGGTCAGAAGATACTTTGCATGAAAGCAGTCTTTTAAAATATACTGAGGACTGGTGCAGTGGCTCACGCCTGTAATCCCAACACTTTGGGAGGCTGAGGCAGGCAGAAACCACCCTGGGCAACATGGTGAAACCTGTATCTACTACAATACAAAAAACATAAGCCAGGCATGGTGACATGCACCTGTAATCCTAGCTACTTGGGAGGCTGAGGCGGGAGAATTGCATGAGCTGGTGAGGCAGAGGTTGCAGTGAGATAAGACCGTGCCACTGCACTCCAGCTTGGGTGACATAGTGAGACTCCATCATAAATAAATAAATAAATATAAATAAAATATACTGAGTTTTGTTTTATGGCTTAAGATATGGTCTATCCTGAGAATAGTCCCTCAAGATCCTTAACTTACTTACATCTACAAAGACCTTTATTCCAAATAAGGTCACATTCCCAGGTACCAGGTGGGCATATCTGGGGTCAGGGGGTTTCGGGCAAGGAGGGCATGTGAGCTAAACGCACAAACACCCAGGAGTGTGTGGGTGTGGGGCTCTGGGAAGTGTGAGGCTCTACCCCTGTCCTCGCCAGGCTGCTTCTCATGTCTCTACCCCCAGTGCCTGGAAAAGTCTCAGGCGCCCATGAGGAAGCCTCTCTCCCAGATCCTGGGCCCCAGCACCTCCCACCTGCAGCATCGCACAGGCACAGGGATCCTCGGCACTGAGTGACCCTCGGCACTGAGTGACCCTCGGCACTGAGGATCGGAGGCCGAGGGACACTTCGCAGCTGTGAGACTGAGACCCCGACGAGCAGCTTAACCTCCAGGGCCTCAGGACGTCTCCTCCAAGCTGGGTTGATGATGGCTGTGCCCAGAGGAACACTGTGCTCCCCACACCTGGCTTTCCCTGCGAGGACACGGCATCTGGGCTGGGCACGCGTCTGGGGCCCCTCCAGGCCTGGCGAACACTGTGCTCCCCCCACCTGGCTTTCCCTGTGAGGACACGGCCTCTGGGCTGGGGGCACGTCTGGGGCCCCTGTGGGCCTGGCAGGTCCTTGTGGGAGGGTCTGGGGACCAGCACCCAGTGCACTTTGGGATAAAACTTCTTTGAAAATTTTCTCGCCCTTTTCTGGCATCATGGACCCTCCCCAAAGACTGAAAGCCACCACAGTGAAGGAGAATCACCAATGATCGGGGCTCATCCTGGAGCCCCTTCCTCCCGAAGTGGCAGAACCATGTCCAGGAAGGAGCCAAGGGGTGCTGGGCTCCCCCACCACGGCCCCACCCTTGCCCTCCCTTCCTCCACAGCCTCCCCTCCACAGACAGCCAGGGACATGGCCAAAATGGGGATCCCTCTCATCTGGCAGTTTCAATTCTGTTCCCATGGAAACTGCTATCTGAATGTGGGCAAGAAAGAGGAGCCATATTCTTTAAAATAACAATCACTCGGAAACTTTCATGGGCCTGTGTTTTCAGTTACCCGTGGTTTCCATGGAAACTCAAGCCAAAAACAGAGCTAAATAAAGAAGGCACTGGGTTTCCCCTGCTACCAGCCCCCCGGGGAACTGTGGAAAGCCACAGCCCTGCCCCACAGGGAGTTGCTCACCACTGCTGTACAAGGATGCAGGACCAGCCCTCCCAAATCAGCCACGGGGCTGCCTTCCTCCTAAGCGCATATGGGTGTGGGAGACGCAGAGAGGGAGGGAAGGAGAGGGGCCACAGCTGCTTCCTGTCCCTGCAATCAGCCTCTCCTACCCCAGACTCACATGGGGAAGGCACACTGGGCTGTGGGTGCCCCAGGCCGCCCATGCCGGCAGAGGTCACTCACTGGGGGGTTAAGGGCCCATCTCAGCATAGTCAAGGCTACCTCACCGCTCCCCTTTTCTGAAAGTCGCCATGGGGCAGGGAGGGATCTGCAGCAGGCGGGGAGGCCTCTGGTGGAGGGCATGTAAGCCAGGCCAGCATCTCCCAGACAGCCCTGCACAGTGAGCCGAGCATGGGCTTGCTTTGACAGGCTCTTGCTGCTGCCCAGAGACCTTGTCCAAGAGCTCCTACACTGAGGGCTGCGGACCCCATGTCTGTTTTCCACCGAGGAAGTGCTTGGGAAATACCCAGGGAACGGACAGCACAGAAAATCCCCTGAAGATGCGACATGCAGGGGCCCCCGTTGCTTCTCCAGCTGCAGTTCCCGAGAAGAGGCTGGTTGTGCAGGAGCCAGGGCAGCTGGGGCCCCCTGGCCAACTCGCTGCCGTCCTGCGCAGAACACTGGCTCAGCAGCCAGACGCAGCCTACCCTGGCGGCCCTGCCCGGCCTGAAAGGAAAGTCATCTGCACATTCTCTCGCATCCTACCTGCTTTCTCTTTCTTCTTCCGTTTAAACAATGCTCAGGACACCGGCTAGACCGTGTTTTCTTTTGTTTTGTTTGTTTTTTCTTTTAATAATGTCTACATTCCTTAAAGCAGTGCTTTTATCTCAAAGCAACTGGACACGTGGTTACGTTACTCTCAATTTCCTGCCACCATCATCACATTTGAAAGATGCTGGAGTCATGAGCCTGTGAACTCTCGTGACACACCCACTCGGGTGCTGGAGTCATGAGCTGGTGAACCCCTGGGACACGTCCACATGGATGCTTCTCAGCTCTCACCCCTTCAGTGCCAGATCTGTGCTGGGCCCTCTTCTGCAGGGCCTCAGACTCTGCGTGGTCCAGAGAGGATGCCGTCATAGCCAAGCTCAGGCGGAGGCCTGGGGTCCGTCCCAGCTGCATCCCCCACTGGAAGGAGACAGGTGGGAAACAGGCTCGGCACCAGCCTGCCCGACTGCAGAGCAGGAATGCTTTTCCCTGCGGAGAACACTCCTCAGACCTCCACTCTTTCACTAAAATTTGAAGTAAACATCTGTATTTAACTCATCAAGCCTCGTCACAGACGCTTCACCTTCAGTCTCCCAGGAAGATACATTTTTGGGGTAATAGGATGGGAAGCACAGGAGGACAGGAGCATGGGAGGACGGGAGGATGGGAGCCTGGGGGGACAGGAGTACGGGGGCACGGGAGGACAGGAGCATGAGAGGACAGGAGTTTGGGAGGACAGGAGCCTGGGAAGATGGGAGCACAGGGGCCACGGGAGGACACTAAATGGGACAGGAGCACGAGAGGATGGGAGCACAGGAAGACGGGAGGATAGGAGCATGGGAGGACAGGAGGATAGGAGCACAGGGGGCATGGGAGGATGAGAGAATGGGAGGATGGGAGCACAGGGGGCATGGGAGGACACTAAATGGGAGGACAGGAGCATGAGAAGACAGGAGCACAGGAGGATGGGAGCACAGGAAGAAGGGAGGATAGGAGCACAGGGGGCATTGGAGGATGGGAGCATGGGAGGACAGGAGCATGGGGAATGGGAGCACAGGAGGAATGGTAGAACGGGAGGATGGGAACACAAGAGGACAGGAGCACTGCAGGACGGAAGCACAGGAGGATGGGCTCATGGGAGGACAGGAGCCCGGGAGATTGGGAGCACAGGGGCATGGGAGGACGGGAGCACAGGAGGCTGCCTGCAGTGATTTTGTTATTCCCTTAACTTAAAACCCAGGACGTGGGACCAGATGTTTGAGAGACACATTAAAACCAGTGAGAATTAAGCATAGGGAGCGTGATCAAAGCTCATGCCTCTCCCAATACCATTTTGGTTCCTAACAGTTAGAAACAAAAAGACGTCCCTATTCTGAGGCATGAAGTATGAATGTGAATTTAGATGAAACTTTTAAATTGATCTTAAAGGACAGACAAATGTCAATGAACAGCAGAGTTTACAAATTGCAAGACAGAGAAGAAGCTTCACCAGCCTGCGGGAAGATGCCTCGGCAGCGGCGGGAGTGCGTTTCCTGCACATATTCACCCATCACTCATCTTTCATCCGTGCTCCCTGAGCAGGTGCTAAGGCAGAGGGTGCTCGCTCAGGGCGAGAGGCAGGCAGAGGCTGCAGTGCCGGCGGGGCAGGGTGTGGCTCCTCTGCAGGGCCACGGTGGACAGAGGTGAGGTACCAGGAGGCTTGAAGGAGGGGTGTCTGACCCAGCCCGGGCACCACAGAGGACTGCCTGGAAGGAGCTACCACTGTGAGCCCTGACAGAAAAGAAGGCCTAGCCCAGAAAAGAGGCAGTGTCGTCGGCAGATCCCAGCCCAGTCAGGCCTGGCGTCAAGAGATGCCTTCAAGATGTAGGCAGCGTAAAGACCTATACACACACACACACACACACACGCAACACACAACACACAACACATACACAGACAACACAACACATACAGACACACACTTATAACATGCACAAACAGCACACACACAACTCCCACACACACATATGGATACATACAGAGGTGGCTCCAACAGGATGGGCTGGCCTGGATCACAGGTCTGTGTGCCCTGCGGCGGGGGGAGCCTTGGGCGGCGGACACAGGGTCTTATTCTCCAGCCACCCGGTGCAGTGGGGACTGTGTGCCCTGCGGCAGGGGGAGCGGCAGACACAGGGTCTCATTCTCCAGCCACCTGGTGCGGCGGGTTGGTCCCTGAAGGATGTGTGACCATGGGTTGGGCTTCCAGGGCTCTCTGCAGGCATCCAGAACAGATCCTCAGGAATGTTCAGCTTCGTATTCCGCCCCCCACCCCCCAAGCCAAAGAGGGGCTGCCGGCTTCACCCCACAGGCCCCCTCAGCCCTGACTTCCCACGGGGGCTGCAGCAGGGTTGCCCGGGACGTTGACTCGTGGGTGAAGAACCTGTCCCCGGAACCCCACTGGGACGCGGCCTTGGCAGAGGACCCTGGACCACTGCTGGGGACAGAGCTGGGGGGAGGGGACAGGGCCATGTGCCCACCGTGGGGGACAGAGCTGGGGGGAAGGGAAGGGGCCGTGTGCCCAAAGCTGTGGACAGGGCTTGGGGGGGATGGGACCATGTGCCCACCACTGGGGACAGAGCTTCTGGGAGGAGACAGGGCTGCTCCTCCTCCTGCTCCTCCTCCTCCTGCTCCTCCTTCTGCTCCTCCTTCTGCTCCTCCTCCTGCTCCTCCTCCTCCTGCTCCTCCTCCAGCTCCTCCTCCTCCTGCTCCTCCTTCTGCTCCTCCTTCTGCTCCTTCTTCTGCTCCTCCTCCTATACTTTCTCCTGCTCCTCCTCCTGCTCCTCCCCCTGCTCCCCCTCCTGCTTCTCCCATCCTCCTACATGCTGTGACCAAGCAGACCAGGTTTCACCTGGTCATCCCCAGCCACTGCTATTACTGAACTCACTGAGGGCCTGGAACTGCAATGAGTGGTCACGGCCCACAGAACAGAAAGGGCCCCTGATACCCACACACTTCCTAGGGATGGAGCAGGGAAAGATATCTTCTTTTACAGCCCTACAATATTAATGAGAGTTCTGAGGAACTTTCCCATTTCTCTTAAGGGACGGGCAACCGTCACCCATCAGCACTGCCTCCTCCACCGGGACAGGAGGAGCTGACTGCTGGGGGCTTTCAGAGCATCTGCCCCGACGGCCTCCGGGCCCAGCCACCACACCCACCGCCCTCAGCGGCATCCTCCAGTGTTCAACACTGTCCCCAGCTGAGGCTGAAGGTCCCATCAAAGAGAAATGGAATCCAAGGGCTGGAGAGGGAGGGAAGATGCCGCTGGGACAGCGTGTGAGTGGCCAGCCAGGGGACGCACCTCCTGATCCGGCCATACACAAGGCCACCATGGGGTGAAATGAAGGCTAACGTGGCAGTCAGAGCCACGAATGAGGAGTGGCTCAGCCACGTACAGACGGGGTGGTCAAGTTTGAATAACTTGCTAAGAAATGGTAAACCCAACTCAGGAAGTCTAAACCAGGAAGGCAGCTGACATCTAACAGGGCGCTCATGGCGGGCTCTGTGCCCTCATTTGCTCATCTGTGAAGTGGGGATGAGGATGACAAGCTTGTGGGCTTGGATGGTTGATTCACTTTCTCCAGCTCACACAGGGCACAGGTGCTGACTGGGGATTCAAGCCCCATGGTCAGGCCCCAGGGTGGGGACGCTGAACCAGGTGCCCTGTGGGTTCTCCGGACAAAGCCAGGGTCTGGGCTAGAGCAGATGTCCAGACGTGGAGTCCAATAAGACGGTCGGGCGGGGCTCTGATGGGGCCACATGGGCAAGCATCTGACCTTTCCTTCCCGGGCCTCCGTGCGCACAGGCCCCAGCCTCCCGCTTTAGCCCCTTCAACTGCCTGTCATTTCTGAAACACACTCCCCTTCCCCGGCTTCCAGCTCCACACTGCACCCCTCCCACCTTAGCTCAGAGAGAGGCTGCTCCCTCAGAGGCCTCCCTGTGAGCCTGCCTGGGGCACTGGCACTTCCCTGCTGGGCCAGAGACCACACAGGCCTTACCAGCTCCTTCCTCCCCACTGGAAGCTGATGTGGAGGACAGGGCTGCGGCCGCCTGGCCCACTGCTGACCCCAGCTCCGCAGGAGGCCTGGTGCAGACATGGCAGGTACTCAGGGAGTGCTGCAGCTGGCACTGGGTGAACCAGGGCAAAAACAGTGGGCACCATGGTGGGTAATACCTAGCAGAGGGCCCGGCACAGCAGCCACGGGGGCCAGTCAGTGGCACAGCCACCGCCATCACGAACCACAGGGCCAGTGGCACAGCCACCGCCATCACAAGACATGAAGGGGACCTGAGTCTCTGCAGAAGAAAACACTGCTCCTCACGCAGGAAATGCCAGGCTCAGCTGGTGCCTTCAGGATGCAGGCAGCGTAAAGACCTACACAAACACACACACACACACATGCAACATACAACACAAAAACACACACATAACATACAACACATGCACACAACACACACATATAACACACAACAGGCACACCCAACACACACAGACACACACACAGGGACACAAACATACCTAACACATATGTGCACACACACTGGACACACACCCTGCATTCCAGGCTGGCCCCTTCTCTGCCAACACAGCCACAGCTCCACGGAGCTCCCACAGGCAGATGGCCCAGCCGAGTCACTCCACCTGCTTCAAGCAGAGGCCGGAGCATCCTCACCAAAGGACAGGAAGGCGCAGGCTGACACCACGCCTGCAGGGCAGGAGGCTGCTCCACAGGACAGGGATTATGCAGGATCAGGAAGGGAGCTGTTTAACACCAGTGGGCGGAACTCGCCGCAGGAATGCAGGACTCTGACCCCCATAATCGGGCGGCAGGTCAGCGGTGAGGGAGCTGCCCCAGGCGTCAGCTGAGGCAGGTGGGGGACTGGGTCAGAGCTGACCTTCACCCGAGCCGAGGGCCAAGGCTTCACCGGGAGCCCAGCGCCCCTTTTGTGTGGCCAAGTCAAGGGCGGGCAGGGCTCTGTGCCTCCCCTTCCCACTCCCAGCTTCAGTGAGTTTTGGGGGAGGGGTATCATCTACAGCTCCAAGCTTCGGAGGGCACGCAGAGCAGCATGCAGAGCAGCATGCAGAGCAACACGCAGAGCAGCATGCAGAGCAACACGCAGGGCAGCATGCAGAGCAACACACAGAGCAGCATGCAGAGCAACACGCAGAGCAGCATGCAGAGCAGTGTTAGCACAAGAGTGTCCCACAGCTCCCCAGGCCATCACCTGGACCCAGGGACAGCAGGAGAAGGAAAAAGAGGCAGCCACGAGGGAGGAAGGGCCTCTGGCTCCAGGTGGCCTGGCCGTCGACCCGCAGGGAAAGCACTCAGAGTGTCACGAGTCCCCTGGGCTTCCTCCTCCGGGAGCAGCCACGGGCAACACAGCCCCGCCCGTAGGTGAACGTGCCCCCGGCTCTGCCTCAGCATCGCACGGAAGACCAGCTCGTCTGCCGCCAGGCCTGGGGAGGAGGTGGGCGCCTGCTGGGGAGGGGCCAGCATGGGGGCACGTCCCACAGCCTTCGAGTCAGGCTTGTGTTCTGTATCCCCTCCTCATCAGAGCAATCAGAGCAGCCTGCTCTGCGCACACAAACCCTGCGTGCGTGTTAGAGGAGAACGTCCCTGCCAAGTGGGAAGTGGCCACCTGCCACCACCTCCCCACAGCTGGGCATCCACTCTTGAGGATGGGCCGCTCACCAGCCTTTCCAGCAGGGCTCTGGGTTCCAGAGTGGCAGCTTGCCTGGCTGTGGGCCTGGTCTCACGTTCACAGCCTGGCGCTGCCACCCACAGGGTCCTGGGAAAGCTGGGATGGGACTCCATGGGGCCTGGGCACATAATGGCATTATACTGGGGAGCCACTTGGTAACTCAGAGCTCTGGCCACCCTCCTTGAAAGTGGACACCCGGCCTTTTCCCCTCAGCCGCTCTCTTTCCCTTTCTCCCTCTAACACACACACACACCAGATTCTGTAAGGAGGGCACACGATTTTCTTTGACTTACTCAGTCTGGTCATCATCTCCTCAAAAAAATATATAAATACCTCCCAACGGCTCCCCAGCCTGGAGCTGAGGCACGACAGGGGGCTGGGGAAGAGGGCGGCCACGTGTTGAGAGTCGCCTGCGCATGGAGAGCGCCTTGCAGCCAGCTGGGTCAATGCTGAGAGACCTCCCTGCAGACAGTGTGCCTCCCACGGCCTGCACCTGGGCTGCCCCACCTGCCCTCCGTGTGCCTGTGCACAGCGGCTCTGTCCGGTGAGGAATTCTGGTGGAACCAAAGAAATCCCTGTTGAAGCTGTGGTTTGACCTTGTGTGGAAAGAGATTGAGCAGAGATCCCAGAGGATCCCTCATTCTGCTTCACTGGGGAGGGAGCAGCCCTGCAATTGTGCAGCGAGTGCCCCACCAGGGCAGGGGCACACACCACGGACACCGACCCTCCCACTAGAGGGACCACCAAGGTGGCAGCAGAATCTGCCCCTCAGCGCACTGGGCCAGAAGCAGACAGCTGGTGGGACACAGCCTGTGTCCAGGAAGTCTGGGGCCCCGAGGCTGGCTCTGTGCCTGGTTGCAGCACTCGGCCCCTGCCATGCAGCCACAGGAGGCTGGCCACAGAGGAGGCCGGTCAAGAGGACGGAGAGAGGGCCTCTCGGTCCCGGATTCCAGGATCAAGAGGATGGAGAGGGAACATCTAGGTCGCGGATCCCACTGTCTTGAGGTCAACTTCATTCCTATCCTACATTCTTGAGACCTCTCTTATAATAAATAAAGCGTCCTTATAATACATGGCTTATTTTGCTTTAGCTGGTTTGGTTTCTAGCACCTGTAGCCAAGAGTCCCAACCAGCACCTGTAGCCAAGAGTCCCAGCCAACCTGCGCCATCCTGACGCCGCCGCCCTCTCTGGCCTGCTCGGCAGTGGCCTCCTCCCTGTCCCTGGAGCCTCAGGATGGAAAGCTGAAGTGGGCTCACCCCCCGGGACCCGGCTGCAGCCCCTCCCCGAGGCCTGCCTGGTCTCCTTCCACCAAAGCTGCACCGTCTGTCAGTGAAGCACAAACAGTTCAGGAGCAAGGCGCTGCAGGCCCATACATTTCCTTCCAAATACTTATTCACTAAAGCACATGAAACAGGAAAAACAGCATCATCCAGTATGTAAAGGTTTATGAAATGATTTTACAATCCTCAGGCAATTCCAGGGTTTCTGTCCACTCCCTAGCTGTTGCCACACGCACAGCCTCTGACCTTCCTCAGCCTCCCACTGGGGCCTAGGGACCGGAGCTGCCCGTGGAGCACCTTTCCACCCTCTCCCACCTGACCTCTGGCCTCCCGGCTCCAGGCTGGCTGACATATGCAGGACCCCAGGGGCTGGGGTGAGCCCCTACTGCCTTTGATGTCAGCCTGTCCCCCTCCAGGAGGCTGCTCTCCCTCTGGCCCTCCCCCACCATGCCCTTTTCTTCCCACATTCACTTACCCTGGGTGCCCCAAGCTGTTCAGACAGACAGCGTGACTCCAACACACCAGAAAAGACAAAGGAGTCACACAGAGCCAGAAAATCCTCCCAGAGCCTCTGCTTCTGACCTCTGGGGCCAACCCAGCCCCACGGGGCTCTGGGTTCTCAGCTGCAGACAGCGGGGCTGTGGTCACACGTGCCCTGCTTGCTAGGGTGCTGACCCTGGGCAGCGAGGCCTCCCTGGTCTCCACCAATGGTGCAAATCCCATAGCAGGGACCAACAGAGCTGGAATCACCACATCCAGGGGCCTGGGGGAACTGCAGGAGGCCCCGCCCTCCATATCAAGAAGCAAAGGAAGCAGGTAGGAGCACAGGCGCTGCGGGGGGAGGTGGAGCATCTGCGGTCGCATTCCCCTACCCGACAGTCCAGGTCCAGGTGACAGACAGGAGCTCAGAACACAGGATGTGAGTGCCCAGGTGCTGGCCAGTGGGCTCTCAAAGCTCAGGGTTACGGGGCCTCAGGGTGGGGCACTTTGGGCTGGCAGCCTCAGAGGCCGGGGGAGCTGTGGGGCTGGGGCTGGAGGTGGGAGCACATGTCGAGGAACCACAGAGGAGTCACCCCAGAAGCCCCCTTCAGTGGGTTTCTCCCGCTCACTGCAGTGGACAAGAGCTTGAACGTCTGCCCGGGGAGTCTGCAGCTTACCTGGGCCCCACCTGCCTCCTGTTTTCATATGACTCACAGCTAGGAATGGTTTTTACACGTTAAATAGTGGGAAAAAAATCAAAAGAGGAAAACTATTTCATGACACTTGAAAGTTAAATTTCAGGGGGGGTGAGTCAGCTTTCCTGGGAGCAGGGCCACAGCCGATGGGTTTTCCACCGACGGAGCGGCTTTCATGCTGCAGGCAGAGTGGAGCTGCCACAGCAGAGACCAAGTGGCCTGCAAAGCCTCCGGTATTTATTCTCAGGAATTTGAAGAAAAAGTTTGTTGACCTTTGCTGAAAACCGTCAAGACCCATTAAAGAGTTCTCATTTTAGAAGCCCAAGGAGAAAACGTGATGTGGAATGCGGCTCCACAGAGAACTCACCACTTCCTCCAAGGAGGAGCGACCAGGCAAAGGGGACCTGTCCTGGGAGTTGTTCTCCAAGTCTCTCTGTCTTTCCTTGATCATTTCAAAGGGGCTCCGGGGCTTTCTGTCTTTGCTGGTGCTCTGTCTCTGCTGTTTATCCGTCTGTCTTCTGTTTCATTTCCGGTCTTTCTCTTGGCCTTATGCATAGCTTAAGACCATAATCCACAGTTTTTACACACAATTCACATCAGGAAAAGCTTTGATATGGTCAGAAAGGTTACTGTGTGTGCTTTCAATGTAGCAGAAGGCATTGAACACTTCCAGGTTGTCTTTGGCTGGGCTGTTTTGCACCTCAGTAAAAATAGACATTTGCCTGGAGAAGGCTGATGATGGTGCCGCAGAGGACTCTTGCATGGAGATGCAGCTGAAGTGTAGACCCATAGAGATACAATTGATTCCTGCCCTACAGAAAAGCGTTTGCAAGCATTACATTGTTGTTCTACAAGATACAGCTTTGTATCTAGCAGCAAATTCATTTCCACATTCCCGATTGTATATACAGTATCTTCCTCCGGGTCTCACTGAAACTGGTTTTTATATTACTGGTTCCTTGTTAACCAATGAGTTAAATGAAAATCTTTGGCATGAATTTATTTTATATTCGACTTATGATTTTGGCTTTTAAAAAGATTATTCATGAACTTCCGTGACCTCAGGTGACGACGTGATACTTACGAGCTCAAGGATGTTGGAGCAGCTGTGTTGTGGACCAGACAGAGCAGTGTGGAGGCCCCACGAGTAGCCACACCTGGGCCACTGGCCTTGGGAAGTGCTCCTTCCTCCCCGGCAAAGATACAGCCAAGGATGCCTCAGAACCCACTGACCTGGTGTCATCTCTCCTATGGCTTCAGATGCAAATTGAAAATTGAGTGTTCTGAAGTCAAAGCAAAATTCAAAAAACTGCTTCTCAGTTCTCCTTAACTTGTTCACACATTGAGATTTGTGACTCGTATTTTACTTAATGCAAAATTGTTCTGCAGTCAGTGACAACTTCTTACAAGCATGCATGCTAATTTGTTTTACATCAACACCGAATAGATGAAATACTTTTAAAATTATAGAATACAATACAAATGCTGGATACAAGTGGATTATGAGCATAGCACCTTTCCCTGACCCTACAGAACTTTTGATACTTTTTTAAATTCAATGCTCAATCAACACACCACTTTAATTTGGCATAGGCCAGTTTGGCTGGTCAGGCTCTTTTGGTAACTATCTGAAGGTCCCAGTGGTTAGAGGCAGGTGGGAGCTGTAGTCCCCTTCTTATCAGTGACAAGGGGAATGGCACAATGAAACAAGTCTTAGACCAGATTTTGCTAAATGTTTCCAAGTATGCACAAAATCCTGTTCTTGTGGCCAGGGGTAGCCCCGCTGTCAGCCCTCAGGAATTCCGAAAAGTGCTTCGCCTGAAAACTTGACTCTGAGGCCACTGCAGTGATGTTCCGGCGGCAAGCACCAAACACGCACGAGTCAAGTCTCAGAATCCTGCCTGCAGCGCAGGGGAGAGGTGGGCAGGACTCACGGGTTCTGCCTGCAGTGCAGGGGAGAGGTGGCCAGGACTCACAGGTTCTCCCTGCAGTGCAGGGGAGAGGTGGCCAGGACTCATGGGTTCTCCTCGCAGCGCAGGGGAGAGGTGGGCAGGACTCACGGGTTCTGCCTGCAGTGCAGGGGAGAGGTGGGCAGGACTCACGGGTTTTCCCTGCAGCACAGGGGAGAGGTGGGCAGGACTCACGGGTTCTGCCTGCAGCGCAGGGGAGAGGTGGGCAGGACTCACGGGTTCTGCCTGCAGCGCAGGGGAGAGGTGGGCAGGACTCACGGGTTCTCCCTGCATCGCAGGGGAGAGGTGGGCAGGACTCACGGGTTCTCCCTGCATCGCAGGGGAGAGGTGGGCAGGACTCACGGGTTCTCCCTGCATCACAGGGGAGAGGTGGGCAGGACTCACGGGTTCTCCCTGCAGTGCAGGGGAGAGGTGGGCAGGACTCACGGGTCCTCCCTGCGTCACAGGGGAGAGGTGGGCAGGACTCACGGGTCCTCCCTGCGTCACAGGGGAGAGGTGGGCAGGACTCACGGGTTCTCCCTGCAGTGCAGGGGAGAGGTGGGCAGGACTCACAGGTTCTCCCTGCATCGCAGGGGAGAGGTGGGCAGGACTCACGGGTTCTAGGCCCCAAGGAATGCACTAAAGGTATCAGGGTGCTGGGCTCTTGAAACTCCAGCTGCTTCCAGGGACTGGCTGGGCCTGAACAATCTTTCTAAGCCTCTGCTTATATTGAATAATCCTCAGTTTACCAGTGAAAAACAATTTCTAACATCTGGTATCTGCACCAGAATTAAACCCTCTGGTATAGATTTCGATAATGACATTGAAAGTGCTAAGTAACCACCTGCACAGTGTGGATCCATGATAGAAGATTTCAAGCAGCTCCTAAGATGTAGATTATGGTTAACTTACACAAGCATTGCAATTTTTATGCATAAGTATGTTTGAAGTTAATTACCACATAGGTAATAATACTGCCTCTTTCTCAGGGGACGGAGAGGAATTCGTACACCAGCATATGAACCTCACCCGAACTCCAGGAGGGACATTGTCATTAGTCACCAGGGTTGGATCCATGCAAGGGGCCTGGCACTAGGAAGGCAAGGCCTGGTCTTAGCCTCTGTCATTGCTGTCTTCAAAGTCTCAATGGTTTTTTATTTTTGTTTTTGTGTTTTATTTTGTTTTGTGTTTTAATGTGTTGTTTTTTTGTTTTGTTTTGTTTTGTTTTCGCAACGTGTGGCAGGCCAGGTCTCACTAACAACTGTTTTAGTACTGACTGAGTGGTTAAGTTAAATATTAAAAGCCAGTGCCCTTATACAAAGGCTAGGCCTTTCCTGGACTTTAAAGGATGACAAAATGACAAAGAAATTTTTAACAGAACCCATTTAGGATTAAATAAGTTTTATTGTGGGTCTGAAGAAACTCTCCAGACCTCCACAAACAAGTTGATTGGGGATCTGAAGGAAATCCCCAAACCTCTGTGATCTCACAGGAGACAAGAATAGACTTACACAGGCATTGTAATTTTTATGCATAAGTATGCTTGAAGTTAATTACCACATAGCTAATAATACTGCCTCTTTTTTAGAGGACAGAGAGGAATTCGTACACCAGCATATGAACCTCACCAGAACTCCAGGAGGGACGTTGGCACTAGGACGTTGGCATCACCCCTGCACCTGGACCCATCTAGATGAAGTAAACTTACTGAGGCTCCAGAAGAAGGTCTTCAGGACTCAGACGTCAGTTATAGATTAGAAGAAGT
Organism: Homo sapiens; assembly: GCF_000001405.40. Taxonomy (NCBI): domain Eukaryota; kingdom Metazoa; phylum Chordata; class Mammalia; order Primates; family Hominidae; genus Homo; species Homo sapiens. The sequence continues at coordinate 131,756,104 of NC_000010.11, forward strand.
TAATCACTTATGTCTGTAGACGAATGTACACTTACATGTAGACATAGAGCTTAGAAGGTACATAAGCTCTGGAAGACTTTGTAATTTTGAGTTAGTCTGGCGATAATTTCCAGGCCTTCTCCCTGTAACCGGTTGCAGAAATAAACACCCTCTTCCTCCTCAGTTTTTCTGCGTCTCATTATTGGGCCATGAGAAATAGAAATAGCAGCCCGACCTTTAGTGTGGTCTGGAAACAAAGGGGCCTCCCATTTTCATTTTGCACTGAGCTGTGCAAATTCCGTAGCTGGTCCTGCTAACTACTGTTTCAGCCCAGGAGCTCTGAGCTGACCCCTTCTGCAGCGGCTCCTCGCCACCACCTGCCTGGAGCCAGGGGATTCTGGAATCTCATCAGGGAGGGGCTCATATGGCACAGTGTGGGGTGGCTAGGACCACCCAGCAAAGTCTGAGGCAGTCACACGTACACGTGAGGGGCGGGCACTGGCTGAGGAAAGTCCCCAGAAGGAAAACTGTCTCTGAGGCCTGAGGTGGTGACGGCCGGCTCCCACTTCCCCACCATGCCCAGGGTCTTCCCAACATGTCAGGCAGAGTTCCCCGGGATCAGCTTCTGCTTCTGTAGCTTCTTCTGGAAACCTCTCCCCATGCCTTCTTTCCTCATCCTCTCAAGTCTCCTGCTTTATCTTCTCTTTATTCCCCCACACAAAGGAAAGGCTCTGCTCCCCGTTCACCACCAGCCGTGATGGTGCAACCAGCCCAGAGCTCTGAACCCAGGCAGAGGACCCTTCCCCGAGGCCTGGAAGTGCTTGGTCCTCCAAAGACACAGCAAGGGGAGGAAACTGTTTAATTCTATTCTTCTAATGCAACAAAGAAAAGGAAGAAACACCAACAGGCTGCCATGTTAAACCCACATGGAGGTCTAACTTTTATGTATGGGCACTAGAATCATTCAGACACCTGCTACGAGCACTGGGGAAGTAGTCAGCTTTTTAATTTATTTTTTTTTCTGTTTATCATGTTATCCCTGATCTTCCCTTGGATAGTACATGCTAAAGACCGATCATGTGCATTTAAGAAATGGGGGTGGCCGTACAGGACAGGTGCCACTTGTGAGTCCTTCTCAGAACACTTAGTTAACAGTTTACATTTCTTTGAGGGGGACGATGAATCACAAAAACAACAACATTCTCACTTGCATGTCCTTAAAGGATACGACGTTCATAAAATGGTTACATAAAAACACGTGGCAGAGATTTTATTTAACTTATTAACAAGTGAAGAAATCATAAATTATTACAATTGGTTAAAAAAAGAATTAAACATCTCTACCCACACACAGGCAACCAGGGATGATGACATAGTGTGTGAGTAAATCAAAAACTGGTCATTGTCCAAGGTCAACTGTATGACCCGGATAAAATGTATTTGCAGTTCTACGGGCCACAGTCATTTACATGCCTGTAAGTTTCTATGCCATAAAATAAAATGAAATAGCCCACAGACAGTGAAAGACACTGGCCCCTCCAGAATCAGGCGGCACAGGGTGTGGTAGACCAGACGTGTGGTGACCGCTATTCCTGCATGTCAAAGTCTTGCCATTTTTCCCAACAATATATTAAAAAGCTAAAAGTTCTAAGCCCGTAGGACACCAAGGCCTTCTCTACTCTGCCTTGTGTGTTTTTCGGGGAACTGCACAGCGCTGAATGCCCGGTCAATAACACGGCTGATTGGGTGCTTGCAGGCACTCAGGGTGAGAAGGAGCGGCAACGTCACACATTCCACTCGATATCCGCAGCTCAAGCACACAGAACAGCAGCTCCACACGAGCACTCACTGGAACCCGGAGCAAAGGAAGAGCCCCTGGGAACCCCCCAGCCTGGGAGCTCCACTGAGGAGGGTGTGAGACATCACCAGCTGTGCCTGCATCCCCATCACAATCTCATAGAGAGCGGGAACAGCTTCCCAGGGAACAGCTCCGCACCCTGGGCATGAACACGAGTGCGTGTGTGTGACTATGAGAGTGTGTGAGGGTGTATTTGGGCATGAGTGTGCTGTGTGCATGTGTATATGTGTGTGCGCACATGTGCATGTGTGCATATGTGTGCATGCATGTGCATATGTGTGTATGTGTGCATGTGCATGTGTGTGCATGTCTGCATGTGTATGTGTGTGCGTATGTGTGCATGTGAGTGCATGTGCATGTGTGTGCATGTCTGCATGTGTGAATGTGTGTGCATGTCTGCGTGTGTGCATGTGTGTGCATGTGCATGTGTGTGTGCATGCATGTATGCATGTGTGTGCAAGTCTGCTTGTGTGCGTGTGTGTGCATGCGTGTGTGTATGCATGTGCGTGTGTGTGAATGCACGTGTGTGCGTATGTGTAAGACTTTGGAGGACAAGGGGTTGACATGAGAGTCATGAGAAACCAGCCTGCTGGGGCCAGCGGAGCCCATGAGGGAGCTAAGAGGGAGCTCCCTCCCCACACAGGCCGATGGGCAGAGGCCCAAGCCCTGGTCAGCCCCTTGGCTTCCTCCCCTCACTCCAGGGAGCCAGTCTTTCCACCCAGGAAGGCTGTCAGCTCCACAACAACCCCAGGGCTGTGTACCCAACAAGCTCCACCCAGGTGGCCTCCCAGGAGCCCACAGAGCAGATGAGATTCTCCCTGGAGCGGAACACATGAGCAGAGTGGCCAGCACCTGCTCCTCCACAGAGCAAAAGGGACATGCTGCTTCCGGAGGCCCAGCCCTGGCCCCGGAGAGCAGAGAGGGACGTATGGAAAGAATGAGGCCTCGGCTTGCCTGCTGGGGCATGAAAAGAAATCACAAGGCAACAAAACAAAAGAAACAAGGCTGGGGTGCTGCTTCCATTTCACAGGAAGAGGCCTCAGAGGAGCCGTGACCCAGGGGCCCCACGTCAGGGTCACCTTCAGTGCGCAGGTGGCTTTGCTCCCGCCCACCCTCCCCCAGCCCTGGAGACTCCCATCCAGGAAAGAGGCGGCCGGACTTCAGGAGCCCCACAGCCAGCGCCAGCCCTCTCTGCTTAACTGGGACATGCCCAGCTTCCCTCAGCAGCTGGCTCGCCCTGCGCTGACCTGCAGGGCCATCTTTAAGTCCACATCCCTCTACTGAAGAGGGACAAGTGGCTCCCTGCCCTCAGTGAAATCCAAAGTCATCAGTGTTGAGACCACAGGGCTGTGAATGGCAGCTGCCCTGTCAAAAGCATTCGAAGCAAGCGGCTGCGGAGAATCCTCCCTGAAAAATCTGTGGGAAAACCATGGCCGCAAAGTCTCACCACCCCGCACGGCACCATAAAAATACACCTAGGGTATTTTTCAACGTGAATGAATCAGAAGTGGTCCCTGCGGCTGCCTATCAATTACTGTCTGGCTGGGACCAGGCATCTGTGCTCCCCTTAGTAGTCGCTGCGTGGCTGGTGGTAGGACCCGGAGACCGGAGGCTGCGGGAGGAAGCCCAAGGCCCTTAACCTGGTCAGGACATCAGGGTGTTAGACGCCCTCTGCCCTGACAGGGAATCACTTCCCAAGCCAGTCACCGTGTATGGCTGTATTCGTACCTTACAGCCGCTGTGACAAATCCTCACAAACGGGGAGGCTCTAGCAGCACAGTTACCATCCAACAGCTCTGGAGATCCCACACCTGGCCTGGACCTCACTGGACTAAAATCAGGGTCTCAGAAAAGCTGTGTTCCTTTCCGAGGCTCCAGGACACATCCGCTTCCTCACCCTTTCCGGCTTCCGTGGGCATCTGCCTTCCCTGGCTGGTGGCCCCTAGGCCGTCTCAGAGCTGGCGGTGCAGCACCACTCTGGCCTCCACTGGCTCTGGCCTCCTCTCCTGCCTCCCTCTTCTGTGTTCATGGGCCCTGCGAAGACATCAGCTTCCCTGGGTAACCAGGAGGCTCTCCCCACACGCAGGTCAGCAGTGAGCAGCTGTAACTCTCCTTGATCATGTAACCCTCATACCCCCAGGCCCTGGGGCATTCAATGGGGACATCTTTGGGGCATTCTCCTGCCTGCATGTCGGAGCCTGGCATGTAGAGATGCTTGGGAAATAGTCATCCATGAGATGAATTTGCAGAGTTGTACCAATGAGGATAAAGGCTCAGAGGAGCCACGTGATGGCTGGTGATTACAGCTATCAGGTGAGACAACCAGGACTTGCACAGACATTGCAAGCTCACGTTATCAATTGCAGGATGTCTCTTCAGGAAGAAATGAACCCACATAAAGAAAACTTGTCACTTTTTAATTGGGAGATTATTCTGTCCACAAAATAATCGCTACCAGAGTATAGGCTTCAAAGTTACATCTTGAACTTGTGGTCAGGAGGGGGCAGGGCATTCACACTTCATTTTCTTCTCTGCTCCAGACACATGGCAGGCGCTGAAAAAAGCCATGAAGGATGTAGCCTGGTGTCCGCTAATGACAAGCACAGCACTACGGGTGGCCAAAGACCCCGGCCTGTGGACCTCAGGTCTGGTAATGGGCAGCAGGGCCAGCGGGCTGCTTCTGAACGGTGGAGAGACTGAAACTGCCCATACAGGGTGGAGGAACCCCAGCCAGGTGCCCAGCATGAAGGGACCCTGCCCCCCCAATAAAGCTGCCAGACCTCCATGAGGACTTCAGCACCCTGAACCCACAAGCCAGGGTAGGCAGGAGGCCCTGAACCTCAGGGTTCAGTAGTGAGTCAATCCCCTGACAACCATGGCTCCATCTGGGAGACACCCCATGCTCCAGTGGGACAGAAGCCCAACCACTGCCATGAGACAGGGCCTTTAGGCAGGAGGCAACTGCAAAGCCGCTAGAAAGAAGTGCAGCAGGAATGGAGGGAGGGCAAGAAAGAGAAACGGACTAACAACAAAACAAAACAGAGCAAAACTCCTCCCACTGACAATGAGTCTGCAAACAATAAGACTCCAGCTGAGAGGAAACCTGATGCTGAGACCCTGAGGACAGCTTATCCTTCAGCAGCATCCTGGCACCCACCACCGAAACAGAGAAGCACTGAAGCACTGAAACACCAAAACACTGAACAGAGAAACACCGAAACACTGAAACACCGAAACAGAGAAACACTGAAACACCAAAACACCAAACAGAGAAACACCAAAACACTGAAACACCGAAACAGAGAAACATCGAACAGAGAAACACCAAAACACTGAAACACTGAAACAGAGAAACACCGAAACAGAGAAACACCAAACAGAGAAACACCGAAACAGAGAAACACCGAACAGAGAAACACCGAAACAGAGAAAAGGTGAGATATTTTGAACCTATTTCAAATCCATGGGCCAGCACAGTGGCAATGCCTGGACAGGCCCTGAAAGGGAGGTGAAAGCAGAGCCTGGGGGTGCACCCAGCCAACAGCACTTACCCCACAGGTACACGCCACACCTCAGAGCCCCCGAGCACTGTGGGGAGAAGAAGATGGGGCCCAGCACTCACCCACAGCAGGGAAACACAGGAGACCCCTAGATGAATCTGGGACCATCTGTGGGCTATGCCCAGTGTAAGAGTGAACAACAAATAAACCGATCACTCAGAAGGGGGCAGAAAGAAAATTTACCTGTCTCAACCCTGGAATTATGTAAAGGGAAAAACGTAATCTCATCTTGTAGTCGTAACAGCAAATGGGTCCTCAAACAGGTTTGTGATCAATGAGGCTACCCTGTGTGACCCCGAAAACCTCAGGATAAACTTTAAAGTAGTTCCAGATATAGATGGCCCAAGTAACCTCAAAAGTTGAAAGAGAGAGAAAGGAAGAAGAAGGAGGAAGAGGAATAAGAAGAAATGGAAAGAAGGAGGAAGGAAAGGGAAGGGAAGGGGAGAGAAGGGGAGGGGAGGGGAGGAAAGGAAAGGGGAGGGGAGGGGAGGGGATGGGAGGGGAGGGAAAAGGAGGGAGAAATGGAGAAAAAGTCCTCTCAACTTCAACCCAGGTCTCAAAGAACTCCCAATTCAAAGGAAGATGAGTTCCCCACACAACATACACAAGGAACAAAGGTGCCATGAGTGTAAGTGAGTGGGAAAAACAGAAAAGCAAAAATAGATTCAGTAAGACCATAGATATTGGAAACACCAGACATATAACATTAATATAATATTAACATTTTAACATGTTTTAAAAATTGGAAGGAAGTTTCAAAAGGAAGATTAAATGTATTAGTAAGAAACAAGATATTTGAAAAATAAAACTTCTGGTAAAATATGAGTGAAAAGCAGCAGACTAGCTGGAGTTTGAGAGAAACTTGGTAAGATGTGTCAGAAGATGTTATCAGGGATGCAGTCCAGAGACAAAGAGATGGAAAGTATGAAAGTGATGGAAAACATTAAGACATGGAAGATAAGATGAATTAGGTCTCACATTAATCTATTTGAATTTCAAAAGGGAGTAGAGAGAAAAATGAGAAGGAGGCAGTATTTAAAGAGATAACAGCTAATAATGTTCGAAAAACAAAAAGACACTAAACCTCAGATCCTAAAATCCGCCCCCTCAACTTTCAAGCAGGATGAATATTATAAAATCCACACCAAAATGCATTATTTGAAACTAAAAAACATCAAAGACAATGAAAACAATCTTAAAAGCATCTAGAAATAGCTGGGGGTGGCGGGGGAGGGACTGTTGCGTACAAAAGAAAAACAGATTAACTGCTGACTTCTCAATAGCAAAATGCAAGTTAAGACAGTTGAACATCTTCAAAGTTCCAAGACAAATAGTTTTCAACCTAGAATTCTACACCAATGCTAGAAGTCTCTAGAATGAAGATGAAACAAAGATATTTCAGGAAGATAGCACTAAGTTTGTCACCATGCAAATTAGCTTTGCTACAGCACAAACCACCCCAGAGCTTCACGGTGTAAACCCTCATGCTCCTGAGAGTTCACTGGGCTGTGGACAGAGGGGCCAAGCTGACTTCTGCTCTCCCCTGCACCTGCTCCTGAGAGTTCGCTGGGCTGCGGATGGAGGGGCCAAGCTGACTTTTGCTCTCCCCTGTTCCTGCGGTCAGCTGGCATCTGGTCAGCTGCTGGGTGACCCAGGATGGCCCCCTTTCCACACCCGCTGCTGCCTGGGACCTGAACGCTCCTGTTCAGGTTCATGCACAAGGTGGCCCAGGGTCCAAAGCAGGAGGAGAGCAAGCCCCCCTCCACCGCCACAGGCAAGCACCTCACACACATCTGCCAGTATCCCCTTTCCAAGCCAGCTCCAAGGGGTGGAGAAGCAGGCTTGGTAGGGAAAGAATGTATGGGCAGTTTTGCAGCCTACCACACACCAAGAGACCCCAGGCAAAGGAAATTCTAAAGAATGCAGTTTGGGCAGAAGGGAAGGACCTCAGACGGAAGGTCCGTGATGCAAGAAGAGTGAAGATGGTGGGAACTCATGGCATTGAAACAAACATTGACTCATTACAAACAAGGCCTGCTCTGCGGGAGTCGGTGGGGAAAGAATCCCGGACAAAGATGCAAGAGGTTCAGAAATAGACGATCAGAATTTCAGCACTGAAAGATCTACGGTTGTTCAAAAAGGAGAATGAAAGCATTGGCACTCCGGGACTAGATGAATTATATATATGTTAAAATATCTAGGACATCTGCTAAGAATAGGTGTTTAATGTCTACCATCCAAACGAGTAGAGAGAAAGAAGTGGAAAAAGAAAAAGAACACTTGCGGAGAACCAAAAGCATTTTTACTCCCATGTGACTCTTGGTGAGTGAGGCTGCATCTCTGAACAACAGAAACCTCTTCCTCAGAATGGCTGTGGCAGCCCTGCCCCCTCAGGGTGCAAAGAAGAGGAAAGGGAACTCATCCCGGGGGCTGGCAGGAGTGCACACATAGCAAACAGGGGCAGGATGAGGCTCTCTTCAAAAAGAAGAAGACAGCACACAAAACCATCAGTCTGAACATAAATGTTAGAAAACTGTCTAACAAACACTTTAAAACCCCACCATCTTAGCCATAGCTTTTCATATTTCAACATCTCTGAAGTCTGGACATATCTTTCCATAAACAACATGACCTTGTTTAATCGGCAGCATTGTTTCTTTCTAAAGAGCACACAAATGGCTGGTGCATCATATAAGCAATGGAATTTTAGAGTAAATGAAAGGCAGTAGATATCATGATGAATAGGAAGTGCTCGGCATCCCAGCTGCTGCGGAATGACAGCAGGGAGCCCCTCACTTCTCTTGCTGCCCCTGCTCTCCCCAGTGCCCCCAGTCAGCAGAGTCCGACACGGAGCTGCTGGCGATGACCACTGGGGAAGTCTCGTGCAGACCCTAGCCCTGGCATCAAAGGGCTTGTACTGAAGTGTAAGTAAATGTCAAAGAAATAAGTCAAGGCCCAGTGAGGAATTTTGAAACAGAACAGGCAGAAATAAAACAAGAAGAGGTAAATGTGAAAAAAAAAAATCCAACCACAAATCTCGGAGATTGCAAAATGCAGTTCCTGAAATAAAGAAATAATCCAACCAATATGATATATCCCAGACTGGAAAGAGTTGAGAGGAGAGTTTGTGAATTGGAAAATGTTGATGAGGAATTCGTTCACAACACGGTACAGAAAAACCGTAAAATTAGAAGTGTGAAAGAAACTTGGAAGAGAGATCGAAATGATCCAGTGTTCACCTACTAGGAGTTCCAGAAGAAGAGAATTATGAAAACTCAGCATCTGAACAGATAGTGGCAATATTTTTCAAAAACTGAAGGAATGCAAGTCTAAGTTGAAAGCAGGTTACATAAAAAATAAATTTAAAGGTAAACACAAGGAGTGAAACCGAGGGTTAGCTGTACACGAAATATTTTACAGCTGTGGGCTGAGGTTGGATTCCGCAGGAGCAGGCCCCGAGAGAATTAAATGCTGGTCCAGGAGGGGACAGAGGCTGTGCAGGAGTGTGATGTGGACAAATCGCATGGTTCTGAAGACAGTGCGGGTGACACCTCTGGGCGGTCCTAACTGGGGCTGCCCCTGCAGCACATGCCTTCTCAGGCCTTTGTGGACATCTGTGTGCTGCAGAGCGGGCTCCTGCAACCTGACAGCAGCCATCCAGCAAGGAGGTTCAGTTCCTGCCTGCCGGGAGCTTGAGAGCAGGAGCATAGAAAAGAAGTCAAGGGAACATAGACAGATGGCATCAGCTCTGCCACCAAAGAGCCAAGCAGGGCCTGTGATGGGACAGCAGCTGGACAGGCTGCAGACCCCATCGAAGTAGCAACGGTCACCATGGAACTTTCCTCCTACCCACTGCAGCATAGGGAGCATAAAGAAGACAGTTCCACCACTCACCCTCACAAGAGAACCACCAAAGGATGTGCTTCAACAAGAAAAGTGGTGACTGTAGGAACAGTAATGAAGCATTGCTAAATTAAGAAGTAGAATCAGAGTTCCAAATCAACAATGATAAAATTGGAGGAACCTGTGGCCATGGTCAGGGAAGAGACATTGAGTAGCCAGGACCTTGGTCTGAGCCACGAGAGGGACGGGTTCCCAGACATGCCTTCTCTCCAGTGGTCCTCAGAACCCACTACACATCTAACATTTATTGAGCACCTCTCTCTGGCAGGATCTGCACCAGATTCTGGGCTACCAAGACCAATGAGGCATTGCCTCGCGCTCAAGCCGGTTACCATCCCTGCTGTGGGAAGAAGGATTGATAGGCAAGCCTTACAGCCTCAGGTAAGAATTCTAACCTAAGTTATGATGAAAGTATCCACACAAAAAGATCGACCTTGCAGACATCCCTTTTACCTCTTGCAACCCCCTTCAGGTAGGCTTGACCCTTCCTGGTGGCAGGCAGGGCCCTCCTCCGATCAGTGGCCAGCAGGATCATGATGAAGCCATTTCGCACCCCCGCTCTGCCTCTCACAGCTGAGCAACATTGGACCCGTTACTTACCCTGTCTGTACCTCAGTTTCTTCACCTATTAAACCAAACTGTCATACCCCATACGGTTGAGGGGAGGATTAAAGTGCAGTCATGAGTCGCTTAATGATGAGGATACATTCCAAGAAATGCATCCCTGGGTGACCTCATCGCTTTGTGAACAATGCAGAGTGCACCTGTGCACACCTGGACAGCACGGCCCACAACACAGCAGCCTGCATGACACAGCCCACGGCACACCAGCCTGCACGATACGGCCCACGGCACAGCATCCTGCACGACGCAGCCCACGGCACAGCAGCCTGCAAGACGCGGTCCACGACACAGCAGCCTGCACGACACGGTCCATGGCACACCAGCCTGCATGACACGGCCCACAGCTCCTAAAACAGCAACAAACCTGTCCAGCAGAGGACTGTACTGAGTACCGTAGGCAATTGTAACGCAGTGTTGTTTGTGTGTTTAAGCATATCTAAATATAGAAAAGGGACAGTTAAAATAAGGTTAAAAACCTTTTTTTAAAAGGGCATACCTCGGGTGTGGTGGCTTACGCCTGTAATCCCAGCACTTTGGGAGGCCAAAGCGAGTGGATCACCTGAGGTCAGGAGTTCGAGACCAGCCTGAACACGGTGAAACCCCACCTCTACTAAAAATACAAAAATTAGCTGGGTGTGGTGGCACATGCCTGTAGTCCCAGCTACTTAGAAGGCTGAGGCAGGAGAATTTGCTTGAGTCCATGAGGCGGAGGTTGCAGTGAGCCAAGATTGCACCACTGCACTCCAGCTTGGGTGACCGAGCCAGAGTCTATCTCAAAAAAAAAACAAAATTTAAAAGGTCAGACCTGTATAGGGCACTTATCATGAATGAAGTTCACAGGACTGGAAGCCACTCTGGGTGAGTCGGTGAGTGTGTGGTGCATGAATGCGGAAGGCCTAGGACATTCCTGTACACCACAGCAGGCTTTCTAAATACTGTGCTGCTGAATTTATTTTAAAGTCTTTTTCTTTCCTCAATAATAAATTAACCTTAGCTTACTGTCACTTCTTGATGTATAAACTTTTAATTGTTTTAAGCTTTTTTACTCCTTTGTAATAACACTTAGCTGAAAACGCACATTGTACAGCTGTACAAAAATATGCCTTCTTTATATCCTTATTCTATAAGCTTTCTTCTACTTTTATTTATTTATTTATTTATTACTCTTTCAACTTTTTTGCTTAAAACGAAGACACAAACACACACATTAGTTTAGACTACACAGGGTCAGGAGCATCCCAGTGTCACGAGGTCATAGGAACAGTTCAGCTGCACTGGGGTCTCATGGGAGCCCCACCGTACATGCCATCCGAGGGACAGAAGCACCTTTATGTGGGGCGTGACTGTAACTCATATACGTGAAGCTCTCACGACAGTGCCTGTAAGCACATAAGGTGCTTATTTTTCATGTGTTTCATCATTATTATTAGACTATTAGAATATGCCGTGACTATTAGAACATCATAGATAAAACGCTGCTGGCCTGGAAACGCTGCTTCTGTCCAGCTCTCATCTAACGTTCGACCTACTCCATTGGGCTCTAATACACTCCTAGCTCATGGCACTCAGAATCACTAGTGAAGGAATGTGATTTAGACAACTTCCCCTTTCTCCTGCCCCTCCTGCCAAATATCCAAGTCCTTGTCTTTATCTTGATGATCAAGGCAGCTGTGCAACCCCTACATACATGGGCTGTGGGCCCTTCCCCAAACACAATCGTTATTTGTATGGAACTATATATACATATATGTGTTTCACAGCACACTACTATTGACCTTGTCATAATAAAGTCCTTGTTTTGCTTCAGGTCCCATCGGATCCATCCATCAATAATCTATTGTCTTTTTAAAGGTTCACACTCCAGCATTATAAAGTGCTCATCTGGAAATTAGTCATTTCAATCATCTGATTTCATTCAGATCCACGCCTTAGGCCCCTGACGGAACTCGTGCCCAGCACTTCACATGGCAGAAACAAGGTCACTCGTAAATTACAGACGTTCCCTCTTGCCCCTAGCTCTGCTCTGCCAGTCTTCCACCCTCAGAAGGCCTCAGGCTTGTGACCAAATAAAAAAATAAATGCAAATGCATTCCTAGCTCTTTTGACTGTCAAGGGTTAGATTACCTTTGGAATTCTCCTGTAGCTTGGGCGAGCTCCCTGGGGTGCAGCCTCAGCTCTTCTGACTCAAGTCATAGAGGGTGCCCCAAATCCATCTGCACTCCATCCTAACTTTAGCGTGCTTCTTACTTTTTGGTAAATATACTAAACGGCAAGAAAGATATCCAACGCTGGAGATGACAAAAGCCAACATCTGATATCAAAATCATCTTTTTAAAAAAACAAACTGTATTTGGTTCTTCTTTAAGAAAATCATTGTGATAGACCAATGCTGCAACTGTTCACATATACAGGGATCCTCCATGTCCCCACTGCCTACTGGGGACCGCCAGCCCTGCTGGCTGACTCCTGGTGATAGGAGGGGGCTCTCTGGAGGCCACCTCCCTCCACAGCACTGCACAGTCGCTGGGAGGACCCCTTCCTGCTAACTGGACCCTGTCCCTTTGACCAATCTTGACCACCCTTGACTACCCTTGACCACTCTAGACCACTCTTGAATGCCCTTGACCATTATTGACCACCCTTAACTACCCTTGACCACTCTAGACCACCCTTGAACACCCTTTATTATTATTGACCACGCTTGACTGCCCTTAACTACCCTTGACCACCCTTGACTACCTTTGACCCCTCTGGACCATCCTTGAACAACCTTGACTATTATTAACCACCCTTAACTACCCTTGATCACCCTTGATCATCAATGAAAACTCACCCTAGTCCTGGGATTGGGCTGGTTTAATTTCATTTTTGAAGTCAATTCAGTTTTACATGCACTTATTGAGTGATTCCTGTGTCCCTCCCACATTAATCCTGCTCTGAGCCCAGGGTCAGCCACTCAAGTCTCACTGGAGGGGGGCAAGCAGAGGAGACCTTTGGCCAAGGACAGTCCCCCACACAAGGTAAGGCTGAGGTGAGCACCCATCAATAGTTCCCTACTGCTTAATACCCTGAGGGGGCTCAGCTTTGCATAGGAGCTAAGCATATGTAATGATCTGTGCATATGTAATGACCTGCACATATGTAAATGACACACCATACAGAAGTAAATGAGCTCAGTCCCACCTCCTCTACAACCTCTCCCTTAGAGACCATCATCGGAGCCTCACGGTAGAACCTATTTGTACAAAAACTTACTCTGGTAATATTATTTGATGCTAGAGGAAGCCTCTCTGGTGAAAATGTGAAACCTTTTGCCGGCTGGTTTGCAATGTGTTTCAAGTTGATTGCTGCCATCTGACATAGCAAGTTCATTAGACACATTTCATCTCTCTAAGTAAATGGATATTGGCGACTTCGTCTCACCCCAGTAACAAATGCACTGGAGGCATGAGAAGCCCGCACCTGCGGCAGTTCCATCCTGGCTTCCATAAAACGCCCTGGGAGAGGCTGTGTCTTCCTCGGGGCGGCCCAGAGGGCCCAAAGCGATCCTGGCACATGCTCCGGAACCTGTGTAAAGTGGCTCATTTTCATGCACAAAAATGAGAGGAGAAAAAGGTTTTTTAATATTAATGAAACCGTTGCTATAACATCTACAGCGCGCCAGTATGAGTATCATGATTAAAAATTGACTTCAACTTAGAGCCAGCTGTAAGCCTCATTGAATTTTTATGGGTGTGTTGACTAAGTCACCCCGGGCTAAGTCTTCTGGTGTTGATGATAATATCCTGGTCTCCTCTCCAAAAATCCATTGGAACTGACCGAGCGTCTAGCACCGCCGCCCACTGGCCAAGTCAGCTGGGTCGATACCTGCCAGGCTGCTGGCTGGGCTCTGCTCCATGGACACACTGATCCGCTGACATGAATGATTTGTCTGTAAAACCCAAATTACCGTTTCACTCAAAGTAACACTTATAATTTTTGTCTCCCTGATGATGCTGGCCTGATCCATAATAGCCCCTTGGGGGACACCAAGCCTGGTGGTGCAAGGGACTAGGAGGGAAGCCAGAGACGGCTGGGGTTTGTGGCCCCAAAGCCTGAGGGCTGGGGCCAGGGACATGACGACCCAGCAGCTCCTGGAAAGGCAGCAGGCATCCACAGGATTCCAGAGGCAACATTCTTACCCCCTTCTGTTATTGCTGACGCAGTCCATCTGCCACGCGTTTGAAGGGACAATTCTCTCCTCCATATGAGAATAGGATCTGCATTGCTTTGCGTCTTAAATGTTAGAATGTGTTTCCCATAATATTGTTTTCTCTTTCCATCACTCAGCACCAGGCTGGCAAGGCCAGCTCCTTGCCCTCAGGAGCTCACAGGGAGAGGAGAGATCACCGTGAGGTGCAGGCTGAGCCATGGAAGAGGGTTGTGAACACAGACAGAGTCGTGAAAGCCCAGGGAGGAGGCTGTCCCAAAGGAGACTTTTTAGAGGAGAAAACCTTTGTTACGGGTTTGAATACTAGAAGCTGGCCAAGCCAAGGACTCAACATCTAAAAGGCATGCAGGGAGAAGAGGCCTGTGTTTCTGAAAAGTGGGAGATAGAGTAACTGGATGAGGCACGATGGGGAAAGGGGGATGGGGGACAGTGAAACTGTGGGGCCTCAGCTGCCAGGCCCATGAGTGCGAAGCCCACCCTTCCACCTCCCCGGAGGGGAAGCCAGCAGAGGGCTCCTGGCCCAGGGAAAAACTGCCAGCCTCTGGGGTGACGTGGGGACCAGGGCAGGAGGGCAGCGAACAGCTGACACCTGGGCCCAGGGGAGCACAGAGGTGGGGCGGGGAGGGGTGAGGAGGGGAGGAGTGGGGAGATGCAGGACAGGGAGGGGCAGTGTGGGGGAGGTGGGGCAGGAGGTAGGAGAGGGGCGGGGCCCCCGACCACCCTTTCCAGGTAGCTCCTTGGCAGGGTCCGAAGCACCTGTACCTGGCATGGAGGCCGCAGTCTATGGGGGGCTGGGGCTTATCGGGTCCCAAGGCCTCAAGGGTCACTGAGCTAGAGGCTGTCTGGCTTCTCCCTGGAGCTGGCACTGGGGCTTCTGGAATTCTGGAGGTTCAGCTGCAAGCCGTGGGCCCCCTGTCTCCCTCCCGCTGCCGGGAAGCCCAGGAGCTGGTGACGGTGCAGGAAGGTCGCCACCTCCTTGCTCTGGAACTGAGCAGCGCTGGCCCCACCTGGATGTCGCCTGGGTGTGGCACTCATCTGGAAATTCCACTTTAAGCAGCGTGAGGAACGGGCTGTGGAGGGAGACTTGTGACCAGGGCTGGACCATGCTGTCATTCTGCCCCTTCGCTCCTTCCAGAGCTCTGCCGTGGAGCAGGTGTGATCTGAGGAACTGTGTAGCCCCAGGTGGCTCCACCAGGCCCCTGGAGAGCTCAGCTGCAGAAACTGGAAGAATGAACCAAGGGCCGTAGGGGCAGAGGCCTGCAGCCTGGGTGTTCTGACATGGACAGCGCCTGGGACAGCTGGGAAGGCCTGCGTGTGTCTCAGGAAGGCTGTTTCTGGGCTGAGATCCTGACCCCGAGGGCACGTACATGAGCAGGGACACAGGCGCCCACCTGCTCCACTCTGCAGGAACGCAGGTCAAACCCTGGGATGGATGTGGTGATGGGTGCAGTGACAGGTGCAATGACAGGTGTGTTGCTGAAGTGACATGAGAGCCGGGGCCGGTCTGGACCTACTTGGTGAGGCCCAAGAGCAGGGCGTCCCCTGGGCCGGAGCCACTGGTGCCATCTGAGTCAGAACCAGAGTGGGTGGAGCGGCAGACGGGTTGGCAGCCAGCTCAGCGTCCTGCTGCCTCCTCAGTGCTCACCCCACGGGCTGGAAATGGTGCCCAGCAGGAACCTGCGGGGCCAGACGGACACAGAAGGAAGGACAGCAAGAGGTGGGATGGTGGCCTTGGGGAAGGTGCAGCTGGGGGCACAGAGCCTGGCCCCTCAGGACAGGGAGGCCACAGATGAACCCACCTGCCTCTATCCAGGCCCTCACAAAGGTCCCCCACTGTGCAAAGGCTGCACTAGCCATCAGAACAGCAGTGGGTGGGTGAGAAAGGGGCTGAGAGGAGGCCAGGCCACCTGCCTGAGTCTGGCCAGCCCCCAGGCCTGAGTGAAGGAGGCTGGGTCTGAGCGCCAGGTGTGGAGGGCACAGGGCTGAGCGGGCTTACTCAGGGCCTCCGTGGTGCAGGCACTTGCCAGAGGCACCCACACAGCTCTGGACACCACAAAGCCGTTTTCCACAAAGCCAAAGGCCTTTGAAACCCCAACCGGCTCCCTCAGTAGAAGACTCACTCACGAAACCTAGACTTGAAAAACATCAGGAAGGAACTTTGGCTGCTGATTTTCTTTTAATTTGTGATTTTAGGGCAATTATTTTATACAGCTGTTGATTGCTCTGTGTTAGGGAGGAAGAGAGAGGCCATTCGAAGGAGGTGCCCTGGGTCCAGCCTCAGCCCTGGGCAGGAGGGAGGGCGTCAGCCTGGGGGTGGTCAGGCATCAGAAGTCGTCGTTTCCCCAGGAGCCCCCACGCCTGGAGTTAAAACAGATGCGCCATGTCAGGTGCCAAGGCTGAACTTTAAACAGCCTCAAGAACAGCACGTTGAAGTGCAGTGGTGACGTGATGTGGAAACTCTGGCATGTTGAAATAAAATCCATCTGGTTACTGTAAAGATCAAATCTGAGTTTTAAAAACCCCCTTCACATTTTTGTTCATGCGAAGGCAGAAGGACTTCAAATTCTTCCAACCTGCCTTACAGATCTCCTTAAGGAAAAGTTGAAGGGATGTGTTCTTTCCCTCTTGGTATCGTTTAGAAGTAACAATGGTTGTTGCCTCCAGGACTTCAGCACGACCATAGCAGGTGCCATGACCTGCCTGGCCCTGCCACCTGGGTGGGACCCCAGCGCCCCCTAACTCCCAGCCCGGCCCCTGAGACCTCAGCTTGCCATGAGAATGGCCCTCCTGCCTCTTCCCTCTTCTCTCCCCAACACAAAAAATCCACCAGACCCAAAGATCAATGAGTCAAAACAGCGGCAGAGGAGGAAGGCAAAAGCTACTGTGGATGCAGTTCCTTGCTCTGTGATTTGGAGCCTCTGAATGTGCCATCTCTGTTTATTTCGTAGGCTTTTAAAATATTTTGCTGCCAAAATCTTCTATAGAAGATTTGTAATTTTAACACAGGCCCCTAAATCATTCCACGTATTGATCACAAAGAAAAGCGAACTGTGACATCTCTTTGGTCACACCTCCGCTGGCTCACTCGTAATCCCGGGGATGCGGCTGTTTTGTAAGTAAACAGGGAGGGAGGGAACTGACTGCTTGGAGCCAGGAACAGCACTGTCCATTTAAACGATCATCATCCGTCTAAAGCAGTGATTCTCAGCCAAAGACAGTTCCCCCCAGGGGACATCTGGCAGTGTCTGGAGGACACTCTGGTTGTCACCCCTGAGGAGGGGGTTGCTGCTGGCTTCGCATGAGTGGAAGCCGGCCATGCAGCTCAACATTCTGCCACTGCAGCCTGGCATCCCCTGCTGCCAGGAACCACGCAGAGAGGCACTGCTCCACGTGGAAACCTGGAAGGAAGGCTTCCTTCGTCTCTCAGAAACACAACTCGCTGGCATCACCCTGGAACCCAAAACGTGAGGTTTTTGTTTAGCCATGAAGAATGTCTGCTTCTGCAGATGCCCACAGGCAGCTCACACGCACACACGCACGTGCACAGACGCCCACGTGGGTGTAAACGTCACGCACTTTCACACCCCAACCTTGGCCTCGCCCATATTTGGCCACATACCGGGCAGGCAGGCCGGCTGCCGTCGTCTGATTTGTCAAGCGGCTCCCCTGTGCCTTATTCTACCTGGTACATCGTCTCGACTCCCTTGGGGCTGTGTTTTTCGGAAGACATCAGTCTCACACAAACCCATCCCAGGAGGACAAGTGATCCCAATGATTGCATCGTTGTTTGAGAAAGAAGAAAAATTCACAGCCGCCCTTCACAGTGTGCTCAGAGTAAGTTGCTGGCTCAGGCGTCAGGACCCATGGCCTCTGTTTCTCCAGGAGGTTCTCTGCTCACAGTGTGCTCAGAGTCGTCGCCGGCTCGGGCATCAGGACCCATGGCTTCTGTTTCTCCAGGAGGTTCTCTGCTGAGGGAGGAGATATACATGCGTGATTCCCAGCACTGTAAAAACATCAACATTCAACTTCATTTTTTTAGGAAAGAGAATTTTTTTAAGCCTATTGGAAGTTTGAGATAAATTTCAGGAACGCCTCCAGAACTGGATACATCTGTGTCTGGTGCTTCTGGAAGAATCTGACTGTCACAGGGCACGGGGCACATTTGGGGTGGAGCGTAATTAAATTAGCCCTGTCTGGGGACTGTTCTGAGGATGTCTGAGGGATAAGCTGTACAGATGAAATGTCAATATTTTAATAACTTTCCTTGAAAAAAATATTGCCGTGTAATTCTCTCTTGGTGCGCTCTCAGTGGCTCGTTCTGTCCCTGCGGAAGTCGGCCTGGAGGAGTTATGGTTTTAGCTATTGATTCCCTCCCTGCCCCCTGCCCCCAACACCATGGGTTGGGACGAGAAGCAAAGTTAAACCGGGGTCAGACACATGGGAGGCTCCAAAAGCCATTCGCAGTCCGGTCTATTTTCCACCTCGGTGACGAGAAGATCACCAGGCTTCTGCCGCTCCACTGGATTTAAAATAGCTGTGGCAGCAAAGCAAGTCTCCTCCCACAACACACCCCACCGAGAACCCGCTGCAGTGAACTGAAAGAATCAGAGCAAACCCCCAGTGTCTCCCCAGCCTCAAGAGCTCACCAGTCAGGACGTGGCAGCGCCCGCCTCCTGAATCACTCCCGCTGGGGTTCTCTCTGGCAACGCAAAGCACAGCACAGAAGCAGGACGAGGCCCCAGCCTCAGCGGTCAGCGAAGAAAAGACCAGCCTGCAGCCCCCACACTCTGTGGGGCCTCCCTGAGCTCGCTCCAGACCCCGAGGCCCCAGGTGTCATGAAGGCAGAAGCACACCCACTCCCCAACGCCCCAGTGGGCTGAGCTCAGTGGCCCGTGCAGGGCCTGCTCCCAGCCTGGGATTCTTGCCTCTTCTGTTTCACCCCCACTCCCAACAAGGTGTTCCTGAGACCACCCCACAGACACTGATCCTTGTCTGGAATCTGCTTGTGGAGAAGCAAACCAGCAAAAGATATCACAGGGTGGGCAGCAGGCTCAATAAAACTCACCACATCTTTAATGGCTTAAGGACAAGGTCCCACAGCTCCTACTTACTCCCACGTGAGCAACCGAGAGACTAGAAGGAGAATATGATCCACAGCATGTGCCCTTCCACTCAGATTCCAAAACTAAGAAAGAAAAAACCCTTTTGTGCCTGAGTCAGCAGAGGGGGGACCTAAAGGCTTTGCCTTCTGGGGATGGGCAGACAGGAAGCCTGGTCCCACCTACAAACAGGCAAGCAGAAAGGAAACGGACGTGGGCTTCTGTGTCACCGCCTCAGGGCCAGGACGCGGCTGCAAAGGACCCGTGGAGAGCATCGGAGCGGCTGCGAAGGACCGGTGGAGAGCGGCAGAGAGGCAGGCCCCGGCATGGAAGCCGCTCCTCGCTCAGCTGGGGGCTGAACCTGTGTCTGCAGCTGGGAGCTCTGGCCTGAGGAGGGAGCACTTGGCTTCTCGATGGGACTGGGTGAAAACGAGGGTTCAAAGTTCCTAGAAAAAAAGGTGGGAGTGGAGAGGAGAAGGAGGGAGAGAGAGCAAATGAGGCAGCAGGACCCTCCTAGGAGCAGGGCTGGCCCAGGGCACAGGCTGCATTTCCACAGGCCCCTCCGCAGAGAGGCGAGGGTCCCACAGGCACCCACTTCCTTCTCGGTGCTGGCTGGGCTTCTGCACAGTGACGGCCCGCCTCCCCTCTCTGGCAGAAGAGAGGACAATTCCAGGAGCCTCCCGTTCCTGCCTCCATCCAGCATGGGGGCCACCAACCCTCCAGTGCAGGCATTTCCCACTCAGCCCAGGCCGCTGCCTTCCTCCTCAACTCTCTCCAGCCGGAGTTGGGGGCGAATTGAAACCAGCCTCTCCGGTGGCCACGACTTTGAGGACCATGGAATGGTTGCTGCAGACAGGCTTTCTTGAGATGGCAGTTGTGATTTCCTTGGGACAGTCAAGTTCAGTGTTGCAGAATCATTACTGTGGTGCTGTGATTCAGTCATTCGGATTGTTCCATAACTATAATGCAAAAAGCAATCATAGACGGATATGTAGGAGACTAAAAATAACCAGGAACACACGCCAGCCTTATCTGAAGGCGGATGACAAGAGCTGTGCTGATAGGATTTCCCCTGCATTTATTGATTTGTCTCAAAAACAAAGGCATAAACATTGCAAATACCTGACATTATGCCCTTAGAGAGGGAAGGAGAATCACACCTGAGCAGAGGTGTCATGACGGCAGAAGCACATGCACTCCCCAGCTCCCACGCTCGTGCCAGACCCTGCAGAAGCTGCCAATGCAACCGCATTTCTCATTGATTCTTAGGCCTCTCCTGTGACACAGCACAGCTCTTCCTCCGCCGGACTCACAGGTATGGAACGTGGCCATACGCACCCCCTCTGACCTTGCATGCTCCAGTTCCACGAGAGCCACTCCAGCACAAAGACTCCTCCAGGGGGAGACTTGAGAGAGGCCAAGACAGGATGGGAGAGGGTTGGGGGCAGGGACAGAGACAGTCTGGAAACAAACAAAGACTTCCCCTCCAAACGAGAACAGACAAATGCTATTTGTTCAGAGCCAGCTAGCAAGAAGTGGGTTTGATGGAGACTCGGGGCAGCAGAGGACTGGGAGAGCCTCATAGTGGAGACACAGGAAGGTCTCGGGCATGGACGGAGGGAGGCTGATGGCCAGAAGATAGGAGAGTGGAAAACAAGCAAGCCTCCACCTGACCAGCTAGGGGGACACAAGGGGCTTTCTCTAGTTGGCCCCAAGTTGGAAGCAGAGACTATGGAAGTTGTCAGTTATTGATCAAGACCTGGCCATTTTGAGCCTACTATTACAGAAGATACTGTTGAGCTTCCTGCACTGGTTGTTAGAGACATTGGTCTGACTTCCTACCAGACTGATTGGTACGTAGCAGGCAGGCTCCTGGGCTGATCACTGTAGACAGCAGGCTGGCTTCCTAGGTTGGTTAGTGTAGATGGCGGGCTGGCTTCCTGGTGTTGGAAACAAATGCTCGGTGCCACAAAGAAGAACCTGCACTCAGACAAAAAGTTTTCTCGGCAAGGCAATTTACTTCTGCAGAAGGATGCTGCCTGCATCAGCCACGATTGCAAGAGTACAATGAACAAAGGAGAGAAGGGTTTTTATCCCTAACACAGTTCCTGTTTCTGTGTCCTTTCTCCATTGGCTGGAGTCAGACCACACAATCCAAACTAACCAGATTGGCTAAGACTTAAACTTTTCCAAATATGACTAAGACTTTAACTTTTCTAAATATGGTAAACGTGCAGCTTGCTAAGAGAGGAGGAGAAGGAGAGACTGTCTGTTGCTAAGGTGGGAAGGGTTGTCTACAAACAAGTTCAAGGCATGTCTGGGCATGTCCAGGTATGGTAAAGGGTTGTTTATAGAATAAGAGGTTTGCTAGTTATAGATCAAGCTGAGGAACAAGGGTTTGTTACAGTTCAAGCAGAAGGGGGGCCAAGGAGTCTTTGAAGAGGAATGTATTGTCCTTAACATTGGGCTGGTTAGTGTAGATGGTAGATTGGCTTCCTGGGCTGGTTAGTGTAGATGGTATACTGACTTCCTGGGCTGGTTAATGTGGTAGACTGGCTTTCTGGGCTGGTTACTGTAGAAGACAGACTGGCTTCCTGGGCTGTTTAATGTAGAAGACAGACTGGCTTCCTAGGCTGGTTAGTGTAGATGGCAGGCTGGCTTCATGGGGTGGTTAATGTAGACGGTGGACTGGCTTCCTGAGTAGGTTAGTGTAGATGACGAGCTGACTTCCTGGGCTAGTTAGTGTAGAAGACAGTCTGGCTACCTGGGCTGGTTAGTGTAGATGGTGGGCTGGTTTCCTGGGCTGGTTAGTGTAGATGGTGGACTGGCTTCCTGGGCTGATTAGTGCAGATGGCAGGCTGGTTTCCTCAGCTGGTTAACATAGATGGTGTGCTGGCTTCCTGGGCTGGCTGTTGTAGATACTTTGCTGACTTTCTTGGTTGGGTACCATAGACAGTGGGCTTCCTTTCTCCAAGAGGTACCTTTGCTGCCCACAGTGGCAAGTCCAGGGTGGGCAGGGAGGAGAGATGGAGGGAGACAAGTTCCTCTTCTGACTCTCTGAACCCCAACCCAGTCATCTCTGAGTCCACAGGACCCCACCTGTGGAGCCAGTGGTCTCCTCCTTTTGTCTAAGTTACCACTGGGCTCCTGGTTGCCAGCAGGGGGCCCTCTGCGAGAGACAAGAGAGACGTGCTTGTCCCCAGGCTGGTGGCCCCGGGCTGTGTGATGATTGCAGCATTTGGGAGAGCGTGTGTCGCCTTCCACAGGTTTCCATCTTAAACAACCAGAGGGGCCCTGCAGTGGGGGCCAGTGCAGCTGGTGGTGGAGTGCAGACGAGGGGGCAGATCACCGCTGGGGAGCAGCAGCTGCCCTCTCAGTCCCAGCCTGCCCCGCACCCTGGTGAGGTTTCTGCACAGCGACATTTCTTCTTGACAATTCTGGCATTCAGTTTCAGATCCACAGTCGTCCCTGGAGATCTCAGTTTTCTCTGGGACTGGCTGCCCCAACCACGCCAACAATGCAGGTGTTTCAGCCTCGGGTCTGAGACACAAAACCAAACGCAGTGAGGAGGAGAGTGAGATGCCAAAGTCCTTCCTAAGGAGTACCTGACCCCAGCCCTACCCCTGCCTGACCCCACAGAGAGCACACGCAGCTCAGCCTGCAGGAAGGGCCCAAGGCCTGTGGGAGTTCCAGGCGTCCAGCTTCGGCCTCCTGACCTCTGCTCCACTTGTCCTCCACCACCTGACCCTTCAACAGGGCAGGCAAGAGGGCACTGCGGGGGTCCCACAAAGGCAAAGCTTCTGTGAAACCACAGAGCCTCCAGAGCTGAGAGTCGTCCAGGTCAGGAATCCTAACCAGTGTATCTTCTCCCAGGGATTGCTGCCTTTCTGTTGCTATTTGGTTTTGTTTGGTTTGGATTTTTGTCTCCTCCTGAGAATCACTGTTATAAATATCCAGGAATTTCTACAAAACCTCTGGGATGAGAATGCCAAACACCTATGTGCTATTGCTAGGCCATAGAGGAGAGGCAGCCAAATTCCTGGAGTGCATGAATGAATGAATGAATGAATGAATGAATGAATGAATGAAGGCATTATCTGTGTCCCTGTGAGGTGGAAAGGGGACAGTACTTTGCTCCTCCATTAGCCTGGAGGGGCTGGATGTCCACTAGCCTGCAGGGTCCTGGGAAGCCTGGCCAGCCTTGTCATCTTCATGGTCCCCACATGCATTCACCCTCCATTGACTGCCTCCCTTTCCTCCCCAAACCGCTCCCTCCCCAGAACAAGATACACTTCGGGTACTGACAAGCAACCATACACTTTTTATTTAAAATAATGAGAAGATGTTGTTATTCTGGGGGGTTATAAATGGTGCTACCTCAGCAGCCCCAGAGCTGCTCTTGGAGCTGAGCTCTCCCTGTGACGTCCCAGCCCCCCACCAGCTTCCAAGGCCTCTCCATCTCCACGACTGTCACCATCACTGCCCCCAGCACAGAGGGCTCCTGGGGCTCTCTGCTGACCACTCAGAAGCACAACCTAAGTGCTCTTGACTGCCCCTCTGACTGAATCCACTGAGGTTCTCTGTGGGGGCTTCACGTTCTACCTGGTAGAGGGGCCTCCCCACAGCACGGAGCTCACTCACCAGGACAACACTCTGGGTGACCACTGCAGCCTCAGTGGAGCCACACCTTCCCCACAAGGATGTCCAGGGAGGCCTGGCCACTGAGGCAGCACACAGGACCCAGACGGTCTTCCCTAAGTGGGAGGGTCGGGGCAGGGAGCTGTGCTCCAGGGAGTGACCAACCAACCATCCAAGTTCCAGAGGCACTGAGGGGCTTCCCAGGACTTCAGACCCACAGTGCAAAAACGGAGACAGTCCCAGGCAAATGGGACAGTGGGTCACCTTAGCAGGTCCTCTCCCATCTCGCCTGGGTCAAGGCTGAGGGACCCTGAACTAATCCTAAAGCCGGAGGGGGTCACCCCAGGTCCCCCACCATACACATCCATTCACACACACCTCTCCCAGCAACCTTATTCCTCCAGCCTCAATCGAAAGGCCGTAGATGTGGAGCTGGGGCCAAAGACACCCCTGCTGCCACTGAGCCTCACAGCCACAGCCCCAAATCCGTGGCCATTCAGAGCCAGGCACTGTCCACAGAACAAAGACCTGTGCATTCCTTGCTAATTAGTCCACCTTTCAGTGTGCAGAGTGCAGCATCTTTAACTTCCCAAGGAGCAAATGGAGCCAATTAATTCAGCAGGAGGAGACCAAATCAATTTCCCAAACAGCTTGTTATAGGACTTGCAACTTCACAGACAAATCTCATGCCTCCACCTAACCCACCAATCATCCTCGTGTCCAAACAGCCTCGCCATTAACATCAGAGCCACTTGCCTCTTTTTGTGCATAACCCACTACCTCAGACGCTGGGAAGAACTCAAACTAGGACTGACTGGTGAGTTCTTCCCAAGACTCACTCTCTAGAGACCTAAATCCTGGCCCTGTCCAACCAGGGGATGAGGAGAAGCCTTCTTCAGGAAGTAATGACCTGGACCGGCCAATCTCAGTTGACCTTGTCTTCTTTAGAGAGAATTGTCTCCAAGTCCAAATCCCATGTAAGACTTTTGTCCTCCCCAGGGGAGTACGCTGTGCCCAGAGCAGTGGATCCCAGATGTCCACAGGCTCAGGTTAAAATCCAAGCGGAATCACTCAATGTCAGAACTACTGACATTTGGGCCGCATTGTTCTGCACTGGGAGAGCTGCCCTTACACTGTTGAGTGGCATCCCTGGCTCCACCCACCACATGGCAGGAGCACCCCCCACTAGTAACAGCCAAAACCACCCAGAGGCATTGCCCGATGTCTCCCAGGGGCAGAATCGTGCCACTGAATTGGACTGAGTAGATATCATGCATCAGACATCTTCGTGGGCCCTCTGGGCTAGGAAGGGTTCAGAGGGTGGGGTCCAGCAATCCCAGCTGTCCTGCTCAGGGGCCTTCAGTAGCAGGCACAACAGAGGGATGCAGGCATCTGGGGGACAGGGCTGCCTACCAGTGAGTGTGGTCACCAGAAGGAAGGGAAGAGGCAGGGCCGGAAGCGCCCTGAATGCCCATTTTGACCGTGGCCTTGGATAGAGACAAGACTAACATGGCCGAATTGTTGCTCCACCCCCCTTCCACACACATTCAACAGACTCCTTTTCAAAGAAACCCTGAGATTCAGACTTTCTTGGAGACAGAGGTGAGCTGAAAAGGTCTCCAGCTGCTAGGAGCTGCTGGCTTGGTTGAGTGTTCAAGATACAAACAAATGAAAACTATAATGTTCAAATTCCAAGGCAGAGGTCTGGCAGCCCCTGATGGCTTTGAAGAGTTTGGATGACTTCAAAAGATGCTACATTTCTGCCCAGAGTGTCCCCAGCCACATGCCTGTCTTTGGTCTTAGGTATGAGTGGATTCTTCATGTGGACACGTGGCTTTAGGTGATATAGGAAGGGGCCACTGTATTAAAGTGAAAAAGAATGAATTACCCATGGACAAAAAACTCTGCCTAGCTTGATCTTGTCCAAGGCTTTGTCTCCAAGTGTCTGGGCACCAGCCCAGGTGCTGGAGTTCACTGGGAACCATGGCCTTGGCCTGGCCCTGGGAGCTGTGAGTTGGTGTGAGTAGCTATGGCCTCTGTCTCAGCGATGTGACATTTCTGCATAATTCTGTGCTGTGGCACTCTGTCTTGGGCCCAGCGTTCCCGCTTCTTCTTCCTAAGCCATGGTGTCCTCCAGTTGTGATGGGGCTTAGCCATCAGGAGTGGGATAACTCACTCTCTAGAGGTGACTTCAATCCCACAGAGAAGTGAGTGATGGAAGTCTTTGCTGTGCTGTTTGTTTCTGAAGACTTGGAAGTATTTGCTTGGGGGGACAAGACAATATCATTATTCATCTTTCTCTTGTATTTGCCAAACCAACACTTTTTGTGCTTTACTTTTTCATCTATAATAACAGGATAGTGGTGCAGCTATTTCTGGAACTGGAAACAACAGCTGTCGTTTTTCCTGTGGAGAATTTGAGTTTAATCTAAATGGCCAGTGTGCACATTCACTTTCCCAGTGTGAAGGAAATACGTATTTATGAACATCAGGTTCTTGGAGGATTCCCATCAAATAAGAAACTCAGTGGCCTTCCCTCAGAGCTCTTAGAGGAAATGGTAATACTGGCACCCTTCTTTCCTCCTAAAGCCTCTTGGCTACAGCGACACTGTGCCCACCCAACTCTCCTCCAACTTTCCTACAACACTTCTCTAATCTGGTTCCTTGTCCTCCTCCTGAACCCTAAATCAGGAAAAGGGGTGCTAGATGGTGAAGATCTGTCTGTATTGGGGGTGGGGAACAGGAGAGGAAAGCAGCCCTTCCCCATGAGCCTCACCCCGTGAGGACACTGAGAACACAGGTTACCATGTGCACTGCTTCTTTGGGTCTGTGTTACTCTGAGTCCTCCAGAGAAAGAACCAATAGGATAGATTAGATAGACAGATAATCAATAGGTGGGTAGACAGATAATAGATAATCAATAGATAGGTAGGTAGAGAGATATTGATATGGTTTGGCTGGGTCCTCACCCAAAATCTCATCTTGAATTGTAACCCCCATAATCCCCATGTGTTAAGGGTGGGACCAGGTGAAGGGAATTGGATCTCGGGGGCAGTTTCCCCAATGCTGTTCTCATGATAGTGAGTGAGTCTCACAAGATCTGATGGTTTTATAAGCACCTGGCATTTCCCCTGCTAGTTGTTATTCTCTCTCCTGCCGCCCTGTGAAGAGGTGCCTGCTTCTCCTCTGCTTTCCACCATGATTGTAAGTTTCCTGGGGCCTCCCCAGCAATGTGGAAGTGTGAGTCAACCCTCTTTCCTTTATAAATTATCTAGTCTCAGGCAGTTATTTATAGCAGCATGAGAACGAACTAATACAGATAGATAATAGATAATCAATAGGTAGAGACAGATCTGTTAGAATAGGCAGATAGCGGCCAGGTGGGGTGGCTCATGCCTGTAATCTCAGCACTTTGGGAGGCCAACACAGGCAGATCACTTGAGGTCAGAAGTTTGAGACCACCCTGGCCAACATGGTGAAACTCCATCTCTACTAAATAAAATAAAATAATGGGCAGATGGCTAGACATGAGCAGGAGAGGGAGCCCCTGAGAAAAGGGAGGTCTGGAAAAGTCTCACACCCCAGGGACCACCAGAAACATGCATGCTGGAAATGAGCAGAGGAGGGGATATACTGATGCAGGAAGGAACACCCCTTAGAGACACCCAGTCATCACTCCCTCCACAGTCAACCTGTCAGAGCAGAGCTGTCTGCGTGCTGATAAAGAGGAAAGAAAACAAAGGAGAAACTCAGAGACAAGCAGTCGCAGTAAGTGCAGATCTGGCCATGATACAACCTTCCCGAGTGGAGGTAATGAGCAACACAGCCATTAGGTAGAATTTGCATCCAACACTGGCCTGGCATGGGTACCGCCTGATAGTAAAGGAGGGTCCCAGAAGCCCAGGGTGAGAACTAGGTGAGGAGAAGGTGGGGACTTAAGACAGGAATGACAAAACTAGACCCTCCCAAAAAAGGCAGAGCCTTAAGACAGAGGTGGGAACTTCAGGAAAAAATACAAAGTCATAAAAACCCAGCGTAGAACCCTCAGGGGCTGTAGCTCATTCTCCTTCAGCTGCCCCCTCTGTCTCATCTTTCAGAGTGCACTGTCCCTTTAAATAAACCCTCTGCTCCCAATTTTCCTTCCATAAATTATCTTCTTGGATAAGAGAATAAACTCCATAAACTGTCTCTTGGCCAAATTCTTTCTCCCAAGATGACAAAGGACTGAGGATTCCCACACTTCCTGATGAGAGAGAGAGAGAGAGATTGATTGTAAGGAGTTGCTCACACAGTTATGGAGGCTGACAAGTCCCAGTTCTGCCATTTGCAAGCTGGAGACCCAGGAGACCAAACAGTGTAAGTTCCAGTCCAAAATCCAGCAGGCTCAAAACCAGAAAAAGGTTCATGATTCAGTTCTAGTCCAAAAGCAGGGAAAACCAATGTCCCCTCTCAAGGCGATTAGACAGGAGGAAAGCAGGAGACCCACCCTTTCGTTCTACTCAAGCCTTCGCCTGATTGCAGGGGCTGCCCTAACCAGGGAGCACCATCTGCCCTACTCAGTCTACAGGTTCCAATGCTGGTCCCATCCAGAAACATCCTCACAGACACACCCAAAAAATGTCTGGGTGCGCGGCCCAGTCAAGTTAAAGCATGAAATTCACCATCCCATGATGTGCACCCATCTCGGTGTATTGACCACCCACTCTTGCCTGACATCTTCAGAAATAAAATAGACCTTGTGCCTGGAGCCACTGAGAGTCAGAGGTTGTTGGTGAAGCAACTGGTCACATGTCTCTGACTGCTGAAGTGGACAGTGCCCCCGCCCACGGGACCCCAGCCTTGCCCTCGCCACAATGTGGCCACTGTAGACTTCCTCAGTGGGACCCATTTCCACAGCACATCTAGTCAATCCTGCCATGTCAGCCAGAGGTCCCCAATCTCAACCCCAGCAGACCAGAGGAGCTCCCCTCCCCCACCGCCTCGAAGCCAGTCTCTCCTCTGGGCCTCCCATCCTGTGCAGGTGGACACCCTGTCATCACCTCTGGCTCCTCCCCTCACCTACGTGCAGTGGAGGGGCCCATCCCTCCACGTCCGTGTCAATGTGACTGATGATTCCTCCTGCCTTTGCGGGGCTGACTCTGGGCCCAACGTTGCTCTAAGTGTCATAAATGGTGTCTTCTCACAACAACTAGAGGTTGTCATCGCTGTGACCGCCATTTACAGATGCAGCAGCTGTGACCCAGCGAGGTTGAGTGGCTTGCCCACACTCACCGCCTCCGTGCATACCGACCCCGGCCTGGAACCAGACACCCTGGCCCGAGCCGAGAGGCCCCTTGCTTCCTGCTCCACACCTTCCCGGGAAAAACAAGCACTCTGAGTTGGGGTCACCAAAGCCACAGAGTGCAGCTCAACTTCAGCTTGGTGTCTTGCAAAATCTCTTATTCTCTCTCCTTGGTTCTCCCCTACAGCAGCAGAAACTGCCCAGCAGTCCTGTTCTATAGACTTTCCCCTTCCCCTGCCATTGCCCTGCTGAGACACTCCCCACGGCACTCCTGACTCCTTCCTCCAGAGCCCAGAATATTCCAGGCCCAGGGCTGGACCCAATCCCCCAAAAGGCCACTGATGCCACCATGGCCTGTTTCTTCTCGGTGACACCTTGCAGCTCACTGAATTCAGTGGAAACTTTATACCCAAGAGCATATAGAAAATCAATTGTGATAATTCAGAAGCCATCTGGCCTCCACTGGCTACTACTCAAAAGAATACCGAAATAAGCCACTTCAAAACCCTATTTACTATTCATTGACCACCTACTATGCACCAGACGTGCCCCTGGGCCTTTTGTGTCAATTACCTGGTTTAATTCTCACCACCGTCCATGAGGCAGACACCATTGCTATCCCCATTTAACAGAAGGAAAAAATGAGATGCAGAGAAGCAACTTGCCAGACATTACCCAGAGAATAAATGGCAGAACCAGCTCCCAGCCCGGGCGTTACTCCAAAGCCAATCCCCCTAACTCCTACAGGGCTGCTGAGCCAACGTTACACAAAAGCAGCGACTGTAGAAATGAGGAGAAAGGTGAGCATCAGAGTTCATCCGGTTGACCTTGCGGAGCTGCCCTAGGGGACGGAGAGCTGCTGTGCTCCCTGCTTCTGCACACCAGGCAGGAGTCAGGCCACCACGAGCCCCTTCCCCTCTATCACCTGCCGCATTCCCAGCCCACGGCTCTGCTCAGGGTGGACTGGGCTCCTCTGGCCGCCCAGCTCCCCTGCAGGGTGGCTGACAGGCCCTTGCCTACCCTTCACTTCTAACATTGCTATCCCCATTTCCCAAAATTCAGCAAGGTTAGTTCCCTTCTCTTTTCCCCTAATTCTTGCTTTTTAAGATCAATCCTGAGCAAGAGGAGCTTTCTCAAGAAGGAATTATGTGCATCTGTAGCCCCACTGAAGCTTCAACAAACTGATTCCCCCAGATGTGCTCAATGGAAGAAGTCAGGTCCTTTGTTGTGTATCAGATCCACTTGGCCAAGGAGAAGGGTTCTGCGCTGATTCATTCATAAAATCTTCATCAAGCTCTTACTGCATTTATCATCCTGCGCAGGAACTAATGGGTACGTGCATGCACCTGACAAGGAAAAATGGGCCTAAGAAACATCACCGTAAATGTCATGTCTTTAAGACATAAGCGTCAACATTTTAAGGATAACATTGAATTTTTTTCAAAAGAATATTATCTTTTTCAATAGAAAATACACAAATCTGTACCAGTGTGAATGTCCTAGGTCATTGATCACAATGGAACTGGTTCCACTGAGTTATGACCTGCTGTAAGAAGAGGCATGGAGACTTGTTCTGTTCTGAGGATCCCGGCAGTTCTGAGTTTAAGTGCTTGTCGGCTGGGAACTTTGGTTATGCACAGGCAAACCTCTGGAACCTATGTTCCCAGGCCAAGGAGACTAAGGTAACAGTGTTGTCAGTGCACACCGTACAGTCCTTGGAGCTGGGCTCGCCTTTTCCTGTGCCACCTGAAAGCTCTGGCCAACGCAGTGGAAAAAACAAAAACAAAACGAAACAGCAATAACAAAAAAAACCACACTGGGTTTTGACTGAAGTGACATCTATCGCCGGCATTATATAGATTCGAATTTATTGACTTGACTCTTTTTTTTAATTCTAATTTATTCACCATTTCAAAAACCAAGTATGTGATTAAAATCTGCTGCCACCTGGTGGTGGTCACAGTGTCACATGTCATGTTCCAAAAAGTGAAGTCCACGCTACAACTGTGTTTTGGTAAAGGTAGCAATGAACATATTTTTCTCATCTATTTAGGGGAAAATGGTAAAATATGTGAACTTATTCATTGTTAATCCTACATGTGACAAGTATAATCCGAGCACAAGCCTTGAGGCAGCATTTCTTAACTGGTCATAGATGCTTTTGAAACCCTGATAAAATGTGGGAGGATCTCCCTGGGAAAATGAACACACGTGCACATTCACAAAGTTACACATGCAACTTTGAAAGAACACAGTACAGAGTGAAGATGCTTGCTTTAAAGAAAATACCTAGAATTCGATCTCACTGAGATGGTTGCAAATTAAAAGGCTCTAATCACAGTGAAAAGGAACCGGTAGCTATGAGCCACTGTGAGTTTTCTAAGAAGTCAAACCAAGTGCACCCTGATTCCATTTTGTTGTTATGATATGTAAAGGTAAATATATAGGAGATATACGTGTTTTATATATGTGTATATAAAACATAAACATTTATATATTTTTGTACTTATTCATATAAAACATATTTATATATAATTATTGTACAAGATAATTTAATTCCATGCAATAGTTATTTATCACATGGCTGGACTGGTCACTGGGCCGGGTGCTGAATGCTCAGAAAATTAAGACACAATTTCTGCCTTCAAAAGACCCACAGCCTGGCAAGGAAAATGAGCAGACATATATACACATATATAAGAATTATAATCTGATATGACAAGTGTTCGTCCAAAGGCACTACGGGAGCAAGAGGAAGAAGCAATTTCTTCTATCTGATTTGAGGGGTGGCAGGGAGAAAAAGTTGCCATTTCAGCTA
Organism: Homo sapiens; assembly: GCF_000001405.40. Taxonomy (NCBI): domain Eukaryota; kingdom Metazoa; phylum Chordata; class Mammalia; order Primates; family Hominidae; genus Homo; species Homo sapiens. Next base: position 131,788,074 of record NC_000010.11, read on the forward strand.
AGGAAAGAGATGGGTAACCCCAACCCCAATGTGAAAGACACATATTCAAAGCAGGGAACTGCATGGGGGAAAGCTCAGCAGCATCAAAGTTCACAGGACCAGCACGTGCTCTGGGGTCAGGTCGCCAAAGCCACAGAGTGAAGCTAAACTTCAGCTTGGTGTTTTGCAAAATCTTTTATTCTTTCTCCTTGATTGTCCCCTACAGTGAACCTTCCCACCAGTCCTATTCTATAAAATGTTCCCTTCCCTCACACTCCAGGGATTATCCAGGGTGCAGAACAGGGAGGAGTATGCCCCATCTCGTGTGCAAAACCTCATTATGTAAGGTAATTCTATGGGATACCTTTTATACCCCACATGAAAACCCTCCCAGCCTCACCTCGCACTTCACCCAGTACCTCCCAGGCTCTGATCCACTTTGCATAGGTGTCACCTGACACCACCTGGGCTCGGAGATCTGCTCACCTCTTACTTCCTGCCTTGGCCCCGGGGTCACCTGCAGGAGGCTGCTCAGCAATCACAGTTATGCAAGTCTCCAAAGACAGGGCCTCCACGGCCAGGACAGAAGCAGATAATAAGTTCTCTTTCCTTTACTGTCCCAAGGAGACTGTGCTGAGATGCATTTCATAAAGGGCCTCAGAAGGTCTCAAAAAGCCCAGCATCAGCCACTCCAAGCGGCTGTCGATTGGATAAGCCATCTGGTATTCCCATTCACTCCTTCCCTCCCTCGCTCAACTCACTCCTGCTCGCCTGAGCCCTGAGACCCCTGCCCAAAGAAACAGCCTGAACTCAAGCCTTTGTCCCTAGCTCTGCTGGAGAAGCTCCATCTAAGACCACTGATACCACACCTGAAAGCTCTAGATAGCAGACCTTCAGGATAGAATTTGGGGGCTAGTCCCCTCGCCAATCCAGCACACAGAGGAACCCCATTGCCAGTGGCAATTGGGGAAGTAATAAGCCCCTGGCCTCAGCTGCCTCATCATCACCAAGAAGGGCACTGGAATAGGGCTAGAGAGAGGTGCAGGGAGGTGCGGGGGAGGTACAGGGGAGGCACAGGGGAGACAGGCTTTGCACTGGCATCCATGACACCTTAGAGACTCCCCATCCAGCAGGGTAGGGGTCCCCAACTCCCAGCCATGAACCAGTACCAGTCTGTGGCCTGTTAGGAGCCAGGCCACACAGCAGGTGAGCAGCAGGCTGAGGAGCACTGCTACCCAAGCTCACCCTCCTGTCAGATCAGCAGCGGCATTAGATTCTCATAGGAGCACAATCCCTATTGTGAACCGTGCTTTTGAGGGATCTCGGTTGCCCACTGCTTATGAGAATCTAATACCTGATGATCTGAGATGGAACAGTTTCATCCCCAAACCATCCCCACCCCCAGTCTGTGGAGAAATTGTCTTCCACAAAACGTGTCCCTGGTGCCAAAAAGGTTGAGGACCACTGCGCCAGGGCGTTGGATTCAGAAGGTCTTGCAGAGGGTGCATCAGCAATATGCATTTCTAACTGGCAGCAAAAGTCCTCTTACAAAACGTTCATCTACTGTAGAAAGATTTAGGATGTAGAAACAAAAGAAATGTCACCTGTAACTCTGCCATGGGTCAGTGTGCACCATCTCAGGCTCTTCTGCACGCCCATGTGGGTGGGGTCGGGGTTGGGTGTCTCGGCCAGGTGGAGGCTGGGCCAGGCCCCAAAGCTGTGGGCGGCAGATGCTGCATCCACCTCCTCTGGCTTGGATCTAGAAGCTTCCTCCTCTCTCTTCCTCTTGCCTGAATTGACACAGGAGATGAAGCCTGGGGAAAATGGACCAGAACTCAGACCCCAACCCCCAACCTACAATGACATTCAAGGATGTAAGACGCACATGATAGATTTGTTAGCACAGTGTTATCTGTAAATCAGAGCTGTGTTCACTGTCAGTTAGAACAGGCTGGGTTATACCGAGTAACAAATGTCCTGCAATCACAGAGGCTTCCCTCCACAAAGATCTGCCTGTCACTCACCACGTGCCCAGGGCTTGGCTCAGCCCTTCACAGGTGGATGGGCATTCGCAAACTGGAGCACGGCAGCCTGTCATAGAGACAGGAAATGAGCACATGGTGAACAAGTGCTGGCTCTTAGCTTCTGCCCAGCAGAGCCCCATGACACTTCTGCTCACATTTCATTGGCCAAGGCAAGTCACATGGCCCTACTGCCACATGACACTTGTACTTGAATTTCATTGGCCAAGGCAAGTCCCCTTGCTTTGCCTGCTTCAGAGGAGCAGGGATGTTCAGTGAGCAAATCACCCTGAGAACTTGATGACTGTCCTTGCTCCATTCTTTCTTTTATCACGGTCCTTTGTCCACCGACACATCACCAGCTCTGGACTGGAGCTCCAGTAGAGAGGGCACCAGGCACACTCATCCTTGTATCCCACAGGGACTGCCATCATTGGCAGACAGGCAGTCTACTTCTCTTTTTCCTGCCAAGAGTCGGAGAGAGCAGTGACTTCCACAACACTGGCCCTGCAGACTTTGTAACCTAAGTTCCCAAAAATGGACTAAAAAGTAATGAGTTCTTATCCTGACTATTCACTCAGCAATACTTAGTTATTAAACATCTTCTATGTGCCAGGTACATAATGTGGAGAATAAATAGAAGTAGAAAATAAGAAAATGAAAATATCCTACAGGTTATCTCTTATTCAAAATGGTTGGGACCAGAAAGGTTTTGAGTTTTGGATTTTGGAATATTTACATTACACTTAATGGTTGAGCATTTTGAATCCAAAAGTCTAAAATCTAAAATGCTCCAGTGAGCATTTCCTTTGAGCATCATGTCAGCACTCAGAAAGTTTCAGATTTTGGAGCATTTCAGATTTCAGATTTTTAGATTCAAGATGCTCAACCTGTATAATTTCACCACTCTGGGGGACCTACTTAACATTTTTTATATATTTCCTTTCCGTTTTTTTCTATGGATTTTTTTGGTCATGCCGACTTAAATAATTTTCTCTTTTTTTTCACTTAAAGTTATAACTACAACAGTCTTAAGAACTCTTTGAAAATTTAATTTTAAAGACTGAATCATATTGCCTTTAATGTGGATTACATCAGTGCAGGTTATTTATTGGGCCATCTTATTATCATTAAACACTTTGGGTCATTTCACTTTTTTATTTTTTAAAATGCTATGATTAGTATCATTTTTAAAATTATACCTCAAAAAGTCTTTGTAAGAAGATTATTCATAAGGCGTAAGCATAAGGAAACCTTCTTATGAGATCATTTGTTCCACAACAATTTATCTCAGCCTAATTGCCTTTTATTGGCCATAGAGCTGTTCACTTCCTCAGCAACCCAGGGTTCAAGTCCTGTAAAACACAACACTGGGCAGTTCTAGAAGAGAGAAGCGTTTCTGGAGCTTGGCTCTAAAATCTTCAGATCACAACAATTTTCACAATGAAATAAAATTTAATTTTTGGCTCACATAGTAAAAGATTATATCAGATTTCTCATTCCTCGGAAAATCAGAGAGAACTTAATAACAAATACCATAATTATCTGCAAAGACTGAACGGTGATTAAATTATCAGGAGGCCGTTACTCCTAAAACTATTTCTTTAATTAGCTAAAGCTGGCAGTATATATTAATATTTCCTGAGATATTTGCATACATTCACAACAGGCTAACCAGACATTAGCTGAAATATAATTTTTCTAATATTATGTTAGAAATATTTTAAGATTAAATCATATTATCATGTTTTTTCCTGTGATTATTAGAGCAGACACTCTTGATTTATCACCATAAATTCTCTAATTTAGGAGCTGAAAATGCTTCTCGTTTTCCATGATGAGCTTTTTCAATTCCATTTACACAATAGAAGGTGCTCTTTGAAGCCCAGATCTGCTGGTAGAACGTGGTTTTTGATAATCCACATCTGCACACTGCTCCCAGACAAACACAAGGAAGCCCACCCTAATATGTAGCTGGCAGGACCCCGGCCATTCAGATTCCGTGGCCACAGCAGGAAAAGCGTCTGGGTAGCAGTGGGTGCAGGGACAGGGTGAGGGGAGCTGGTCCTGGCTGGCCACAGCACCAAAGAGCGGAGGACATGTCAGCAAGCAGGATTTGAATGAGGGTCGAACAGGTCTTTCTCAACTCCATCCCAGCCTGCATAGAGGACAGGACACTCAATTGAATTGGGCAACTCACAGAAGGTCCCAAAAGGGGGTCAGTACAGAGGTGTGGGGATGGTCAGGGAGGCCACACCTGGGAATCACAGCAAGGCTCTGTCACCACCACTGGGGACAGGAAACTGGGGAGTCCTGTGGTGAGCCCCAGAGCAGAGGACCGCCCAACAGGAACCAAGCCCTCAGGGGAGGGGCGCAGCCAGCTCCAGGCTGCCCCGGGGGAGGGAGCAGAAAATAAAGGTTCTGACCACTCTCCATTCTCTTTCTCCACACCCCTGCCCAGGTCCCTTTGGCCAAACCCAGCAGAAGCCAGAGGGGAAGGAGACTCACAGATGTAGCCCCGCAGGTCGGCGTCCAGGACCTAAGAGGGGTAGGACACGAGGAGAACCTGGGAGACATGTGGAAGTTGCTGGGCACAAATGACGGGGGACACCCTGAGGGACCCCATTTGGATGTGCTGAAGCCAGCATGCTCACCCTCACAATATGTGTTCACTCTCAGCCTGGAGGACTTTTGACTCTTGCCATGTCTGTGCCTTTAAAAAATAACCAACTGTCAGCAACAAGGGATACACTTTGAAAACCAAAACAGAAATTCCCAAAGAAGCCAGGAGCCCAGAGACTGTGATAAGGGGCAGCTGGGCAGGCCTGCAGCCCTCTGGCCATGACGCCCAGCACTCCTCCTTGAGCAAGCGGGGTTTGGTACTGGGGTCAGTGATGAGCAAGACTCGGCCCCTGCCCCAGGGACACCTAAGCTAGCGGGGCTGCTGACCACATCACCTCAGGGACACCTAAGCTAGCGGGGCTGCCAGCCACATCACCAAAGCACTCTCTACTTGAAAGCATGCAGCAGATGAAGGTGTGCGCAGGTGCAGGGCAGCATGAGAAGGGACCCAACGTGGTCTGTTGGATCAGAGGAGGCTTGGGAAGTGGTGATAACAGGACAAGCTGGTGAATGGTTTTGTTTTTTGTTTTTGTTTTTGTTTTTTTTAAGAAGGAGTTTCACTCTTGTTGCCCAGGCTGGAGTGCAGTGGCCCAATCTCAGCTCACCGCAACCTCCACCTCCCGGGCCCAAGTGATTCACCTGCCTCGGCCTCCTGAGTAGCTGGGATTACAGGCGTGTGCCACCACACCTGGCCAATTTTGTATCTTTAGCAGACTCGGGGTCTCTCCATGTTGGTCAGTCTGGTCTCGAACTCCCAACCTCAGGTGATCCACCTGCCTCGGCCTCCCAAAGTGCTGGGATTACAGGCTTGAGCCACCGCGCCCTGCTCTGGTGCATGTTTCGAGAGCTGCTCCCCACCCAGGGCATCATCACTGGACAAGGTCATTCACTCAAGGCTGATTCTGGCCAGATGCCGGGTTTGATTTTGTTAGTTTAGTCCAGTTGGACATCCTGGACCAGATGGGGCAAGAACTCAGAGGATAAAATTCATCTTGTCCCTTGGGCAGAACCATAGCAAGGAAACATCTTCATCTTAACCTCACCATCTGACGATTGCCTTTATCATCTTAACCTCACCGTCTGAAGATTGCCGTTAGATGGTGTTCGGACGGCATCACTATGAACAGAGATAGAGGTAAAGGCACGTGAGACTCCAAAGCTTCTACCGCAAGGACCCTTTTCCACCTTTTTTTCCAGACAAACTTCATTGAAAACACCATGGCCTCTGACTTCCGTGGTGGAAAGGAATCATTCCCATGACTCTTGTTGAAACCTCAAAAAGCATTTGAAGATGCCCATTCGCCTTCTGGAAGCCCTGGGTTGGGGGCCAGGTCTGTGTCCAGGCCTGAAGGCTGACCACTCTGTCACATTTTTTTCCTGTAGGAAGGGGTGACCGAGCTCAGGAAACAGCAAAGAGAAGGCACAGTAGTTGCATGAGTTGGGGCTGCTGAGCACCTGGGTGCATCTAGAGGTTTCCTCCCCACACTCCTTGGGAGCCTTTACCAAGACAGAAAGTCCACTTGCCTAAAGCAAAATGTGTCCCGAAAACATTCTTTTCTCCTCGCCCCAAATACTGAATAGGTATTTTAGGAATTAAAATGCAGTAAATTCAAATTACAGTCTCTCCAAATCACGATACTAAAAAGGAAATGTAATATTCATACTCAACTTGTCATCTTAATTAATTTGTCTGTATTATTTCAGGAGTTCTAAAAAAAATACAGAGCAGTCATCAAGCGAAAATGGAGTAGAAATAAAGTGATTCAGTTAACTCACTATCCATCTATGCAGATTTATGAGAGGAAGACCTTTCCACTAGGAGAAGAAGTGGGCTACATAAAACACTCCCAGAAATAGCTATTAGAGAACCATTACTTAAATATGGGTGATTTTTTTAAGTTATTTTACAATATTATCCAATCTAAAAATTCAGCATGCTTTTTCTGAGACTTTCTAAATACTAAAGCTTAACATTTGAAACAATTTTAGGTTTACAATAAAACTGAGCAGAAAGTACCAAGAGTGCCCATGTGCCTCCCAGCCCCATACACTCACAGCCTTCTCCACTGTCAATGTCCCCCACCACAGTGGTGCACTTATTAAAACTGATCAGGCTACACTGACACGTCATCATCACCCAACATCCACAGTTTACATTAGGGGCCTCTCTTGGTGTTGCACCTTCTATGGGTTTTGGCAAATGTAGAATAGTATGCATCCACCACTGTAACATCATACAGAATCACTTCGCTGTCCTAAAAACTTCCTGTGCTCCACCTAGTCATCCCTCCTACCCCCTAACCCCTGGCAACCATTAATCTTTTTACTCTCTCCATAGTTTTGTTTTTTCCAGAATGTCATATGGTTGGATTGATTCAGTCTCTAGCCTTTTCCAATTGGCTTCTTTTATTGGTAATATTCATTTAAGTTTCCTCCACATCTTCTCGTGGCTTGATTGATTGCTCATTTCCTTTCAGTGCTAAATAATGTTCCATTGTCTGGATGTGCCACAGATTATTTATAAATTTGTCTACTAAAGGACATTTTGGTTGTTTTCAAGTTCTGGCAACTATCAATAAAGCTGCTATAAACAACCATGTGCAGGTTTTCTGTGTGGAACTGAGTCTTTAACTCCCTGGATAAATACCAAGAGGTGCAATTGCTGAATATCTTGGTTCATTTAGTGTTGCTATAACAGAATACCTGAGGCTGGGTAATTTATTAAAAAAAAAAAAAAAAAGAGGTTTATTTGGCTCACAATTCTGGTGGCTGGAAGGTTCAAGATTGGGCAGTTGTTCCTGATAAGGGCCTCATGGTGCTTCAATCCATGGGAGAAAGCAGAAGGAGAGATGGTGTGTGCAAAGAGATTACACATTAAGAGAGGAAGTGAGAGAGGAAAACCAAGGAAGCCAGACTCTTAATAACAACCTGCTCCCTTGGGAATTAATCTATTCCTGTGAGAGTGAGGACTCACCTCCATGGAAGGGCATTAATCTAGTCATGAGGGGTCCACTCCCATGACAACATTGCCACTCCCATGACACATTGGGGATCCAATTTCAACATTCATTTTGGTGGGAACGAACCACATCCAAACCATAGCACTGGATCATATGGTCAGAGTATATTTAGTTTTGTAACCCACTGCCAAACCGTCTTCCAAAAAAGTCATACCATTGTGCATTCCCACCAGCAGTGAATGAGGGAGGGCCCCTGTTGCCTCATTTAATGTTATCAGCACTTTGGACTTTGACCATTCTGATAGGTGTGTAGTGATATCTCTCTGTTGTTTCTGTTTTCATTTCCATGATGCCACACAATGCAGCCAGTCTTTCCATATATCCATGTGCCTATTTGACATCTGTCTTCTTCTATGGTGAAGTGTCTGTTCATATCTTTGGCCCATTTTTTAATTGTGTTGCTTGTTTTCTTATTGTTGAGTTTTAAAAGGTCTTTCTATATTTTAGATACTAGTCCTTTATCAGATGCGTCTGTTGCAAATATTTTCTCCCCATCTGCAGCTTCTCTCCTCATTCTCTTGACACTGTCTTTCACAGAGCAGAAGTTTTTTATTTTAATGAAGTCCAGTTTATCAATTCTTTCTTTCAAGGATTGTGACTTTGATGTTATATCTAAAAGTCATCACTATACTGAAGGTCATTTAAGTTTTGTCCTATGTTATCTTCTAACAGTTTTATACTTTTGCATTTACATTTGGGTCTATGATCCATTTTGAATTAATATTTGTGAAGCATGTAAAATCTGTGTCTAGATTCATTTCTTATGTAGATATTCAGTTTGTTCCAACACCATTTGTTGAGAAGACTATCCTTTTCCATATAATTGCTTTTGTTCTTTTGTCAAAGATTCATTCAGGATATTTGTGTGGGTCTATTTCTGGGCTTTGTATTCTGTTCAATTTATTTATTTGTCTACTGTTCCACCGATACCACATGGTCTTGACTATTACAGCTTTATAGTAAGTCTTGAAGTCAGGTAGTGTCAGTCCTCAACTTTGTTCTTCCTGGGATTTGTGTTAGCTGTTATGTGTTTTTTACCTTTCCATATAAACTTTAGAACAAGTTTGTTGACATCCACAAAATAACTTGCTGGAGTTTTGATTGGGATAGTATTGAATTTATAGAAAAATTTGGGAAGAACTGATATCTTGACAACATTGAGTCTTGTTATCCATGAACATGGAATATCCCTTAATTCATTTAGTTATTCTGTAATATCTTTCATCAGAGTTTGGCAGTTTTCCTTGTACATATTTTGTCATGTTTATATCTAAATATTTTGTTTCTTGAGTGCTAGAATAAATAATAATGTATCTCAAATCTCAAATTTCACTTGTTCATTGCTGGTATATAGAAAAGTGATTGGCTTTTATATATTAGCCTTGTACCCTGAAGCCTTTCTAGAATTTTTCATTAGCTTCAGTTTGTCAGTTCTTCTGGATTTTCTACTTAGATGAGAATGCCATCCACAAATAAAGACAGTTTTGCTTCTTCCTTCCCAATGTATACACCTTTTATTTCCTTTTCTTGTCTTATTGCATTAGCTGAGATTTCAGCACAGCATCGAAAAGCACTGGTGAGAGGGAACATCCTTGCCTTGTTCCTGACCAGCATGCTTTCAGTGGGAGTTTTCTCTTATCATATTTTGCTTTTTAAAATTAACTTGTTTCAATTAGTTCTTTTGAGTAACATACAATTTCAGAAATGCCTGTACTTGCAACTTATATAATTATATAAAGAGTGGATACAGTTGATTTTGATTTGAGGAAATAATAATATTTCATTTGAAAGAACTTGAAGCCTTTCATAGGTCCCATACCAGGACTTTCCCTGGAAAGTGGAGCCAGTGTTGCAGTTTTAACACAAAGGGTTACACCAGCATGACAGCCTGAATCCCCCCAAGTCCGGGTCTTAGCTCCACCCCACTGAGACTCAGGCCCACCCCACCACAGAGCCTCTGAGGACTACAGGAAAAGGAAGTACTGTCCTGTGCCCCATCTGTATGCTGGCACCCACCAGATACATGTCCTTGGTTGAGGGCTCTGTCACTCACACACTCTTAGCTGCTGGCCCCAGAGTTCCACAGCAGGGCTAAGTCAGATTGGAATGGAGAGAACACCTCTCCCAGGGGCCAGACTTCTCTGCACTGGATTCTGAAGCTCCACCAGTATGCTTTGGCTCCCCAGGTCCTAAAGCAAACAGTGTGCACCCACATCCTCACTGGCCTATAGTCAGCCCAAGGGCTGAGACTTCAGAACCCCATTTCACAGAGGAACTTGAGTTTTGAAAATAAGAAATTAACATATGCAGTTAAAGAGAATATTCTACTTTACAAAAACATTCTGAGGGGGGAAAGCAGGAGAGATGTGCCTCTCCTTCCTAGTCACTTTTTTCTTCTCTTAGAGACCCCTGAACACAAAAACACCAATGGGATGCTGTGATAGTCACCATGCAGTGACCTCCACCAGGCAGTCATAGTATGTGATAATCAACTGAAGCTTGAATGCCAAGGAGAGACCATCTGGTCCAAACTCACAAGGAAAGGCATTCTAGACAGAGGGATAGATGCTGCCCACATGTATACAGTACTTCAGAGCAGAAAAGGAGGGAAACACCACATGTATGGACACCAAAACCATACAAAGCAGAAAGATGGCAACCCAATCTCAGTTATGAACATAGATGAAAGCCCCTATCAAAAATTCTAAGATATTAAGGAAATGCTGAGGAAATATGAGCAGAATATGGGATTTAATTAATAACCTATCAATGTTGGTGCATTTTATTGTGACAAATGTATCATAGGAACATATGCTAATAAGAGGGGAAATGGAGTGTTGGGTAGGTGGAAACCCTCTGTACTATCTTTGCAATAATTCTATCAATCTAAAACTATTCTAAAATTACCAATTTATTTTAAAAGAACGCTAGATGGGATCAACAGCAGATTAGACACTGCAGAAGAAATGTTTAGTGAACTTGAGCACTAGAAATATGGACAATCTAAACTAAAGCAGAGAGAGATAAAAAAGACCCAAAATAAGTGTTAACATACAACAAACAATGCCACAACAATTGAAGATCAATGTGGGGGTATTAAAAGAATCTCAGTCCCTATCTCCTCATCCTATACAAAAACTAACTCAAAATGAACCATAGACATAAATGTAAGAGCTCAAATTATAAAACTCATAGAAAAATATGTATGACCTTGGGTTGGCAAAGATTTCTTAGATAGGACACAAAAAGTGCAACCATAAAAGAAATAATTGACAAAGTGGACTGATAAAAATTGTAAACTGTTACCTCTTAAAAACTACAATAAGAAAACTAAAAGGCAAGCCACAGACTGGGAGAAAATATTTGCAAAATATGTTATCTAATAAAGACTTGTAACCAGAATATATAAAATATAGTATAGCTCAAAAATAAGAAAAAAATTGTTTTAATTGTGCAAAACAAAAGAGTTAAACAGATACTTCACAAAATAACATATACAAATAGTCAATAGTGTATGAAAAGATGCTCAACAGTATTTGTCATTAGGGAAATGCAAGTTAAAACTGCAATAAGACACCACTACACATCTACTAAAATGCTTACATTTTAAAAGACTGACAATACCAAGTGTCAGTCAGAACATGTACCAACTGGAACTCTAATACACTACTGGGGAATGCAATATGACAAAGGCACTTTAGAAAATAGCTTGGCAGGTTTTTATAAGTTGAACATCCACTTGCCAAGTAATTCAGCAATTTCATTCCTAGGTATTTACCCAAGAGAGATGAAATATATATCCCCATGAAGATGGGCTTGCAAATGGCCATAATGGCTTTATTTGTAATCACCAAAACCTGAAACTAACCCAAATTCTCTAAATAAACTGTGGTATGTCCATATAATGGAATACTACTCAGCAAGAAAAAGGAATGAATTACCAATACAGGCAACAACATGGGTTAATCCCGAAAGTATCATGTTAGGTGGAAGAAGCCAGACATAAAAGACTACACACAATAGAATTCCATTTAGAAGAAAGTCTAAAAAAGGCAAAATTACAGGAGCTGCTAGAGCATGAAGAGGCTAACAGCAAAATTACTCAGGAGCACCTTGGGGATGCAGAACTGGTCTGTGGCTTGATTGTGAGGAGGGCTGCACGGCTGTGCACTGTTGTTGGAACTCATTGAATTGTACCCTTTAAATATGTGGATTTTATTCAGGAACATTTATAAGGAACATTTATAAGGAAATGTTGCCGTAATAAGGCTGATTTAAAGATAGTTTTCTTGGCCGGGCTTGGTGGCTCACACCTGTAATACCAACACTTTGGGAGGCTGAGGCAGGTGGACCACTCGAGGTCAGGAGTTTGAGACCAGGAGTTTGAGACCAGCCTGGCCAACATGGTGAAACCCCACCTCTACTAAAAATACAAAAAATTAGCTGGGCGTGGCAGCATGAGCCTGTAATCCCAGCTACTCAGGAGGCTGAGGCATGAGAATCACTTGAAACCGGGAAGCAGAGGTTGCAGTGAGCTGAGATCATGCCACTGCACTTCAGCCTGGGCGACAGAGCGAGACTCAGTCTCAAAAATAAACAAACAAACAAACAAACTTATCTTGCCACTCGCAACTAAAAACCCTGTAATGGTCCCCCATGGCCTGTGAGAAAAAGTCAAGGCCTTACATGATCTGGGCCCTGGTTATCTCTCCAACTTCATCTCTGGGCGCAATCTCCTCAACCTCTTCCCTCCCCAAAATATCACACACTATATTGCAGCTGCAATAAACACTTCCAAATCCTCATATCCATGTGCTTCCTGCTTCCGTGTCCTCTATATACCGATTCCTTTGGATAGAACACTTTCCTTTATGCTTCCTCCATTGACTGGTAAACTCTGCTGTTCTTTAAGACCTAGCCAGAAGTATTTTCAATGGCCACTAAGTAGGGTTTACCCAAGGAATGAGGCAAGGACGCTTGATACCTCCCACACCAGTCAGCACTGCATTGCCAGAGTTCCTGCCGAGGCAATATGTTAATTTGAGAAAAATGAAGCAGACAGATTATAAAAGATAGGTAATTACTAACAGATCTTTATAGCTGCATGCAAAAAAAGATGAAAGAACATTTACAATTAGAACTAATAAGAAGTTTCAGCAAGGCTACTGCTCATAAGCTCAACACAGAGAAATCTAAGCATTGTTACACATCAGCAATAACTAATTAAAAATGTGATTTATAAAAGATCCCATTCACAATGGGAGGAGAAAAAAGAAACCATAAGGTATCTAAAACTAAATCTAACATAACACAAGATGTCCAAGATACTGATAGAGAAAGTCATAAACATTACTCAAGGACATGAAAACTGTGAGCGAGTAGGGAAGCAGGGCAGTAAGAAGACCTAAGTTCATACAGATGTCGACTCTCTTTGAGTTAATCTGTAAATTCAAAGCAATTCTAATCAAAATCCCAAAGAGATTATTTTTGTAGAGCTTGTAAGACCCTTTTTTTTTTTTAGACGGAGTTTCACTCTTGTTGCCCAGACTAGAGTGCAATGGCGCAATTTCAGCTCACTGCAACCTCCACCTCCCAGGTTCAAGCGATTCTCCTGCCTCAGCTTCCCAAGTAGCTGGGATTACAGGCTCCCACCACCACGCCCAGCTAATTTTTTGTATTTTTAGGTAGAGATGGGGTTTCACTACATTGGTCAGGCTGGTCTCAAACTCCTGACCTCAGGCGATCCACCCACCCTGGCCTCCCAAATTGCTAGGATTACAGGTGTGAGCCACCATGTCCAGCCGTAAGACACATTTTAAAATTCATATGAAAGTCCAAGAGTAGTCAAGAAATTCTGGAAAAGAAGAGGACGGCAGGAAGACTTTCCTTCCGAGATTAGCAAGGCTTCATACAAGCTCCCAGAATTAAGATGTGTGTTTTCAGGGTCCAGGCTGAACAACTAAGTCAACAGAGCAGAAAAGAAAGCCCCATAGGCCTCTCTGTATCCACAGATACAGACCCACAGACCACACATCCACAAGCAGCAGGACTTTGTCGTATAATAGAGGAAGAATCCCAAGTCAGAGGAAAAAGGATGACTATCCAGGGCTTACTAGATTGGGAAAATCGTAGACCCTTACCTCTCAACAAGAGCAAACTGTGAATTCTAAGTGATCAAAGATCGCACGGTCAAAAACAAATTAGAAAAAAATGTACAAAAATATTCTAATGAACTGTGGTGGGGGACAAGGGAGAAAAACGTAAATCTTGAAGGAAAAGCATCACAAATATGACTAGAACAAAATTTAAAACTTTGGTATACCAGCAGACACCATAAACAAATGTAAATAACTAAAGCACAGACTGGGAGAAATTATTTGCAATTTATGCAACCTATAAATGATTGTCAGCTAGAAAGCATGATTTTCCTACCAATCCATAAGGAAAGACAAACAGCCCAATGGAGAAAATGCACCAAGGCTCTGTTGAGGCTGTTCATAGAAAAGACAGCCTGACTGTCCAACAAACAGTAATAAAACACTAGGGAAATGCCAATCAAAACAGTAAGATGCCATTTCACGCCATCGGGTTGGCCGGAACTGAAGCAAGCGTCAGTACCCACTGATGGCTCGAGGGTGGGGCGGGAGGCTCCCTAGGCTGCCGTGGGGGCGCGAATGGGTAAACTGCTCTGAGAGCATTTGGGGGTGTCTCTGGGTGATGCCTCCTAAGGTGAAGAGGTTGGGCTTCCCTTCTTGAAGGAAAAAGCCTCACCTACAGGCCTCTATGAGAAAAGGCGAGAAGGACCTACATGTCACTACATCCTTTTGGTTTTGAAGCAGTCGCTAAGCCCATCGCGGTCAAGGTGTGCTGAATAAGGCTTCACCTTCTGAAGGAAGGAGTCTCAATGGCTTTGTGGGTGTCGTTTAAAATCATCGCCCAAGGAACTGGCCCTTGTCCCCAGTGAGGAGGAAGACATCCAACAGGGGCCTAGGGAAGGGCCTCACTTCCAGCTAAGCCCCAAGAGTCCAGCCCTGGAGGCAGACACTTGGGCTCCCAGGCCCTTCCGGAAACCAGGACACTGTCTCTGAGCCACCTTCTTTAACCCTGGGGTAATTTCATTGGTTTCTTTTAACCAGCTAATTTGAGAGCAAAAAAAAATCATGTTGCAAAATTTCTATTCCTGCAAAATGGGAGCAGATACAAGTTCTACAAAGTTAGAAATTAAACGACTGTTCTTTCTCTGAGACATATGTTAAGCTAGTACCTCATTAATCTTCTTTCTGCTCCAAGACTGTAACAACCTGGCTACTAAATCTTTTAAGTCACCGAATCATTACTCCTTTATAATCTCCAACGCACGGGCTCCGAGAGGGGTTCATCCTTCTTAAAGCATGCCAGGAGAGGCCGGTTCAGACGAGGCAAAGACAATACAGCTTGGATGTGACATTCTGAAGGCGGTCAGGCACGCAGGCTGCACCCTAGAGACAGCTGGAAGGCGCCTCAGCAGCAGAGGACCCTGGAGTGGGGCCGGAGCGGGGCCGGAGCAGCACAGCACGTGCAAGGGACAAACAGAAGTAAGAAAAGAGAAAAGCACTAAGGGTGTTTCTTTAATAGAACATTTACTGCATATATTCTGGGATTACAAAAGTGAACAATGCTCACTGGAGAAACCCCCAAAGAATCAGAAGAGTCCAAAGAAAGTGGCAAAATCCCTCCCTCATCAAATCTAAAAGGTTATTTGTTCCCGGAACAAACTGAGGGTCGTTTTGCTATTTCTCACGGCCCAGTAACAAGATGCAGATGAACTGAGGAAGAAGAGTGTTTATTTCTGCAACCGGTTACAGAGAGAAGGCCTGGAAATTATCGCCAGACCAACTCAAAATTACAGAGTCTTCCAGAGCTTATATACCTTCCAAGCTACATGTCTATGTGTAAGAGTGCATTCACCTAATGCCAGAAGTGATTAACTTCCAATCTATAACTGAGGTCTGAGTCCTGAAGACCTTTTTCTAATCTATAACTGAGGTCTGAGTCCTGAAGACCTTCTTGTGGAGCCTCAGTAAGTTTACTTCATCTAGATGGGTCCAGGTGCTGGGGTGATTGCCCCGTCTCTGAGAAATCATAAAGGTCTGGGAAGTTCCTTTAGACCCCAATAAACTTGTCTGTGGAGGCCTGGGGAGTTTCTTCAGATCCCCAACACAGTTTGTTTAGTTGTAAAAGGGTCCTGTTAAGAATTCCTTCGTTATCTTGTCATGCTTCAAGGCCCAGGAAAAGCCTAGGCAAAACTCTTGGTGGCCCAGCCTGTATATAAAGGCACTAGCTCTTTCAGCTTTTAATGTTTAACCTAGCTACTCAGTCAGTGCCGGGACAGTTGTCATGGAGGCCTGCGTTAGTGAGACCTGGCCTGCCACAAAGGGTACCTGCCTTCCAGTGCAGGGTTAGCAAACTGGCCTGGGGACCAAGTCAGCCCACCTGCTGTCTGTGGATTTCCCTTAGCATTTCCAGGCCCCCGAAACCCCCATGGCCTCGTCCCTTCACCTGTGCTCCCCGGACACGAAGGCTAAGCCAGACCACGTTTACCCTGCCCTGTGGCTGGCTGTGGGGGGCTTTCTCCCTGCTGCTGTTCTCACGTCCATACCCAACCTCCCTGCCTCTTCCACAGTGAACCACAAAGCTGTCAAATAGGCACCTAAAATTAGAACTGCTGAGCCAGACTCCACCCTTCGGATATTCCCCGGTCCTGCCAGAAAGGCTTAGCACGATTTCGAACGTCTGCATGGTTAGCAAATCTTTTGAGAGATCATACTAGTGTTTAACCAATTTCCCATTGTTAACATTTACAATGTTTCGAATTCTCATTATCGTTAACAGCCTTTTAATTAACATCTTATATAAAAATTATTTCCGACACTGCCTCCAGGATCCATCTCTGGACGTGACCCTATGGGTTAGGGGGTCTGAACCCTGTTAACGTTTCTGACGATGATGCTGACACTTTGCCCTCCAGAGGCACAGCCTCCGCCATGTGGCCGCAGCCTCTCGCCCATCCTGGTGTTTCTCTTTTGTCATGATGGTCACCATTACATCCTTTAGCGTCCGACTGCCTTTAGTGTTTGACTGCCACTGAAGTCAAGCATTTCCTCATGATGTGTATGTTTGTGTGTCTTTGACTCAGGCCTACTTCAAGTCAAGCCCTTAGGAGCTGGAGGAAGTCAAGCACAAGGACCTCAGGCAAGTTCTCAGCTCCTCTCTCCTCTCTGTGACTGCACCCCTCCTTATCATAGCCCCTCTCATCTCCGACAGCCAGGAAACAACCATCACCAAGGCTACCACATATAAGACACTCATCGTCACCCTCACAGCTGTCACTGGGAGTCCCCGGAAGCCGGGGCCGAGGATCAGAGAAGTGAGTGCTGAGGTCTCACGGGCCCCCAAGCGGGGTCGCAGGTCTCTAGAGTTGTGTTTCCAACCACCCACGCCACTTTGGACTTCTTTGTTATTATTAAGGATAAAGGGCAACTTTCTGGAAAATTGTGCTGTCTAACCCACTTAAATGTAATCAGATAAGAATACCAGGTACCTGCAAGCTGCAACTGGAATTCTCAGGGTATTCACTCCTCAGGTAATGAATCCTGAGGTTTCCACGTTGCCTCTATCTCCAGTTACACAGAGCCCACGTCCTGAAGCTGCAGATAGAGGCTTGAGTATCTCAGAGCAAAATGAAAGTCAATACAATTGCTATGCAATCTTTATTTATATTCTAGGAACCTGCTTCTCATGGAAATGCGGATAATGAACAGACACTGATTAAATTGTCCATATGAATATTCATCGAATCACCTGGACTTTCATGTTAATTTTATTCCTTTTCCCGTGGCTGTCTCTGAATAACAAAGCTTCCTTCCTTCTCCAAAGAGGGGAGCTCAGTGCTGATTAGAAAACAAAGGGGAAACTTGAGTTTGAAATTCTGTCAAAAAAAAATAGGCCTTAGTGAAGAATGTCATTGGCTTCAGGGTCTCATTTGGCCTTTTAATGTGAGATCCACCTTCACATCCACCCTAATTTAGTTTTCTCACACAGCAGAAGTTGCTCTGCATGAGTGGGAACGTACAGATGGGCACAGGGGCTATGATGTATGACCAGGTGTGTGCTGGGCTGAGGGCACCCTGCGGGGGCAAGAGGAGTGGGGTGACAGGAGCACGGACCCAGCACCCCCTCTTTCCCTCGCCCATCCATTCTCTCACTGGGCATTGACTGGAGCTCAGTGTGCAGGAGACACATGCAGTCCACACATCCCCAGCAGTTCCTGAGCAACAGGAGCTGACACATGAGCCAGGCAGTCCTCACACCTGCCCTGCACAACAGGGACCCTGCCCCATCTCCCAGATGGGAACCGCACACCCCACGAGTACCCTGCGATGACCACACCATTGACCCACACAGGAGGCAACACCACCATGACACAAATCCTTTTTGCAAGCTTCTCCCAGGAAACCCATAAACCACAGGACCCTCCCCAGCACCTGTCCCCACCAAGGAACAAGACACCCCCTGGAGCTGCCCCCACTCTGTAAGATGTCTCTGCACCCCCAGCTGCAGTGAGCGCTGACGGGCGAAGCGGCCATTGGGGACTGTAGGCCTGACGCCGGGGTTGTCCCTGAGCCCCAACTCTGGGGCTTCTCTGCCCCGCAGGTGGAGCTGGTTGTTGCTAATCCTGACGTGCCCCCACCCCACCTTTTCTACCTTAAAATAACAGTAAAACTTCAAAGCTGGTGCCGGAGGCAAAATGCTTTGTGAAAACCACCACGTGAGACCAAAGGGAAGTCTGAGCTCACCCTCCTGCCCACAGAGGCACTGCGCAGAGCTGGAAAGAGATGGAAAAGACAGTTTTTGGCTGTTTTCCTTTGAAGGGCAATTTGCCCACAGGCCAAGGAGTGTGTTGCTTGCTGACCTAAGCCTGATGCTTTGGATGAATTGGCCTTACTGTGGATGCCAATATGTCGGGCAGTCAGCGCAGCCTTCGGTGCTCTTCGGCTGTGACACCACCGTCAAAGTTCTGCTAGGCCGTCTCTGACACGTGGGCTGGGCCTTCGGAGACCCGCCAACCTTCCAGAAATAGCACAGATGGGGACATGAGAAGCCGGGGCCTCATGGCCTGCATCTGCCCTTAATGTTTTCAAAATGACTCACAGCCTACAGTGTCGACGACAAGTTGCTTTGACAGCAAAGGGGAAGACATCCAGACAAAGTGCTTCTGAGCGAGAGATGGACATTTACAGCAACTATCCGGCATTGATTTCTGCTCGCCTGAGGTGTCTCGGAAGACATGGGGCGTATGACACACTGCGGCCGCAGAAGTGTGCAGCTTCAGCAACCTGGTCTCCAAAACTGCCTTGGAAATAGACAGCAGGGTGCCATCCTCTCGCCCAGAGTGGCCTGGCAAACCCACGTGGGCGAGAGAAAGCCGGTGCAGCAGGCACAGAGGGCAGGGCCATGCCATCCACCCCATGTGAGCTGACACAGATGAACGGAGCTCTCCAGGCCTCAGTTTCTCCACTGATGAAATGGAGAACACAAATCCTAATGCATAGCATGCAACATCAGTCTGTTGGCTGGGAGGTGGTGGAGGCATCAGACCCAGCTTCCAGACATGGATGAGGGAGGGAGGAGGGAAAAATGAGACCACGGGTCTGTCTCAGGCCAGCTCCAGGCTGGTCCAACTCCAGCTGCAGGGGTGTCTGGAAAAGGGGGTATTTTAATGAGCATTTTGATGCCTCAACACACTGTTGGGAAGAAACAGGAGGCAACTAACCACATGTGCCACACCAGCCTCACCTTTCTGCAGCCAATGGACCTTCCACACCAGACTCACCTGCCTGCAGCCAATGGACCTTCCACACCAGCCTCACCTGCCTGCACCCAATGGACCTTCCACAACAGGCTCACCTGCCTGTAGCCAATGGACCTTCCACACCAGACTCACCTGCCTGCAGCCAACGGACCTTCCACACCAGACTCACCTGCCTGCAGCCAACGGACCTTCCACACCAGACTCACCTGCCTGCAGCCAACGGACCTTCCACACCAGCCTCACCTGCCTGCACCCAATGGACCTTCCACAACAGGCTCACCTGCCTGTAGCCAATGGACCTTCCACACCAGACTCACCTGCCTGCAGCCAACAGACCTTCCACACCAGACTCACCTGCCTGCAGCCAATGGACCTTCCACACCAGACTCACCTGCCTGCAGCCAATGGACCTTCCACACCAGACTTACCTGCCTGCAGCCAATGGACCTTCCACACCAGCCTCACCTGCCTGCACCCAATGGACCTTCCACAACAGGCTCACCTGCCTGTAGCCAATGGACCTTCCACACCAGACTCACCTGCCTGCAGCCAACGGACCTTCCACACCAGACTCACCTGCCTGCAGCCAACGGACCTTCCACACCAGACTCACCTGCCTGCAGCCAATGGGCTTTGCACACCAGACTCACCTGTCTGCAGCCAATGGATCTTCCACACCAGGCTCACCTGTCTGCAGCCAATGGATCTTCCACACCAGGCTCACCTGTCTGCAGCCAATGGATCTTCCACACCAGGCTCACCTGTCTGCAGCCAATGGATCTTCCACACCAGGCTCACCTGTCTGCAGCCAATGGATCTTCCACACCAGGCTCACCTGTCTGCAGCCAATGGATCTTCCACACCAGGCTCACCTGTCTGCAGCCAATGGATCTTCCACACCAGGCTCACCTGTCTGCAGCCAATGGATCTTCCACACCAGGCTCACATGCCTGCACCCAATGGATCTTCCCTGGGCATTGCCCGAGATCTATGCCCAGCCTCAGAGAGCAAAGGGCCAGGGAATCTATTCACATCTCGTCCTGGGGCTGCCTTGCCAAATAACCACAGACTAGGGGATCTGAAACAACAGACTTTTACAATCTCCCAGTTCTGGAGGCCAGAAGTCTGAAATTAAGGCATCGGCAGGGCTTCACTCCAACCAAAAATTCCAGGGGAGCACTTCCCTGCCTCCTCCACATCCCGGCGGCTCCCGGCAGTCACCACCCCCTTAACTTCCCAGCTGTGTCTCTCCAGTCTCCACGCCGTCTTCCTGTGGCCATCCTCCCTCTATCTGTGCCTCTGTGTCTCCAAATTGCCGTCTCTTTAAAAGGAGCGATTCTAAGTCCACATCACTGGACTAGGGCCGCCCTGATCCAGCATGACCTCATCTTAGCTAATTCCATCTGACAGACCCTATGGGGTTTCCACAGAAGGTCCCATTCACAGATCCTGGGGGTTAGGACTTGGACACATCTTTCTGCATGTAGTAATTCAGCCTATGACAGGCAACCTCCATCCTCCATTCATTCCAGTGCCCACGAGATCGGGGGAGCCTTCATCCACCATTCATTCCCAGTGCCCAGGAGACCCGGGGAGCCTCCGTCCACCATTCATTCCCAGTTCCCAGGAGACCGGGGGAGCCTCCGTCCACCATTCATTCCCAGTGCCCAGGAGACCTGGGGAGCCTCCATTTGCCATTCATTCCCAGTGCCCAGGAGACCTGGGGAGCCTGCATCCGCCATTCATTCCCAGTGCCCAGGAGACCCAGGGAACTTGCATCTGCCATTCATTCCCAGTATTCTCAGGGCTCAGGAGATCTGGGGAGCCTCCATCTGCCATTCACCCCCAGTGCCCAGGAGATCCAGGAAGCACCGCCAGTCTCTGAAGACCAAGCCAGGTTGAAAAGGTTGCTCCCATGACAAAATGTGTTTTTCTTCCCAATTTCAAACAATCCATCAGCACAACCAGCTCGTGTCAACCTTCACTTCACTTCCCGCTGCGTTTTCTTCATCCCCCTCCCCAACATGTATTTATGGCCGCGCCCTCACCAACAGCCCACTGGAAGATGTGCTCTCCGAGGGGAGCTACCCTCTGCCTTGTGCCTTGCTGGTTCCCAGCAAGAGTACCTGGCACAGAATATGCTTGGAAGCACTGGTTAAAGCACCTGCTCATTCAACAAATGCCGTCTTCCCCGTAGCCACACACATTTTATAATTAAGCAACATCTTGCTGGGCCCGGGCAACAGACCTTCCAGGCACTCACTAAAAGACAGACGTCTCCACCATCAAAGAGCACACAGTCTGGTTCGGGACAGGGTTTCATATTTTCCTTTGACTTTCACCTAGAAAGCACTAACTAGCTAGATTTTCTCTGTTTTCCAAGGAATTTGCACATCAAACGAATTTTCAATAGGCGCCCTCAGATGAGGAGGAGATGGCGTTATTTCCTGACAGGTGTAGTGTGTCTGCCCTGCATAGGAGGGAGGCACAGCTTTTCAGGGGCGGCACCTGCAGAGACTGCGAATCTTCACTCAGCACTCAGGCCTGCTAGCACCAGGGCCTGGCTTCCTGTCCCCTTCGGAGAAAGACAAGACAGGCAGGAGGAAAAGCAGGATGATGGAGGAGTGGCGGTCCCCAAAACCACAGCGGGCTCGGACCGCTATGGGTTTCAGGGAAGGGGTCGGTGGAGGGTAATGGCAAAGGCCCTGGGAGGCAGGCAGCACAGCAGTGGCGCAGCTGTACATGCCTGCACAGGTGTGTGTCATCCTGGGTCACAGGACCACAGGGAGCTGCGTTCACTGAGAATAAACCACTTGGTCAGTGTCACCACTGGGCCCCACCTGTGTCCTCAGAATGTCCTGAGTAGAGAGGCCTTTGAATTTCACCCAATGTTGAGCAAAATTCAGCCTGAGCAGGGCCTCCCCATGCAGCTCTGAGACCCTGTTGCTGCTGCTGCGGGGGCCTGTTTCAGTGGAATCCCCCAATGCACCCTTGCAGCAGGGACTGGGGTGTAGGCAGCTTCTAGGGAGGTGATGCAGGAAGTAGGAGTGAGGGGCAGGTGAGTTTTCGGGGACAGAGGGAGCATAGCGTGAGGTTGTGCTGTGCAATGGCTGTTGTGCACCAAGGGGCCAATTCCTCAGGGCTCTCAGAAGCATGCAGAACTCTCCCAGATGTCCCCTGCTGATGGCAGCCAAGCACTGGCTCCCCCGTCTCCCCTGGCCACGTGGTGCGCTCAGCCAACCCGGACCTACTGGACTGAAGCAACTGGAAGAGCTGGCCAGTCACACGACTGCAGGAGGACTCTGACCCCACGGGCCCTCAGCCTGCCTTCTGGCGGACTTGCTACTGGACCCCATGATAGCATCAACCTCAGAGGCGAGCCGTTGGCTCCAAAGACCCAGAGGAACCCCCTGCCCCAGGGCCTTCCTCCCACCCTGTCCATCGGATCCTCAGCAAAGCCTCCTGGGTACAGCTACACATGGCAAGGTTCGGGGACCATCCAGATGGGTCCAGCAGGGTGCAGAGGCCATTCCAGCTCCTGGTGTCTGAGGCAGAGGGCACTCTGAGACCAGCAGGGACTCGGGGGTCCTTCCAGGGTGGAGGGCATGTAGACAGGCTATGGGAAGGCTGCACACCAGCGGAGGGCGTGGCTGGGAGACCCCAGCTCCCAGCCCAGTCAGAGCACCAGTGGGATTCCAGGAATGTGAGAAAACTCAAGCAGAAAGGATTTTCGGCAAGGATGTGCAGTCCAGACCGCCTCTGGGATCCCCAAGGTTCAGTTCCCCCCAGCCCTGTAGATCGCTGTCCGCTTGCCAAGTTTATCACACACCCTGCGTGCACCTGCAGAGTAACCAGGCAGCAGAGATCTGCAGGACGGGCTCAGAGCACGGCTGTGCTCCAGGGACCGTGGCCAGCAGCTCTTGGGCAGGCGCGCCCTGTCCGGTGGGTGCCCAGGGCCTCCTGACACCTCAGTGCCGACATCCCTCCCAGTTCTGAGGATGGGGTGGCCTTGCGTTCTCCCTCGTGGTACTGCTTGTCTTCTGTTTAGAAAAGTGAGCTAGAAGTTGCAAAATGCCAAACGGTGGGTTTTATATTAAAATAAGATGGATCTGGGTTCTGTCACTAGGGCGTTGGGAAATTGTTGACAGCATTTTAATTGCAAAGTGTCTAAAACTAGTGACAGAATCATTGGCTGCTAGGACCGATGCTCCAGGAGGCTGGCTCTTGGCATCTCAGGATCTTGGAATGATGCTGGGCCACAGAGGAGTGATCTGGGGGCCAGGGTGAGCTGGCAGGTTGGGGAGGTGAGGTCTGAGGGGTCACCCCCCAGCCCATGCCCTGCACCAATGGCCCTCTATGGGGTCTCACAGGGATCCAGGGGAACATGGGCTCTAACTCAAGACTGGACATGAATTTCCCAGAAGATATTAATGACCAAGCGTATCAGGACAGACACACCCAGCAGATTCAACACCGCCACCTGCAGAGGTGACCATCAGCCAAACATCAGGAGCGTCCTGGTGATGACTGGGACTTTGCCCTTGTGGGCAGAGGGGGAGGTCAGAGGGCACAGCCGAGGTGGTGTGGGAGGGTGGCCTTGCCGTTAACATAGACCCTGAAGCAGCATCAACAACAATGTGAGAACCCTAGCGTCCACGTGAGAACCCTACCGTTCCACGTGGGAACCCTACCGTCCACGTGGGAACCCTACTGTCCACGTGGGAACCCTACCATCCACGTGAGAACCCTACCGTCCATGTGGGAACCCTACCGTCCACGTGGGAACCCTACTGTCCACGTGGGAACCCTACCGTCCACGTGAGAACCCTACCGTCCATGTGGGAACCCTACCGTCCACGTGGGAACCCTACTGTCCACGTGAGAACCCTACCATCGTGCAATAATTGTCCCGCCTCTACATTTGTTTGTTTGGTTTTATTTTGAAATATATTTTCTACATAGTGGAGGTTATCAGAATCTTAATTATGAATAATTATTTCCAACTTAATCAAGACCCATATAATAATCATTCCCAGCTTCATTAAGACTCATATAAGTAATACATTTAATTTATTAAAGGTTTGGATGAAACAATTGCCTGCAGGTAAATCTCCAGATAATTTGAAAAAGCAACATCATTGCCCTCGATCTTCCTGAGACTGTGCCCGGCAAAGACACCAGCAGGACTTCCCAGGCTGCTTAGCAGGAGCCACCTTCAGGTCCGCAGGCCCCACCTCCCAGGCAGCCCTGGGCGCCTCTGGCAGCAGAGCCTGCTCTGCCCATGCATATGGCAGCCAGAAAGTGCCAGGCGCGGCAGTCCACCCGTGGCGATGGGAGTGGTGGGTGACGTCCCCAGCCCCCACCTCCTCGGGATGGGGAAGACTTTGAGGGGCGTGTTCTGCCCAGTTTCAGAATCCCCCAGGAGGATGGAGCCCCAGTTGCCAGCACTGGGAACCCGCTAGGTTCCGAGCCTTGGTTGGCTGCATTCTCCCCAGCCCACGTCCCCCCTCCACACCCCCACTGCTGTTTCCTGGAACTGGCTCCCGAAAAACAAGCTTGCATCCAGTCCCTGTCGCAGAATCTGCTCCTGTTTATTCCAATGACGTACAGGCATGTTCTGCTGCCCTGTACGCTCTGGCTTGTATTTGGAAATGCAAGAGTCATCTCATGTAACAGCAAGATTGTAACTTTTAAAATAAAGCAGCCTCAAAACAGAAAATTATGAAGAAAGCATGGATTCCTCAAAGTTAACCCCTGTGTCCTTCTTCAGAGGAATCCCACCTCCGCCCCAGGCCCGGTGAGATGGCAAAGCCACCTCGGAGAACGTGACGTGGATGGCAGCTGCTCAGGACACAAGATCAGAGACAGGCAGGTGTTGTCCTGCTCCTAGGATTGGCCCACACAGAGGGTCTTTGCCGACACATTTTCAGTTTTCAAGATAAATCGGTGGAAGAAATCTGAAGTTCTCACTGTTTGCTCCCCAGATGTCATGGCAACCTTCACCTCCACTTCACGCACACCCACTATTCCCTTCAAACAAATGGTGTAAAATGAGCTTTGTTGTTTCTTTATGGACAGATTAGATCATGTAGCTGATCATGTTGCCCTTTTCATGTGGGTCCCTAGAAAGCACATTTTCTCAAACTCAAAAGGCCCTCTGCATCCTGCATATCTGCACTCTTACTTTCTCCAGGATAAAACTGGTTTCTCTGTGCCATTTTATTTTTATTTGTCACTATGCTTTTCCACTTCTATGCATTATACTAAGACACTTCAGATATCTTGGAAATGAGTAGAGTATGGCTGCCTACAAACCTACACACAAACACTGAGCAGACACTCACAGGCACATAAATGCCACATCCAGACCTGAGGTCACAGGATCTGAGCTCTGGATGTGATTACAAAGATGTAAAGAAGGAACTGGTAAAACCAGTGAACAGTCAGCCAGTATTCCAAATATATAAGGAAGGCACAAACCAGTAAGAAAAAGACAAATTACACAATGTGAAAATGGCAAAGACTTGAAGAATCCTTTCACCAAGGAGGGAGCAAGAATGGCCAACAGGCCTGTAAAAAGCTGCCTGGCCTCAGCCAGGCACGGTGGCTCATGCCTGTAATCCCAGCACTTTGGGAGGCCAAGGCAGGCGGATCATGAGGTCAGGAGATCGAGACCATCCTGGCTAACACGGTGAAACCCCGTCTCTACTAAAAATACAAAAAATTAGCCGGGTGTGCTGGTGGGCGCCTGTAGTCCCAGCTACTAGGGAGGCTGAGGCAGGAGAATGGCGTGAACCCGGGAGGCAGAGCTTGCTGTGAGCCGAGATTGCACCACTGCACTCCAGCCTGGGCGACAGAGCCAGACTCGGTCTCAAAAAAAAAAAAAAAAAAAAAAAAAAAGCTGCCTGGCCTTTTATGTAATCAGGAGACAGAACATTAAAAACAAAATGAGAGATCGTTCCACAGCATCAGGCTGGCAAAGTTTAAAGGTCAGCAAATCCTAGGCACAGGCGAGGGCTCAAGGTCACCGCCAGTGCCCTATTTGCAAGGCGCACGCACCTCCCCCTCCGCGGAGCACGCACAAGTGCTGGGCCCTGCGTTTCTCTGCTAAGTCACGTCAGCAGGAGCTGGGTCAGCAACTTCTTCCATACAGGGCCGGGTCATCGTTTATGCTTTTGGGTCCATGTGGTCTCTGCCATGCCTAGTGGTTGACAATGTGAAGTGGGTAGGTGCGACCTCTCTCCAATTAAACTTGTTGCCCAGAGGCAGGTGGAGTGTTGTCATTTGCCGGCCCATGGTACAGAGACACTTGTGCACGTGGACATCAGGCAAATGGCCACAGTAGCAACAGGCTGGAAGCAGCCCCCTCACCACTACCCAAGTGAAATGGCACAGTCCTGCATGGGGCCAGGGGAACCTGGCAACCCCTCACCTGCAGCCCAGACCACTTCTGGGATCCCCAAGTTCCAGTTCCCCCCAGCCCTGTAGATCGCTGTCCACTTGCCAAGTTTATCACACGCCCTGCGTGCACCTGCAGAGTAACCAGGCAGCAGAGATCTGCAGGATGGGCTCAGAGCTCAGCTATGCTCCGGGGACCGTGGCCAGCAGCTCTTGGGCAGGCGCGCCCTGTCCGGTGGGTGCCCGGGGCCTCCTGACACCTCAGTGCTGACATCGTTTATGCTTTTGGGTCCTTGTGGTCTCTGCCACACCTAGTGGTTGACAATGTGAAGTGGGTGGGTGTGACCTCTCTCCAATTAAACTTGTTGCCCAGGGGCAGATGAGGCTCATTTGGGATGAATCTCAGAATCCAGCATCAGCAAATACAGAAACTCGGGGACAGACACACACACACACACACACACACACACACACAGCCAGCAGCAAACAGAGCAGAACCATTCCTTCTTTAGAGAAACACAGAGATGCAGCAGACTGTGCAGAGAAACAAGGAAGAATCATCAGGAAACTGGAGGTAGCGTTTCCCCGGGGGTGAGAGGAGAGGGAGGGAGCTGCCGTGGGGCGGGGTCCCAGGGGTCTCACCTCCCAGGGTGTTCTCTTCCTCAGGATGAGCGGTGCCTACACGGGGCCTCATTTTACTATTTTTCTTGAAGTGAACCTGCACATTTTCACACTCTCTCCCTATTTGATGTATTTTATAATTTATTTTTAATTTTAGAAGGAACAGGGATGAAGAGCCCCAGGCATTCACAGGAGGTGCCCCCTAATTCCGAGATGGAATGGGGGTGGCCAAGATGAGTGAGCACCTAGGAGAGAAGTGAGCAGAGCCCAGGAGCACCAGGAGGGGTCCAGGCAGCAGCAGGATGTCACAGGCTGATGTCACAGGCGTGAGGGTTGCCCACGAGAAGGGGCCAGGATGTCAGAGAGCCCATGGGGCAGGGGCAGATGGAGCAGCAGCACCTGTGGAGAGGCAGAGGATACACCAACAGGAAGGAGCAGCTGCTGGCCCATCCCCTAAGAGCAGGGCCTTGGAGCCAGGGAGCCAACCCTCCTCCCTGTGTCCCCGCCATGCAGCCGCACCCATTCCTGAACTTTCACTTCTCGTCAAAACACAGGGGTGGAAATAGTTCCTAAGGTTGGTGTGATCACTGGGATGAAGCACTAAGCCTGTGACATATTCCAAGTGCCCTGCAGACGCCTGGACCCGACAGGTGTCCAACAGCCAAGTGCGCCCACCACTGCCTCTCTCAAAGGTCATTCCTGGCTGCAGGTCGGGTTCTCTGGGAAGCGGAAGCTGTGGTGGAGTCAGGTGCCGGGACGTTTGTGGGGAAGCTCCCGGGAAGGGAGGGAAGAATACAGTGAGCAGAGGGAGGAGAGGAGCTGCACCGCAAACCCCAACAGCAGCTGGTCACCCCCGGAGCTCTGGGGCTGACAGGGCCATGGCCACCAGAGCCGTCCCACTTTGGGCCAAAGTGGGCAGACCTGCACTCCATGCTTGGGGAGCGGGGGGACTCCCATCTACCCACTACATGCCCCATGACCGGGAATAGGTCTTTCCTTGAGGAGTCCAGGCCGGGGGCATCACCAGGTCCCTCACTGCTGTCCTGTTAGGATCACCCAGCCCCACTGGAGCAGGGAAAAGCTCAGACATAAATTGGAAGAAATGATCCACTGGGCATTTTCCATCCCTGGTGATTAAAGGAAAAGATAAAGCGGCTCCACATTGAGGCGGAGGCTTCGGGAGTGAGAGGAAACTTCACTGGATGAGAAACATTCCAAAGACACAAAACAAAGTGAAGGGACACACTGAAGACATTTCTCTGAGCTACAGGCTGGCAAAGACGGATGATGATGATCAGAAAGATGGATTGAGGGTGCGATTAGGAACACACAAAAGTTTAAGATAGACGACACGCACGGCTCACATTAGTCTCAGCTGAAGCAATGCCTGGTCATAGTCAAGGGGCATCACTCCAAGTTCACAAACAAGGGGTCGGGAGTGGCCTCTTGACCATGTCCATTAGTCCAGAAACTGCAGCCCCTGAAGGCTGCTCGCGGTTCAAGACAGAGCTATGCTTGACTGCTTCCGGTTGGCACACTCTTGCGCTCTCTCTCTCTCTCTCTGTTTTTAATGAAGGACATCTTCACAGAGAGTGGGTCCTTCACAC
Source organism: Homo sapiens (assembly GCF_000001405.40). Lineage (NCBI taxonomy): Eukaryota > Metazoa > Chordata > Mammalia > Primates > Hominidae > Homo > Homo sapiens. The sequence goes on from NC_000010.11 coordinate 131,817,193, forward strand.
AAGTGTCGCATAAATCATCCTCTTACCTGGTGCTCCTCGCTACCAGGTGTGGGATCTCCCATAGTCCTGGGTGTGCAAGGCAGATACAAACATGCCAGGTCAGAGATGCAGGGAGTGGGGTGGGCATTATGCAGGAAAAGACCAGCTAAGCTGCAAAAACCAACAATTCCCAAATCCCAGTGGATGTCAGCCCTTAAAGTGAAGCTCTCACTTTTGCAAATCTTGATCAGATGATGTCCACGTGGTGACTCAGAGCTGAAGGGGTTAGAGAGTGAGTGTGGGGCTGTGGGGGAGTGTGTCTGGCCACAGGGGAGGACGGTGTGTCTATGTGCTCATCTGTGTGAGTGTGTGTTTATGCACAAGTGTGCCCGAGTGTGTGGGTATGCGTGCATTTGGGACAAGGAAATGAGCAGATGGGAGGAAAGGGGAAGACCAGAAGTCACCCGAAGCTGAGTTTTCCTGGCAGATGCATGAGTTATAAAACTGATTCTGCTTCTACAAAACATCCCTGCTGATAAAGTCGGAATCTGTCAAAAAGGTGTTTTCTGTTAGGAACAGAGCAGCTTTGCCCGTATGTAATTCGGTGGCAAAAGACCCAAATCCTACATGTTCAACAGACGCACAACTGATCCATGCATTGATTTCTGTTGTCCACACTAATGCACATTTTGCAGACGGGCTGGTGGAGACTGCTCACTTCCCACTCTGCACCCACTGCGCTGAAGTTTATGAAACCGAACCGAGCACCTGGCCAGGCCCTTCCCACCCCTCCCCGAGGGGCTCAGGCCAGGCAAGCAGGAAGGAAGGAAGCAAGGGGAGCAGGAAGAAGGAAGGTGAGTAAGATAGAGGGGCAGATAGAGGACAGCAGAACAGGCAGGGCCCCTGGCTGAGATGCTGGCTGGGCCCTCGGCCAGGTGCTCTGACCGTAGAGGACAATGGACTCCTCCCTGCCTCGGGTGCCTCTGGCCAGCTCTGCTCCCCCGCAGTCTGGAGGGTCAGCGAAGTGGCTTTCTTGCTGCGTGTCCCTCTGGTGTGTGGTGGGTTGGGGAAGGTGTGCATCCCTCCCTTTGCTTGTTTACTCACCTCTTATCTGCTGGAGTGTGCAGAGAGGATGCAGTCTCCCCAACAGAGTGTGTGTCGAGTGGGAGAAACCACCCTCAAAGTCCATGAATTAAGTAATTACTTGGTTGGACAGAAACTAGCAAGGAGCTGAAGTAGAGAACGACCAGGAGGATGACTTCAGATGTGGTGCACCCAGGAAAGGTCTCCCATGAACATTCAGGCAGGAACTCTAAGGACACACAGGCACAGGCCAGGTGAAGTGTGGCAGGAACAGCATGCCAGGCAGAGGGAACAGCATATGCAAACCCACAGAGGGAAAGAGGTTGGTGCAGAGCCCCACACTGTGGGAGTGCAACAAGCCGGGGGAGAGTGGCCTAGGTGCCAGGAGACCCCGCCGCCCTCCGGTGTGAGCCCGGCTGTCCCCCGTCAGGTGCTGATCCCATGGCCTCCCTACTGTACTTTCCGAGAACTCCGGCGTGAAGAAAGCGGCAGTGAAGACAGTCCCTTTCCATTTCCCTTTGGAGAACACAGTGTGTAGGGATTGAACACAATTAGGATCTTGGGCTAATTCACATGCAGATGCCACATGTGAGGAGGCTGGGGGTGGGCAAAAAGGTGAGTTCCTGAGAGCTCTGGGGTCTCTGTGTGAAATTTCATGCACGCATCACAGCCACTGGAACACCGCAGGGGTCAGCCGCTCACGTGCCCCAGCCCCCAGACTGCGGATGCACCTGGCACTCCACCCTCCATGGACGACCGAGAGCCTTCGAAGGAACAACATCCTGGCACCAAGCCAAGAGGAGGCAGGATAGTGCCCCCAGGTTATATTCTGAATGAAACACCTCCGGCAGCACCGGCTCAAGTGACATCACCCAAATCTCCATCTGGGCTTTCTGGAGTCAGACCCAGGGGCGGAGCAGTGACCACACGCTCCAGGAGTCCCAGGCTGGTGGCTCTTCCTTTTCAACCAGCTTTCCACTAAAGAGGGTCCAGTCCTCTAAAAACAAAAACCACCGGACACCGGAGCAGTTAGCCACAGAGACTTGCGGCCCCCTCTGCAACTGAACATGCGCCGGGTTTCTACACTGCCCTCTGCACGGCATCTCCATATGGCGAGACTCTCTCTTTCAGGCCGTGTGGTGTCACAGCAGGGGCTCGTGGGTTAAAGCTGCTGTGACCGCACATTCCCCAGGGAGGGTGCAAGGCCAAGGGGCAGAACGATCACGACTGACCCCAGGCTCTGCAGGCGCAGCCCACCAGGCAGCCCCACCTCCGCACGTGGGCCTACTCAGGTTTCCCCAGAATCGGCCTGAGTGAAAGGACCATGCTGGGTTTGCTGCGGGGGTGGCTACGGTCATAAAGGCGGGGGCAGGTCTGCGTGGTGGAACTGCTGCGTACCCGACTGCAGCGGTGGTTACACGAGTGTGCACTTGTGATAAAACTGTGTAGATGAACATAAAACTGGTGAAATCACATGAGCACACTGGACTTCATCAAGCCAACTTCCAGGCTGCAACCCTGCCCTGTACTGGAGTTAGTTAGGCAAGATGCTCCATGGGGGAACTGGGTGAAGGGCTGCAAACCTGTACTGGAGTTAGGCAAGATACTCCATGGGGGAAGTAGGTGAAGGGTTGTGACACTGTACTGGAGTTAGTTAGGCAAGATGCCCCATGGGGGAACTGGGTGAAGGGCTATGACCCTGTACTGGAGTGAGTTAGGCACGATGCTCCATGGGGGAACTGGGTGAAAGGCTCACAGGGTCTCTCTCTATCATTTCTTACAATTGCATGTAAACCTACAATTATATCCAAATAAAAAGTTTTTTAAAAGGGTCCTGTGCAGTGGCTCATACCTGTAATGCCAGCTACTCCGGAGGCTGAGGAGGGAGGATCACTTGAGCCCAGGAGGTCCAGGCTGCAGTGAGCCATAATCGTGTCACCACACTCCAGCCTGGGTGATAGAGGGAGACCGTCTCAAAGAAAAAAAAAAAGGTGAAGAATTTTTTAAATTATTGGGGCACAGGTGATGTTTGGTTACATGGGTAAGTTCTTTAGGGGTGATTTGTGAGATTTTTGTGCACCCATCACCCAAGCAGTATACACTGCACCCAGTTTGTAGTCTTTTACCACTCACCCCCTTCCCACACTTTCCCCAAGTCCACAAAGTCCATTGTGTCGTCCTTATAGCTTAGCATCCACTTATGAGTGAGAACATGTGATGTGTGGTGTTCCATTCCTGAGTTGCTTCACTTGGAATAATAGTCTCCAATCTATCCAGGTCACTGGGAATGCCATTAATTTAAAAAAAAATCTCTAGGTTGCAAAGATTTCAATAAATGTGTTCCTAATTAGAAATGTTTCTAAAGAAGCCGGGCTGGACGGCATCACGACAAAAGCATGCACCCCCATTCCCTCCACCTGCCTCATTTTCCACCCACAGGAAAAGGATTTACATGGCCTGTCCCAAAAGTGATGATTCGTGATGGATCTGAAGACCCAGCCTGTGGTCCGCAGGATAACACCGCCCTGAAAAATGTGTCCGTGTCTCAACCCTGAAACGCAGGAATATGTTATTTTATGTGGCAAAGGGGGCTTTGCAGAGGCGATTAAATTGAGGGTTTTGAGACAGGAAGAGTCCCCTGGGCTTGCTGGTTGGGTCCTTGGCATTGTAAGGGGCCTTATGCCAGAGAGGTAGGAGGGTCAGGGCAGGAAAGAGGCTGGCCTTGAAGATGCAGGGAGCGGCCATGAGCCAAGACACAGGGTGGCCTGTGGAAGCCAGAGAAAGTGCGGAAACTAATCCTCCCTGGAGCCTCTAGAAGGAACCAGCCCTGCCGATACCTTGATTTTAGCCCAGTAAGACCCATTTCAGACTTCTGACTTCCAGAACTATAAAAGAATAAATTTGCGTTGTTTTAAGTTTGTGATCATTTGTTACAGCAGTAAAAGGCAGCTGGTACCTTCACTTTACTCCATTATTTAAAAGTCTCCTTTCTGACGCTTTTTAAGTGGTTCATGTTAGCAGTCAGAACCCTGGGAATTATCTGAGGCCATTTTGCTTAGAGTTCACTAGATTTTTTTTCCCTAGCCACAATTATGTCACTGTTTAGCCTAAAAAAAAATTTCTACCATGCTGATCAATATTCAAAGTGGGTAGGTTCATCTTTGTAAATTTCACAGTAACAGGCAGGTCTCAGTGATGAAAGTCATTTAAATTAAATTATTTATGCAGATATATGAAACCAAATGAATTTCATGGCAGCAATACTAGAAGCTAGAGATGTGGGCAGCATGGGGCACATGGATGCTCAGAAAGCGAGCCAGCAGCCCCACACCCCTCAGGGATGGCGGGTTAGACTAGGGGAGGGATCAGAGACACACCCCCAACCCACATCATACGCCCTGGGCCAAGCCAGTGGTGTCTCCTACCCACAGTGAGCACAGAGAGAGACCCTGTCTCAAAAAAAAAAAAGTTTAAGAAAAGAACCTCTAGGTCACAAAGATTTCAAAATTCAACAAGAATCAATCAATACTTCTGACCTCTACCCATGTGGGTAAAGTCACCAGGTTGGGAGTTACCACTTGGACAGTCCACAGGTGGAAATGCCCACAGCACAGCCGTCGAGTTCTCAGCTCTCCATGTGGTCTCATCTCTCGGGTCTTCGTTCAGAGTTGAAAGTCATGATGCATGAGCAAGACTTCCCAAAAGAGTCTGCAAAGTTGTCCTTTTCGCCAAACTGGAAGGGCTGAATGGGACCATTCTACAGCCTTAGACATGTCCCGTATTGCTGGAGACAGACAGAAGAGTGGCGATGGTGTACACAGGAGTGTGTGTGCCCCACCACGCCCATCTCCAGCATCCAGGAAGCCCCTTTTCCAGGCAGCAGAGGGTGCAGGGACTGGGGCCAGGACTCAGGATGAAAGGAACATGGCCCCTGCCCTCAAGGCCTCCGACAGAGAGGAGACCAGATGCCAGGGCATGAAGCCCAAAGAAGTTCACGATGGAGGAAAGTCTGAGCTATGAGGGACACAGCCACCCCCACAGACAGTCAGCAGGGACGAGGTCACCCTTCCCAGAGCCAAGGCAGCCGAGGTCATCAGAAGAAAATGGCAGGCCTTGGTCAGAGAAGGGGAGATGGGGATCTACAAAAATCCTTCCAGCCGAGGACTGCCTGCAGGCGCAGGGCCCAGAAGTGACAAGAAATGACAAAGGGTCCGTCATGACCAGAGGCACAGCAGCCGGGCACTGGAGAGGAAGCTGGAGCAGCCACTCAGAGCCCGCAGACCCCAGCCAGGTCTTCCCAGGAACGAGGGGCCGGCAACGCGGATCTGTAAGCTCAAATCTGCACAGAAACGTGGCCTTCTCCACCCAGGCCTCCAAGCTTATTTGAAGTACTAATCACCATTTCCCTTGATAAAAAGACTGAGCTCGGACCTCCTCCAAATCAACCCTCATATATCCTCCCCTTATGCCCAGCCAGAAGGGAATATCAGGCTTCAGTCTGAGGCAAATGAACACAGCCAATAAATAGTGATCCAGACACTGCTCCGTGGGGGTGAGAGTGGGGCAGCAGGTGGGGCCTCCAGGATGAGGTCAGCGCGGTGCCTGGGCTGGCAATGGCTCCTATCACTCAGGTGGAGGGGGCGGCCAGCAGAGTGGAGCCCAGAGGAATTGCCAGATATGGAGTCCACCTGCACCCCCACAGGAGACGCAGGCCCCAGATAGGGAGTCCACCTGCACCCTCACAGGAGACGCAGGCACCAGATAGGGAGCCACCTACACCCCCACAGGAGATGCAGGCCCCAGATAGGGAGTCCACCTACAACACCACAGGAGATGCAGGCCCCAGATAGGGAGTCCACCTGCACCCCCACAGGAGACGCAGGCCCCAGATAGGGAGTCCACCTACACCCCCACAGGAGACGCAGGCACCAGATAGGGAGTCCACCTGCACCCCCACAGGAGACGCAGGCCCCAGATAGGGAGTCCACCTACACCCCCACAGGAGACGCAGGCCCCAGATAGGGAGCCCACCTGCAACCCCCACAGGAGATGCAGGCCCCAGATAGGGAGTCCGCCTGCACCCCCCACAGGAGACGCAGGCCCCAGATAGGGAGTCACCTGCACCCCCACAGGAGACGCAGGCCCCAGATAGGGAGTCCACCTACACCCCCACAGGAGACGCAGGCTCCAGATAGGGAGTCTGCCTACACCCCCACAGGAGACGCAGGCACCAGATAGGGAGTCACCTGCACCCCCACAGGAGACGCAGGCCCCAGATAGGGAGTCCGCCTGCACCCCCACAGGAGACGCAGGCCCCAGATAGGGAGTCCGCCTACACCCCCACAGGAGACGCAGGCTCCAGATAGGGAGTCTGCCTACACCCCCACAGGAGACGCAGGCACCAGATAGGGAGTCACCTGCACCCCCACAGGAGACGCAGGCCCCAGATAGGGAGTCCGCCTGCACCCCCACAGGAGACGCAGGCACCAGATAGGGAGTCACCTACACCCCCACAGGAGACGCAGGCCCCAGATAGGGAGTCACCTGCACCCACAGAGGAGACGGAGGCCCCAGATAGGGAGTCACCTGCACCCCCACAGGAGACGGAGGCCCCAGATAGGGAGTCACCTACAACACCACAGGAGACGCAGGCCCCAGATAGGGAGTCACCTGCACCCCCACAGGAGATGCAGGCCCCAGATAGGGAGTCACCTGCACCCCCCACAGGAGACGCAGGCACCAGATAGGGAGTCACCTGCACCCCCACAGGAGACGCAGGCCCCAGATAGGGAGTCCACCTACACCCCCACAGGAGACGCAGGCTCCAGATAGGGAGTCACCTGCACCCCCACAGGAGACGCAGGCCCCAGATAGGGAGTCACCTGCACCCCCCACAGGAGACGCAGGCACCAGATAGGGAGTCCGCCTAAACCCCCACAGGAGACGCAGGCTCCAGATAGGGAGTCACCTGCACCCCCACAGGAGACGCAGGCCCCAGATAGGGAGTCCACCTACAACACCACAGGAGACGCAGGCTCCAGATAGGGAGTCACCTGCACCCCCACAGGAGACGCAGGCCCCAGATAGGGAGTCCACCTGCGCTGCTGGGCAGGGCAGGAGCTGAAGGAGTCAAGCCCCTCCGTCGCTCACCTCCCTCCCCTTCTCCCTACTGAGCCTAACTGGGCCACTGAGGTCTTCCCTGTGGTGGCTTCAGCCCAGACAGCTCAGCCTCCAGGGTGAAGAGGGGAGCCATGGGTGGGCAGTGGCCAGACTGGTGTCTGCCTGGGGGGCTCCCCTGCTGGCACTGGCAGGCACGCGGCCCACAGGTGCCATCTGTCATTTGCACCCGAAGGACTGCCTAGGAAGCGAGAGTGTGTGCCCCAGAGACCTGTGCGGGCCAGAGGAAGCCCCGAGAGGCCAGTGAAGACCCCTGAGGAGGAGGGAGCCTGAGGAGGGAGTTCCTGCCCAGGGCTCCGGCAGAGCTCAGAGGGCGACCTGGGAGGCGGCTTGTGTTTTAGCCGAGTCCTCTTCACGGGGCTGGTGAGGAAGGGATTCCCCGCCTAGGGCTCAAGGGATGGTCAGACGCAGGGTGCCCAGCACTGGACAGACGAGGGGGCAACAGTTTCTCAGTCCCACAGGCTCACCACCCAGGGGAGGAAACTTCAGGCCACACAGGGTCACAGGGAGGAAGCTCTCGGGGCAGAGTGAGCCGCAGGGCTGCAGGGGTGGACAGCTCAGGAACAAGAGGGTGGTGTCCGCGGGCCCCGCAGGGGGATGGGGTGAGCTGCTCTGAATCATCCTGCGGGCCAGCAGGGAGCCGGAACCTTTGCTCGGGGATGACAGGCTGGGCTGTGTGGCTGAGAGCCCCTGTCCTCAGGAGCAGAGGGGGAGGGGAGCCAGCAGTGATGTCCCCCCACCCCCATGTCCCCAGACACCAAGGCAGCACACACGGCACCTGGGGCCTTCACTTGCCCCCTGTTCCTCCTCCGCCTCTTCCTTCGGCAGCTTTCCCACCTTTCCTAGACCACCTCCACCATCAGACCCCACCCACAGACCACGTGCCAGGTTTCCAGTCCCATTCCACAAGCTTAGGGGACACAGTCGGTCAGACCCACTTGGCTGACCTGAAGCCCCTCTAGGGTAGCCTCCCTGGATTTTATCCACTTTCTCCAGACACATTCCAGGGGAAAAGAAACACAGAATGTTAATGACACTAGAAAAACAAAATCAAACAGTGGGTGTTGTGATTACATCAGCATGCTAAATATTAGAAAACAGCTGTGTTCTTCACCCTGTGCTAGACATCAGAATTCAGGTTACTGGTGTGTGCGCACACGGGGCTGGAACGCTCACATGAAAGATTCTGATGCTTTGGGGCAGATAGTCCCTTCTAGTCCTATTACAAGGCAGCCCTGAAGTGTGTACGGAGCACCAGCTGCGTCCCTTTGTACTTGCTGAGAATGTTTGAGTGGGACGTTTCCTCCAGCACCGGCTCTGCATGCAACTCTGACTCAGGAGACAGAGACCAAGAGCCCTCAGAACTGGCGGTAACTTTCAACGATTCCGTTGGAACTTGCAGTCCCTTGAGTTTTTAATCATTTGAAGCTCATCTTTTTTGAAATGTCTGAATGTATGAATGTGTTCCCTGAGAGAATAAATTCTGTTCTCCAAATGGTAGAAAATAGTCACGAAAATAGTTTACTTTAAGATAAATAACTAAACAATGTATTCCACTAATGAAGTCATTGAATTTAACGTCCTTTTTGGTTCTATTTTTAAAATTAGTACGGATTTTTTTTTAATCAGTGGAGAAATATGAACTATGCATCAGAGCTGCCAGCTCTCTGGACGGCCAAGTCAGTTCAGCGTTCCAGCCCTCTCCCCAGGTGACTGGCCGCTCAAGTAAATAAAAACAGGTCTGATCCTAAAGCAAACAGAAAGCATCGATCTCTTTGAGCAGGTGTCACAGAGGGTTTTCTTAGAGATGTTTCTTTGCACATCCCCTGATGGCCAGTTTGTGAGCCGAGTTGCTCCCAAATAAAAAAGTCCACTGACTCAGTGGAAGCTTGGCCAGGAAGCTGGGCCTGCTGGAGGCATCACTAGGCTCCGCTGCAGCCTCTCCTGATGGTTCTGCAGACAGGGCTCCCGGCCCCAGCCTGTGCTGGGCCTCCAGGGCAAGTTCTGGGGACATCTCATTGCCCTCCCAGCATGGCAGCCCAATTCGAAGCATGCACGGGTGTGGCTGCCTTTTTCTGTTCGCTGGGTATCCACAATGCTCTATGAAGCACGGCTCTAAGGACCATGACCAAACGCTCTATGTGCACTGCCCTCTCCTGCCTCTGCTCCTCCACCAGAACGGGAGGGAAGGGCATCCTCTCCCCTCCATTCATGTGCTAGACACATGCGCTCCCAGGCCCGTAGGTTTCCTCAGCTGCAGCGGGAGGAAACAGACTCCCCAAAACACAGGCTTCTTCCCACATCTTGCTTTTCTTCTGCAGGCACAAGTTACGCTTACTAACAAATAAACTTCCCTTCAGTTCCATTTCTGCATAACTTATAAAAGTATTTCCCACAGCAGTAGCTGAATTCTGCCTACTCCAGGAATATGTTTGCATTTAAGCTGTAACCAGGACCAGAGTAGGGAAATGCACTTGGAAGTAAAGTGATGAAGTCGGGGGCGTATTTTTTTTTAATTATACTTTAAGTTCTAGGGCACATGTGCACAACGTGCAGGTTTGATACATAGGTATACATGTGCCATGTTGGTTTGCTGCACCCATCAACTCATCATTTACATTAGGTATTTCTCCTAATGCTATCCCTTCCCCAGGCCCCCACCCTGCGACAGGCACCAGTGTGTGATATTCCCTGCCCTGTGTCCAAGTGATCTCATTGTTCAGTTCCCACCTATGAGTGAGAACATGCGGTGTTTGGTTTTCTGTCCTTGTGATAGTTTGCTGAGAATGATGGTTTCCAGCTTCATCCATTTCCCTGCAAAGGACATGAACTCATCCTTTTTTATGGCTGCATAGTATTCCATGGTGTATATGTGCCACATTTTCTTAATCCAGTCTATCATTGATGGACATTTGGGTTGGCTCCAAGTCTTTGCTATTGTGAATAGTACCACAGTAAACATACGTGTGCATGTGCCTTTATAGTAGCGTGATTTATAATCCTTTGGGTATATACTCAGTAATGCGATTGCTGGGTCAAATGGTATTTCTAGTTCTAGATCCTTGAGGAATCGCCACACTGTCTTCCACAATGGTTGAACCAATTTACACTCCCACCAACAGTGTAAAAGCGTTCCTATTTCTCCACATCCTCTCCAGCATCGGTTGTTTCCTGACTTTTTACTGATTCCCAATCTAACTGGCATGAGATGGTATCTCATTGTGGTTTTGATCTGCATTTATCTGATGAGCAGTGATGAGCATTTTTCCATATGTTTGTTGGCCATTTGTATATCTTCTTTTGAGAAATGTCTATTCATGACCTTTACCCACTTTTTAATGGAATTATTTGGTGTTTTTCTTGGTGATTTGTCTGAGTTCCTTGTAAATTCTGGATGTTAATCCTTTGTCGGATGTGTAGTTTGCAAATATTTCTCCCACTCTGTAAGTTGTCTGTTCTGCTGATTATTTCTTTTGCTTTGCAGAAGCTTTTTAGTTTAATTAGGTCCCATCTATTTATGTTTATTTTTGTTACATTTACTTTTGAGGTCTTAGTCACGAATTATTTGCCTAGGCTGATGTCTAGAAGAGTTTTTCCATTGTTATCTTCTAGAATTTTTATAGTTTCAGGTCTTATATTTAAGTCTTTGACCCATCTTGAGCTGATTTTTGTATAGGTGAAAGATAGGGATCTAGTTTCATTCTTCTGCATACAGCTATCCAATTTTCCCAGCACCATTTATTGAATAGGGTGTCTTTTCCCCAGTTTATGTTTTTGTTTGCTTTGTCAAAGATCAGTTAGCTGTACCTATTTGGCTTCATTTCTGGGTTCTCTATTCTATTCCATTGGTCTATGTGCCTACTTTTATACCAGTACCATGCTGTTTTGGTTTCTATAGCCTTGTAGTATAATTTGAAGTCTGCTAATCTGATGCCTCCAGATTTGTTCTTTTTGCTTAGGATGGCTTTGGCTATTAGGTCTCTTCTTCGGTTCCATATGAATTTTAGGATTTTTTTTTCTAATTCTGGGAAAAATGATGATGGTATTTTGATGGGAATTGCATTGAATCTATGGATTGCTCTGAGTAGTATGGTCATTTTCACAATATTGATTCTTCCAATCCACGAACATGGGATGCATTTTCATTTGTTTGTGTCATCTATTATTTCTTTCAGCAGTGTTTTGTAGTTCTCCTTGTAGAGATCTTTCACCTCCTTGGTTAGGTGTATACTTAGGTTTTTTGGTTTTTTGTGGGAGTTTTTTTTTTTTTTGCAGCTATTGTAAAGGGATTGAGTTCTTGATTTGATTCTCAGCTTCGTTGTTGTTGGTGCTACTGATTTGTGTACACTGCTTTGGTAACCTGAGACTTTACTGAATTCGTTTATCAAATCCAAGAGTCTTTTGGGGGAGTCTTTAGGATTTTCTAGGTATATAATCATATCGTCAGCAAACAGTGATATTTTGACTTCCTCTTTTCCAATAATCTTTCTCTTGCGTTCTTGCTCTGGCTAGGGCTTCCAGAACTATGTTGAATAGAAGTGGTGAGAGTGGGCATCCTTGTCTTGTTCCTATTCTCAGGGGGAGTGCTTCGACCTTCTCCCCATTCAGTATGATGCTGGCTGTGGGTTTGTCATAGATGCCAATGCCACTTACTTTTCTTCTGCCAGAAGTGCTGGCTCATCCCACAACCGAAGAGAACTTCCCATCCACACGTTCGCTGCCGCAGCTTCCTACTTTACTCGCGTCTCCCTCCTGAGGAATCCAGGGCATAAGGAGGGAAGAGCCAAGGGCCAGGTCTGGCCGGGATTCCAGGGCTGCACTCCAGGGCATGGACTTCCCACCTGGGATCTCAGGGGAATCACCAGCTGCACCCACCAGGAAACAGGGAGGCAGGTCTGAAGCCAGCAATCCGACCAGGAGAGTCCAAATCGGGCTCACAGAACACTGATGTGGGCCAGCTGCCCACAGGGGTTCCTGTCCCGGCCACTGCACCTTTGCTGGGACACAGTAGGTCCTTGAGGCAGTCCCTCCACTGGGGACAGTGCCAGCAGCCTGCACTGTCACCCCAGGCAGCACCTTGCATTCTGGCCATGACATTTTTGGTGATAACTAAGAGCCATCCTAAAAGCCTAGAACTGAGATTTGGAGGAGGCAGGATTTCGAATGGCCTGCAGTGGGCCCAGGATCCCAGCACCCCCACCCTGGCAGGAAGCTCCCCGGGGCAGCCCCACTCCAGGGAGCTCCTCTGAATCCCCCTCAGTGTGAGTCTGCACCAGCTGGCAAGCCTCCTGCAGGCCACGACAGCCACTGGGGAAGCCACAAAGACACTGTGTGACTCTAGACTTCACCTCCCAAACCACGTTCATCAGCTCCCACACCCCCTCCCCAGCAACTCGACTGGGTCAAGTCCTCCTCGACTCGCCCACCCTCACCCCCACATCCCACGGAGTTCCATGTCCATGCCACCAGAACCTTCTGGGTCAAGCCCTGCTCTCCCCCAGATGGCTCCAGCTTGTTCCTCACCTGTGCAATGTGCCTAGGACCAGACAATGCTCTTGTCAACGCCACTTCTCATTGTGATCCCCCTGCTCAAAACGATTCCAGTCATCAAAGGTCAACAGCCCCACCTAAAATCCAGGACGACTTTACGTCCGCCCAACGCAGAAGGTTTGCGTAAATCACCACGCAAGCCCTGCAGCATTCCTCTATCAGAGAAGACGTGTGTGAGGCTATCATCGCTCTAGGAAAGAATGCTCATAACTTTAAGGGAAAAAAATGCATTCGGGGCACCTCACAGTTTTTTTGTTGTTTATTTATTTGTTTGTTTGTTTGTCTATTTGTTTGTTTGTTTTTGAGACATAGTCTCGCTCTGTTGCCCAGGCTGGAGTGCAATGGCGTGATCTCAGCTCACTGCAACCTCCACCTCCCGGGTTCAAGCGATTCTCCTGCCTCAGCCTCCCAAGTACCTGGGATTACAGGCATGCACCACAACACCCGGGGAATTTTTTGAATTTTTAGTAGAGATGGGGTTTCACCATCTTGGCCAGGCTGGTCTTGAACTCCTGACATAAGGTGATCTGCCCTCCTTGGCCTCTCAAAGTGCTGGGATGACAGGCATGAGCCACCATGTCCAGCCCACCTCATAGTTTTAAATGGCCCTTGCTGCTCCATTGTTCATGTCTGCAGAACTGGGGACGGCACCAGGCTGGGCCGTGCTGCTGCGCCTGCTCCAGGGTTGAGTGTCACTGCAGCTTGGCTCATCCCGGGCAGCGGCTGTTCCTTCAGTTTGGCTCTGGCATGAGGAAGCAGCGGCTGCAAGAGTCCCTGGGTCCCTGGCTGCAGGCGTGTGCCTGACCCAGGGCCCTGCGGTTGAGCTCTGAAACCTGTTATGGTTGCCATCCAATGAACAGGCAACCAGGTGCAGGTGCTGAGGGGACACTGGGCTGACGATGGGCTGTGGAGGGTCAGCGGGTCCTGGGCACCAGCCCTCTGTGCACAGAATCACGTGCACCTGCTGGGGTTGCCCACTCCACTGACCGCATCCACCCACAGCACTGTGAGCTCAGCACATCCAGGGCAGCTCTCAAAACCCTGGCTGGCAGCCAGGCCAGATCCCAGACCACCATGTCCACTTAGACATCAAAGAGTTTCAGAGCTGACAGGAGGCAGGAGCCAAGCTGGAGGACGGATGCTGCCCTCAGACCCTACTGAGGCTGTAATGGTCACATGAGGCTCACCACCCTGCCAGCCTCGGGCTGTATTCCCTGAATCTAGGATGTGGACATGGATTCCAGGTGGGACATGGAGGTGGCTTTAGCTAAGCCTGACTCACTCCTAGAGTGCTGCCAGGTCCCTGCCCCACGCCCTGCCCTCCCTCCACTTCCTCTGAGAGAAGGTCTCTGTTTGCACCTCTATACCTCTTGCTCATCTCTCCTTCAACAAAGGGAGAGCAGGTGCGGGCTTCCAGCTTTCTGGAAAGAATAGGATTTAGAGAGAATTCAATAACACTTTCTGTTTTTGCCAGGTTCACATTTTTTCCCTAAAAAGAAAGCCAGGATGGCTTGCCATGAACGCAGGGCAACCATCAACAGGTACCTCTTTACCCGCCACCTCTCCTTTACTCGCCATCACACTCAACTCACAATAGCCCAGGCGTGGCTCCTGCATGCTCAGGGAGCGTGGGCTCCATGGAGGCCCTCAGGCCGGCTGGTGAACGGGAAGGCAACGGCCCCTGACCTGGTGGAGCCAAGAGCAAGCCCCGCCCAGAAGGGAGCTACATGCTGTGCTAACAGGGGACGAGGGCTATGGGGAAACGGGGACCTGGAGGGCGGGGCGCAGAGAGAACAAGGAGAGAACCAGAGACCTGGGGCAGCTGCAGAGTTCACCACGCTTGTGCGGCTGGGAGTGCAGCCCTGGGGAAGCCGGTCCCACAGAGAGGCAGGGGTGTAAACTTGCCTTCCTATGTTCCCCAGTCCAGCTCAGTGTACCACATGGACATTGGTTTATTTGCAAGGTGACATTTGCTCCGCGCGGCTGTGCTCTGAGCACTGTGTGTGGGCCTTGCCCTGATTGAGCAAAGCCCTGAGGCTCCTCCGGGACAAAGGAAAACAACAAGGAACCAATCTGGAATCAAGAAGAGATAAAAAGGGATGGACAGTGGACTGCCGAGTGCCCGGGGAAGAGCCCAGTCTCTCCTGGCCAAACGTGGAAGCTGAAGCCGTGCTGGGGAGGCCTGTGCAGTGGCTGGTGCAGGCCTCCCGGGTCTGTCACTTCAGATGCCCTTCCCCTATGCCAGCAGGGATGAGGCTGACCTGAGCTGACCCAGCATCCTCAGCCCCTTCCATGAGCCATGCAGCCCGGCCTCGGGTTTCAGAAATAGGTGCTGCCAGTCTCCCTTGGAGAGAACATGATGGAGCATCGCCTCTGGGGCAGCTGGGAGCAGAGGGAGAGGGCCTGGAGAAGAGCGGAGAGAGGCAGGAAGGAGGGGAGCGGAGAACTGGAAGGGAACACTCTATACCTGCTCTGCCACCACCTCCGGGCTCCAACCAGACAGGCCCAGCCTCCTGCCCTGATAGGCTTCAGCCCACAAAGCCCAGACTGGGAGACCCCAGGCGCCGCGTGGAGGTGTGGAGAAGATGGGTGTGCACACCTGGGAGCTTTCGCAACCAGCCCCGTTGACCAGCAGGCCCGGCCTGGGCACCCCAAAAAGTCTGGGTCATGCTTTTTCATGAAAAAGAAGGTAGAAACAGAAGAGACTAAAGAGAAAAACCCCCAAATGAAACGCACCAGCCTTGGTTGGATCCTGGTTCAATGGAAAGGGTCATAAAAAATTGATTTGCCCAGTTGGGGCGATCTGAATTCAGATTTAAGGAATTCTCACTAATTTCCTTAGGCAGGATCACAGGGACTGGGCCGTGCATGAGAAAGCTGTACTTTTGGGGAGGCACAGGCAGAAAGTCATGCTGTGGGTCACTTTCAAATGGCTCAACAAAAAGAAAATGCTCTATTCACACAAATGTGGAAAAGCAAAGATGGCAAAAGGCTAGCGTCTGTGGGTTCACCTGGCTTGGCCTTCACCTCATTGAGAGCCTGAATTCTCCCGAATGAAAGACTAGGGAAAACCCCACATTTGTTCATATTTTGATTTCCCTCTTGAGCACATACCTGACCAACAGCCAATCCCAACCTCCTTGGATGGCAGGTTCCCACCGTGCTATGCACTGGACAGCGGGTGTCACATGAATTGTGGTGCAGCAGCAGCTTCCAAGAGAGTCCAGTTCTCATAGCCCCTGTGAGTCATCGTGCAAATCCTTGGGGACTGCTTTTCTTGTTATTCAGACATAATTCACATGCATGAAATGCACCCTTCAAGTTGCACAGCTCAGTGGCATTTACTGCACTTCCCAGGCCATGCGACTGCCCCAAGCTCCAGTTCCAGAACATTCTCATTCCCCAAAAGAAATCCCATGCCCATTGGCAGTTCCATTCTAGGAGTTTTCCCTCGCCCTCCAGAAACCCTGGGATGGGCCAGGACGTCCCCCGTGCCCAGGCTGGTCCCCACCCCATCGTTGAGTGCTGGCATCTGTGCACCCAGAGAAGGCTCTACTGGGCAGACGGAAGCCCATTGTGAGTAGAGGTCAGCCCAGCACAATGACCACTTGATGATGGAGGAGCTCAGGGAGAGCCCAGCACAGCTCACCCCCTCTCAGAGGGACAGCCCTGGAGGCCGAGCAGGAGAGCACCCACTCTGTGACATCACCCTACTGGGACACGCCCTTTGCACATCGCAGCTGGGGACACAGAGGCTGAAAGAGGCGCTGCCTGCCCAAGGCCCTGGCGTGTGAAGCAGGTGTTCAGACCTGTGGGCTCCTCCTGCAGCCCATGGGCGCTCACCAGCCTTTGCAGGGACTCACGGCCCTCAGGAGCCCCTGCTGGTCCATGACCAGGGCCTGGCAAAGGTTGCAGTTGTGGCCACAGCTCTCATCCCCACCCACACACCCACCTGAGAGGGACATGGAAACCTATTCCAGAAGGCAGTTTTCCCCAAGGGACTGTCAGCGCAAACCTTTGTCTTTCTCACAGATTTCAATAAAGTGCAGCGAGGTGGGAGAGGCTTGCAGACAGCTCCCGCTGCACCAGCTGCCCTGTCCAGCCCACAGCAGCCCCAGGCCCTGCCCCCTGAGGCCTCCATTGGACACTCAAGGCCAAACCAGCTGCCCTGTCCAGCCCACAGCAGTCCCAGGCCCTGCTCCCTGAGGCCTCCATTGGACACTCAAGGCCAAACCAGCTGCCCTGTCCAGCCCACAGCAGTCCCAGACCCTGCCCCCTGAGGCCTCCATTGGACACTCAACGCCAAGTTCACCTTTGTCAGACCTAGGCCTGGGGAGCAACTCAAAGTCACAGTAAAACCAAAAGGCCACCGCACAGCCTGGCTCCTTCCAGCAACAGGGTGAGAGGGGCCCATTGCCTGTTCCGCCAGGGAAGCCCCAAATGTGTCATCCCTCCCTGACAGGGACAGCAGCCTAGGGCAGTCCTGAGTCCCTACCAAAATTAGGGAGCTGGAGGCCCAGGAAGCCTCAGGGTGAGGGCCTGGGGAGTGGCCCCCTTGCCTCAGAGACCACCGGGAGGGTATGTGGAGCCACAGAGCATGGGCACGACCACGGAGGTCGAGGAGGGCCTTGCTGGGTGATGGGGAGGGCACAGGCTGACTCTGGGCCCCAGAACACCCACCCCACAGACTGGACAGTCATCCAAGGAACATTTAAAAGGCCAGTTGTGTGGCCACATGCCAGCCCAGTGTGCTGCTGCCCCGGGACAGCCCTCTGTGTGCAAATACCCCCACAGGTGACCCCAGCACAGCTCACTGTGCTGGAGTCCTCGGGGCAGCCCTCTGTGTACCCACACCCCCATGGGTGACCCTGATATAGCTTACTCAGCTACAACCCCAGGGACAGCCCTCTGTGTGCCAACTCCCCCACAGGTGATTCCGATACAAGGTTCTGGAGCCAGGACCAAGACTAGGACATTAGTGAAATTCCCCACAGGAAACTCCACAGCCTCCAGGTTAAAGCCGTGTCTTCACAGCCTCAGCCCAGAACCTGGCAGCCAGAGGGCATCAAGGGTGCCTTAGTATCAAATCTAAGTTTCTGAAATATGATACAAAATTATTCACAATACAGAAAAACTAAAATACTAGCCATTTGAAAAGAGAAAAGCCATCAAAGGCACCACTCTCAAGATGACATAGACGTTAGAATCATCAAAGACTTTAAAACAGCTAAGATATCCATCTTCCATGAAGTAAGGCTAAATGCTCATAAAATGAATGGCAAGATAGAAATTGTCAACAGAAAAATGGAAGCTACATTGAAGAACCAAATGGAAATTTTAGAACTTAAAAATATAATAATCGAAATAAAGAATTCACTGGATGTCATTATAGCAGAATGGAGATGACACAGGAAATTATTGGTAAACTTGAAGACAAATCAATAGAAATTATCCAATCTGATTAAAAGAAAAAAAGACAAAGTCTCACGGCCTCTGAAAAACATCAAAAAGTCTAACATATTGTTGAAATCTCAGAATGAGGGAATAGGCCAGGCACAATGGCTGGTGTTTGTAACCTCAACACTTTGGGAGGCTGAGTCTGGAAGATCGTTGAGCCCAGGAGTTAGAGAGCAGCCTGGGCAACAGAGTGAGACCCCCATCTCTACAAAAACATTTTTTAAAACAATTAGCCAGCTGTGGTGGACTACAACATGCCTGTAGTCCCAGCTACTTGGGAGGCTGAGGTGGGAGGATGACTTGAACCTGGGATGTCAAGGTTGCAGTGAGCTGTAGTCATGCCGCTGCACTCCAGCCTGGGTAATGGAGTGAGGATCTGTCTCAAAAAATAAAAATAAAAAAGAATGAGAAAAAAATGGTACAAATATATATACACATATATGATAAAATAATAAATTAAAACTTCCCAAACTGGGAAAAAGAAAAAAAATTAGAGATTCAAGAATCTCAGTAAATCCCAGATAAAATAAACTCAAAGAAAACCACACCGAGGCACATCATAATAAAATTACTGAAAACCAAAGATACAAAAAAAAAATTTAAGTAGAGTAAAGACATATTATGTATAGGGCACTACCAAACTGAATAACGGCAGATTTCTCATCAGAAATCGTGGGGGCCAGAAGACAGAGATGCAACCACTTAAAGTGCTGAAAGAAAAGAACTGTCAACCTAGGGTTCTACCTCCAGAGAAAGTATCCTTCAGAGATTAAAATAAAACAGAGACATTTTAAGAGAAGCAAAGAGAATTTGTCACCAGAAGACCTGCTCTAAAGAAATGCTAAAGGAAGTTCTTCAGAGAGAAGGAAAGGAATCCCAGAAGGAAGTGAAGCTTCAAGAATTACCCATTCAGGCTGTTTCCTCCTCTTACATACTTTAAAATATGTATGATTAAAAGAAATATACATGAGAAAAACCTTGCTCTGTGGAAATGTAGCTGTAATATATAAGGTAACTACAAAACACAAAGGGAAGAGTAAAGGGCCTTACATGGCTATAAGGTTTCTACATTTCACTTAATGTGGTAAAATATTAATTTTCAGTAAACTTTGAAAAGATAAGTGTGTGTGTGTACATATACACATATATATGCGTGTATATATGCATGTGTGTATGTGTGTGTGTAGTTATCCCTAGACCAATCACTTAAAAACTTACACAAGTAGATATAATTAAAAGCAAATAAGTACATTAAAATACAACGCAAAATAAATATTCAAATAACCCAAAATAAGGCAGGAAAATGGAAACAGAAAACAAAGGCAAAGGAAATAAGTAGCACAAAAAATACAATAGTAGAGGTAAATCCAATGATCAATAATTATATTAAAATAAAATGGTCAAGAATACCAATTAAAAGACAGATATTGTCAAATTGATTTTTTATTAGCTTTTGGAGTACAGGTGTTTTTTGGTTACATGGATGAATTCTATAGTGGTGAATTCTGAGATTTTAGTGCACCTTCCAGCTGAGCAGTGTATACTGTACCCAATATGTAATCTTTTACTCCTCACCCCCCTCCCAACCTGGTCCCCCAGCCTCCAAAGTCCATTATATCACTCTGTATGTTTTTATGTCCTCGTAGCTTAGCTCCCAGTTATAAGTGTGAACATACAGTATTTGTTTTTCATTCTTCAGATACTTCACTTCAGCCAACTACATGCTGTCTAAAAGCCCACTTTAAATATGATGATACAGGTTAAAAGAAAAGGATTTTTAAAATATGATTAAAACACTAGTCAAATGAAAGCTGGAGTAGTTATATTAATATCACACAAAACAGAATTCAGAACAAGAAAAATTACCAGACACAACAAGACATATCACATGATCATAAAAAGCTCAATTCACTGAGAAGACATAGCAATTCTAAATGTATATATACCTAAGAACAGAGCTGCAAAATTCATGAAGCAAAAACTTATTGAACTGAAAGGAAAGATAGACAAATCTGAAATTATATTTTGAGATTTCAAAACTTCTCTCTCAGTGATCAATAAAACAAGTAAAGAGAAAAACAGCAAATATATAGAAAATTTGAACACCATCATCAACCAACTTGACTGAACTGGCATTTATAGAACACATTATCCAGAAACAGCAAAATACAAACTCTTTTCAAGTGTACATAAAGCATTTGCCAAACTGCATTCTGGATCATAAAACAGCCACCACAAATTTAAAAGAATGGAAATTCAGCTGGGTCTGGTGGCTTATGCCTATAATTCCAGCACTTTGGGAGGCTAAGGCAGGCAGATTGCTTCAACTCAGGAGTTTGAGACCAGCTTGGGTAACATGGCAAAACCCTGTCTCTACAAAAAATACAAAAATTAGCCAAGTGTGGTGACACATGCTTGTAGTCCCAACTACTTGGGGGCCTGAGGCAAGAGGATCACTGCAGTCCAGGAAGTCAAGGCTGCAGTGAGCCGTGTTCATGCCACTGCACTCCAGCCAGGCGACAAAGTGAGACCTTGTCTCCAAAAAATAAAAATAAAAGAACACCTATATAAATGGAAAAACATACCATGATCATGGACTGGAATACTCGATTTAGTTAAGACATCAATTCTTCCCAAAATGATCTATAAATTTAATACAATTCCAAATGAACTCCCAATAAGATTTCTTATAGACATGCTGATGCTGCTTCTAAAATTTATATATTTTTGAAAAAGAACAAAGCTGGCAGACTCACAATGCCATATTTTTACTTACTTTAAACATGACTGATTAAGATAGTGTAATGTTGGTGAAAGGGTAGACATATAGATCAATGGATCCGAATAGAGTCAAGAAATAGACCTACACACACGGTCAATCAATTTTGACAAAAGTGCAAAGACAATTCAATGGGGAAAGAATTGTGTTTTCAGCAAATATTTCTGGGAAATTTGAACACTTATACATACAAAAAATGAACTTCACCCTATATCTTACACCTTATACAAAAATTAACTCAAAATAGATCATGGACTTAAGCATCATTTGAAAATCTATAATACTCTTAAAAGAGAAGATAGAAAAAAATATAACTTTTGAGGTTAGGCAAAAAGCCATTGAATGAGACACCAAAAGCATAATCCCTATGAAGTTGGTAAACTGGACTTTGTCAAAATTAGAAATATCTACTCTTTGAAAGATACTGTTAAGAGAACAAAAAGATAAGTCAGATGAGGCGAAAATATTTTCAAATCATATCTGATAAATAATTTGTATTCAGAATATATAAATAACTCTCTACCTCAATCATGAGAAATCTAACAACCCAGGTATTCTTTTTATATGTTTTTCTATTATAAACAGAGACAGAGTCTCACTTTGTCATCCAGACTGGTCTTGAACTCCTGGGCTCAAGCAATCCTCTTGCCTCGGCCTCCCAAAGTGTTGAGATTACAGGTGTGAGCCCCTGCGCCTGGCACAGGTCTCTTTAATGGCAAAAAATTTAAACACATACTTTGCAAAGACGATACGCAGATAACAGAATAAGCACATAGACAGTGATGGTTTCTCTTGCCCTTTCACTGAAGACTGGCCTCCCAAGGCAATATAAGCAGTCCTGTGGTCTGCCGGTGCCTGCCCCGGTGTAGCCCCTCTGTCCCCAGATCCCCCCCAGTTGCTGTCCCTGCACATACATCCAAGCTGGCCGGGAAGCTCCTGCCACAGTGATGAAGGGGAAAGATTTATGCAAGTCCAGAGGCGTGGTACACAAGCTAAGCAGACGGACTTAAGCACCCACTTAAATGTCTGAAATGGCATGCTCCTCTGTGGCCTTTTCTCTGACAAGCGGGATTTATGAGCTTGGGCAAAATACATCAGTAAGAAGGCCACGTTTGTAAAACATGGTTCCTTTGTTGGAGGACAGAACACTGGCGTCTGAATTCATAACACTCAAACTTCACCTGCCTGCTTCCTTCCCAGGGCTCCCACACTCCCGGCCACTCCTGTTCAGATACAGCTAGCTCCGTGGCTTGGCTCTCCCGGCCTTGAGCCCGCTGTGGTCTGTGAGCATAGGGACGTCCTGCAGCAGGCAGGGGACCTAAATCATCCTGTGCCATGGTTCAGGCTCCCTGATCCCCTTGGAGCCAGCTGGTGAGTGGGGAGTCAGGTCCGGTTGTAGGGTCCAGCCCCACAGGGTCGGTGGGTCTTTTTCCCCATGTGCAGAGACCAGAGAGTGTAAAAATAAATACACAAGACAAAGAGGTAAAAGACAAGACAGCTGGGCCCAGGGGATCACTACCACCAAGACGCGGAGACTGGTAGTGGCCCCAAATGCCAGGCTGCGCTAATGTTTATTGGATACAAGACAAAGGGGCAGGGTAAGGAGTGTGAGCCATCTCCAATGATAGGTAAGGTCACGTGGGTCACGTGTCCACTGGATAGGGGGCCCTTCCCTGCCTGGCAGCTGAGGCAGAGAGAGACAGGGAGAGAGAGAGACAGCTTGCACTATTATTTCTGCACATCAGAGACTTTTAGTACTTTCACTAATTTGCTACTGCTATCTAAAAGGCAGAGCCAGGTGTACAGGGCGGAACATGAAGGCAGACTAGGGGCATGACCACTGAAGCACAGCATCACAGGGACACAGTTAGGCCTCTGGAAAACTGTGGGCGGGCCTGACTGTGTGGGCCCTCCATCAATCAGGCCCTCCACAGGAGGTGGAGGAGCAGAGTCTTCTTTAAACCCCCCCCCGGGGAAAGGGAGACTCCCTCTCCCAGTCCGCTAAGTAGCGGGTGTTTTTCCTTGACACTGACGCTACCACTAGACCATGGTCCGCTTGGCAATGGGCATCTTCCCAGACGCTGGCGTTACCGCTAGACCAAGGAGCCCTCTGGTGGCCCTGTCCTGGCACGACAGAAGGCTCACATTCTTGTCTTCTGGTCACGTCTCACTATGTCCCTTCAGCTCCTATCTCTGTATGGCCTGGTTTTTCCTAGGTTATGATTGTAGAGTGAGGATTATTATAATATTGGAATAAAGAATAATTGTTACAAACTAATGATGAATGATATTCATATATAATCATATCTGTGATCTAGATCTAGTATAACTATTCTTATTTTATATATTTTATTACACTGGAACAGCTCGTGCCCTTGGTCTCTTGCCTCGGCACCTGGCTGGCTTGCCGCCCACATCCCATCAACCTTCTCTTGGGCAAATCAGCCACAAGCAGGGGCTGTGCCCAGGACACCAGGGAGCAACAAGGGCTTCCATCACTCCTGTAACAGGAAAACACACACACATACACACACATACAAACACACAAACTGGCAACACACACCACACAGACACACACATGCACACATACCACACATACAGACACACACCACACACATGCACACACATGCACACAAAAACACACACATACCACACATACAGACACACACATGCACACACATACATACATGCAGACATACACACCACATACACACGCACACACATGCACACAAACACAAATACAGACAACACACACACCCACACCACACAACACACATACACAACACACATACCACACACATGCAAACACACGCAGAAACACACATACACAGACACACATACACGACACACATATAAGCACACATACACACTCCAGATGTCCACAGGGGTGTGGGGCTGTCCCAGGCAAGCAAAGAGGCTTGGCCTTCACTGTGGGGCAGCTGAGCCCAGAGAAGAAGCCCCTTTCCCAGGGCCTCACCGCACACCCCGCGTGGGGCGTGGGAAATGCCTCACACTGCAGAGGCCTCGTTGGTGCCCTCCGGGTGTAGGGGCAGCACCTGTGATGTGCAGATAGCTCTCGGGACTAAATGGAGAAGGAGAGGATACGGAATTGCAGCCCAGCCTGACTCCCGCCACCAATAAGCATGAGGCCACAGAGGCATCTCAGGAAACACGAGGAAGTCCTGAGCTGCCTGGCAGGCAGTCCCGCAGCCCTGCTTCCCCCTCCCCTCTGCTGTCACCTCCTGTGGCACATGATGCAGATCAGGCTTCCGTGAGTTGAAGGGGAGCTGGGGAGGCTGGCCAGCCTTGAGCTCCGTGGGTCCTGGGCGAGAATGCAGTGTCGACATTGAGAGACGGCCATCGAGCTCAGGAACAATGAAATACAGCCGTCCCTCCACCCCGACACAGCCTGCACAGCACAGGGAAGGCCAGGCTCAAGTCCAGCTTCCTGCCTTGGTGTGGCAGCCTGAGGGGCACTGCCCACAGCCAGCCCCCGCCTTCCTCCCTGGCCCCACTCACCTGGAAGGACTCCTGTGCATGTCCCTGCATGACAGCCCCGCGGCCACCCTCAGCCATGTGTGCACCGGTGCTGAGACACCTCCCTCCCTGGGAGGACAGACTCTGGGGAGCTCCATGCAGGCCCTGAAAGGGGCGTGGCCCACCGTGCAGGGCCTCCTGGGGTGCCAGGTGCCTGGAATGTGGCCTAGAGGGAGACGTGTGTGAGCGCTCGGTGGACACAATGCCCCCAGTCTCGTGCCCTTTGAGATGGAGCCAGAGATGGCCGGAGAGGGCCGGAGATGGCCACAGAGGGCCGGAGAGGGCAGGAGAGGGCCGGAGATGGCCGGAGAGGGCCGGAGATGGCCAGAGAGGGCAGGAGAGGGCCGCAGAGGGCCGGAGAGGGCAGGAGAGGGCCGGAGATGGCCACAGAGGGCCGGAGAGGGCAGGAGAGGGCCGGAGAGGGCCGCAGAGGGCCACAGAGGGCCACAGAGGGCCACAGAAGGCCGCAGAGGGCCACAGAGGGCCGGAGAGGGCTGTAGAGGGCTGTAGAGGGCCAGAGAGGGCCAGAGAGGGCTGTAGAGGGCCACGCAGGCTCAAACTTGAGACCCACAGAGACAGAGCAGTCATGCGTGGAGAAGGCCTCCAGGCCACAGGCCCAGTCCTTCCCCTGTAGGTGGCGAGGGAGTGCCCCTTCTCCAGAGAGAAGATGATGCCACTCTGTCCTGACCCTCACCCACCTCCCCAGGTTGGGGTTCCAGTCCCTGCCCCACAGGGACAGCAGCCACCTGGATGGATCCCAGGGTTTCCCACTATGGGGGTCCAGAAAAGGTCAGCCTGTGACCTCAGTGTTGGGCCTGGCGTGTCAGGTCCAAGGGGTCCCTGCCCAAAGCTGAGTCCCTGGGCTCTCAAGCACCAGAAAGGTGGGGACCAGGCTCCAGGGTGCAGTGCACTCTCTGGCCGTGGGCAGGCTTCTCAACACACTGTCCTGCACAGAAAGCGCCCCGGCCCTGTGGACAAGCCCAGCCCTCAGGATGTTTGGCATGGAGCCCGTTTAACATCTTCCTGGTTGTGACTTCCGTGGTGTATGCTCACCTGGGGCATCTGCAGCCAACCGGGAGCTCCTTGAGGCCTGGGCCCTTCCTGGCTGCACCCCCTCCCTCTGGCTTTGCACCCTCGTTCTCCTGTCTCCCCACCTCCTCCCCAACCCCACCCATGGCGACCTCTGCCATCGACAGCCTGGGGACCCAGCTCACCGGACCTATGGCCAGCAGGGCAGGGAGCTCAGACCTCACTCGTGGATCCTCAACCTCACTATAAAGAGACCAGATGCCATCCTAGGTGTGGGGTCAGCACAGCCCCCCGCTCAGGGCATCTCTCGGCCTTATAGCTGCCCCTGGCCATCCCCAAGGCCAGAAACCAAGGGGCCTGGGCCACTCTTTGGTGCCAGGCCACACCACAGGTCACAGCCAGCCAGGGGCCGCAGCTCACATCCACAGCAACCCAGGTTCTGACAGCTGCCCAGAGGGCTTGAGTGGGGACAGGTCTGGCGGGCGAGGGTGGCACCCAGACACAGAGTTGGCACAGGCTCATCCATCCCCTACACCCAACACTCTGTGGCTCCAGCCCATGTAATCACTCGGGCTTTGCAAACATGTTTTCCGCTGCCCACAGAACTGATGTCCAACCAGGACGCATTCAGCCGCCTTTCTTCCAACCAGCTGCAGCCCCTGCAAAGTCAGAGCTAGCAACTTCAACCATGTCCCTGAACTCTGTCCTGTATGCACACCCCTTCAGCCCATTCCTGGTGTGTCTTCTCTGTTAGCCTGGGCAGGAAGAACCTCTACCTGAGCATGTGACTCCTTCCTGGGAGACACTTTAGATACATGAAATCTAGACATGTCAAACTCACGGCTTTGCGGCATGCACTGTCCCCAGTAATTAGCCACTGCTGTGGGTGCATATTGAACGAGACACCAGTGAGGGCTCTGCACATTCTCTCACTAAACCCCTCTGAAGTCACCTTTCCCAGTTCACCAATCAGTCCACTGACTGGAGTCCACTGACTCCACCCAGATAGGCTACAAAATGGTCCCGGGTGTAAATCTAGGGCTGACCCTGGCATTTGAACCCCCCACCGTCTACCCCATGCTGCCTCCCCACTCATAAAACCCCCAGCTCCAGAGAGAGAAAGGTCCATGTTGGCAGGAGAACACTTGAGAGCAGGACCCCTGGGGACGGCACAGTCGCTAGAGGCCGGGATTTCAGGGCCCTCAGTGGGCAGCACAGTCGCTGGAGGCTGGGACTGCGTTTATGAGACGGTCCCTCCCCAGGTAGGTCCACACAGGTATCAGCCACAGAAGAAAGGTGTGCATATTTGGGTAGCTGAGGGGCCACACGGTGACTTCTGAGGCTGGGTTGTATGAGATGACGTTGCTTCTGTGTTGCTGGTAACTCTCATGCATGAGCTGCCAGGTGCGAGTCCGCCCCCACCGAGGCCGCCATGCAGTGAGGAGGCCACGCCACCCGGAGAAGCCGTGTGTGGACACCCCGCCAGCAGTCCTGAGCCCCAAGTCTTCCCAGTACAGGTTCCAGAACATGCTGGAGTAGACAAGCCACCCCCACTGCACCCTCAGCAAGTTTCTGACCTTCTGAACCAGAAAGCTCCATAAACTGACTGCTCGGTTCTGGGGTGATTTGTTACACAGCAGTCATAAGTGAAATGCTGCCAGTGACCGCAATGGTTTCATTTTTCCATTCTACACAAGAGAGCCAAAGCTTTGGGCAAGAGAGAGAAGACCAGAGAAGTAATCTCAACACACGTGTTTCGTTTCCCTGTGCTAATGAGGACACACTTTCCTAGGGCAAGCCAACCACTCCACAGCTTCCTTCTTCCCTACTCGAAAGAGGGGAGTTAATGGCACTTACAGAAGCTACCACCCCTCTTCCCACCCTGGCTAAGATGGGCAGGTGGTGGCCCTGCTTTGCCATGTCAGCCGTCGGCTGCTCTGAATTCGGATTCACTCATTCCCACCCTGGCTAAGATGGGCAGGTGTTGGCCCTGCTTCGCCATGTCAGCCGTCGGCTGTTCTGAATTCAGATTCGTTCACAGGCTGCTGACGACAATGCGGCCTCCTCAGGGGTTTCTCGGGACTCCTGCTTACCCTGCTGTCCTGGAGAAGCCTTGGGCAGCCTGATATTGATGAGCCCCGTCTGCTCCTAAAAGCTACGACTTCGAGCGGCTCGGAGAAGCGGGTGATGTGTGCAGCGTTTAGCAGAGCAGACCTTCCGTCGGCATTCAATGTAGAGAATGTTTGCTGCAATAAGCACAGCAAGACATGTTTCTTCAAGGATGTTTGACAGACAGTCTCTGGAGGCCATCTTCCCACATCACTTCTCCAGCAAAAAAATATGGTATTTATGTCTTTATTCTCAAAGAAGGAGATTTACTTTCTTAATAATGGAAATCTTGCCGTGATCGGGTTTTGTTGCTGGAATGAATGTCTCCACTTGTTGTGCCAATCCGCTGTGAGAGAGGTTTAATTGATAACTTGAGATTTACCATCTCAAGCTATGAAACATCTGGGAAGCTTGAGAAACTCATGTTTTTATAGCCTTAAGGCTACTGGCAAGTTGATAAACATAAGATATGGATAATTTAAATGTTTAAGCATTTAATTACTAGTAAATGGGAGATGTTTGGTTTTATGTTGTGTAGCTGATTATTTCATAAGTTTTCATTTAAGCATCCGGTAACAGAAGCCGATTCTCGGTCTCTCAGCCTCGTTCCTTGGTGCCATTCTTTGGAAAGCAGCGCGCCAGGGAAGCCTGGGTGGGCCACAGCAGAATTCTACCCTCCGCCTCCAACGTCTTGGGCAAGACCCTCATCACCCGGGCACATCCCGCCACCCTCCCCGTGGCCTCTGAGAGCGTCCGCGAGCAGCTCCGCAGGCCTCGTCCTGGGCAAGACCTTCATCACTGGGCACATCCCGCCACCCTCCCCGTGGCCTCTGAGAGCATCCAAGAGCAGCTCCGCAGGCCTCCTCCCTGGCTCCCTCCCATCAGGTCAGAAGCCTTCTCCTCAGCTTGGGAGCGGCCATGGTGACCATGGTGACAGGGTCCCAGCCAGAAACCACAATGGGATGGAAACTCCTGGGGCTGCTGTCAGCAGCTGGGAGACACAGCGCTGGGGGAGACCAGGCATTCCCCAGGCCCAAGGGAGAAGCAGAGTCGGCCTCGCCTGAGCCAGACGCAGGCCTTGGGTTTACCCTCCATGGACCAGACGTAAAGTCTAATGGTGACATGAGATTTTTAATGTCTTTACATCTGCAGATGTACACGTCAGCAAAATTGCATCATACAAACCTCACTGCAGGCCCAGGCTTTCCTCTTTCCAGGTTTCACCAACCTCCTCCCTCCGTCTTGGCTGCCTGTCCCTCCACCAATCAGCTCTCACCTGCCCCAGGTGACCCGCGTTAACAGTGGCACATGAATTTCTCACATTCATACACACATAAATGCACGTCTCTTCAGGCAAATACACATTTGGAAAGGATTTTCCTCCTGGCTTGTCCTATGAACGTAAGAACGTGATCTGCACGTTTTTCTGAGAGTTGCTCTTTCTCCTAACCCACTCCTCCCCGTGCCCCACCCATGTGGCCAGCCCTCCGTGTCCACCATCCTCTGCTCCCTCCCAGGGCTTTGCTCCAGGAACGAAGTCCCAGGCAGCCTCCTAGGACACAAGTTTCTGTTCCTTCTGCTCCCTTGGGGTTTCCTCGTAGAATGAAGACTCCCAGTGGAGTTACTGGGTCAAAGAAGACCTGTATTTTTAGTTTCCCTCGAGTGGTGTCCACACCAGACTGGCTCCGCCAGGCCCGACTGTGCAGGCAGCCCATCCCAGCTGTGCACTCAACCCCACCCACCACGTCCACCTGATGTCCTCCTGGGGATAAGAGGGGAAGGGAAGGGACCGGGGAGCACAGGCGGCCCAGAGCTTGGCTAGCTGCCCATCACGGGGGACACCGCCCACACACCTGCTCCTCAGGTGACACTCTGAGCCGGGTCTGGGCTGGGACTCTGGTGTGAGCTGGCCAGGATCAGGCAGATCAGTCAGGAGTTGAGAGCTGGGGAGGGGAGGGCCCAGCAATGACTATGGCCTGTGAAAGGGTGAAGAGGGTCAGGCAGCCCGGGCAGGGGTGGGAAAAAGGAGAAACAGACCAGTGGGCTCCCCGCCAGACGTGACGGTCAGCTCCACTGCTGCGGCCTGACCCCTGGTGCACCGGCCCGAGAGCAGGCAGAAAAGTCACAGCCACTTTCCCATCGCCAGCCCCAGGACAGCAGGGAGGGTGGCCACGGCTGCTCCTGGCACAGCCGGCACCCAACTCATTCCTATCAAGATTTTACATGCACGGTCCCAAATGTTGCACTTTTAAATCTGGTTAATGCCACCAAATGACAGCAGACAAGGAGAGGGCGCAAGGTGCTGAGAGGTAAAAGGTCACGACAGAAGACAACGCCAGCAGCCCAGTGGGCGCCCCTTCCGCCTCTGGCCGCAAAGATCCGTTACGACGTCACATTGAAGGGTGGCTTCCGGTTACTTCCAGCAACCTAAGCCTCCGACTCCCGGGGAAAGCAGCTAAGCCACAAATGGCAGAGCCCCACCTTCATGAGCAGGGCCGCCAGACGAAAGCCAGTCTCAGCTCAGACTCCGGGTAACCAGTACAGGACGCCAGCTCCGTGTCAATCCACAGCGCAGGGCCTGCCACGCTGCCTGTGAGGGGTGTGGACGGAAAATGCAAAACGCCGCAGGTGTGGGTGAATGACCTCAAAGGCTGCTCTGCTTGAGAAGCATCTGAACCATGGAAGGGCCAGGCAAAGGCCGAGGCCAGGGAGGGACAGGCTGTGTCCTTCCTGCATCCCCCACATGGCCAGAGCCGCTGAGGCCGCCTCCTCGCCATCCTGGAGTGAACAACCCAGCCAGGCCACATGCAGGGGACAGGAGTCATTCAGCCTCTGCACCTTCATCTCACAGGCGAGGCTGGTGGGGGCCACACACACCAAGGGGTGACACGCAGTGCCTGCTACTCCTGCCTGCCCACCCCTCGGCCCCCACCCAGCACACAGACATCAGTTCTTCTCATTCCTCCTCATTCTGAGATTTAAAACTACACTGCCTGGTTCTTAAATATTTGCAATCCATCGAGTGTGATGCATTACCTAATCCTATCAGAGGATGCATTCCACTATTCCACTCACACCCTCTATGCGCTCAGGAAATGTTTGGCAGCATCATGAAAATTGAGTAATTCCAAGCAGAAATCAACAGTGGGGAGGGAGGAAAGTCTGTTTGGTACTTCTACTCTAACCAGGTAAGTCGTTTCCTCAAAGCAGGAAAACACCAAAGCTGGTCATTGAGTTGGAATTCTAAATCATACAAAATAGACGGATTTTCTACATTTTATAACCCATGTTGTTCCCACTCTAACAAACCCTAAGTGGGGTAAAATGGTAATACTCAGTAATACCAGATAATTAACAACTAGACCTGATGCTGCAGCCGCCATGAGGATGACACTGCTCCGACTGATTCTCCCGACCCAGGCCTGCCCAGCCACTGGTCACTGGACAAAGGTGACGCTGAGCCACCCACACCCCATCTGGCCAATGCATGGTCAGGGGACAACTCCACTGAAGCGTCCATAGTCCCAGCTCCAGAGGCGGGAAGCGGAGCCCTGAGCTGCCTGGGGCCTGGCGGGGACAGGACAGGTGCTGTGTGGTGCCCGCCTCGGGCCCCTCCCCTTGAGGTCTCCTAGGACCAGGCACTTGAGGCACACCCTTTAAAGGCCGAGGCCTCTCTCTCAGAACAAGAGATGTCAGCCACTGAGTTGCACGTGCATGTTCTCAGGAGGACCAGGCAGCCTGTCAAATGGATGCAACCTCCTCTCGGCCTTCCTTCAGGTGTGGGGGACACACACAGGTAACCAGCTCTGGAGTTGACTTCTAGCATCTGGTCCCAGGTGGGAACCATGGACCAAAGGAAGGTTGTTCCGTTGGACTGAGGCTGGAGCGAAGCTGAAGTGACAGGAAGACAAAAGCTACCGTCTCTCGGCCCCTGGGGGAGTTGTGCGGTCACAGTGGGCTCTTCCAGCAGGGCCCACCTCTGGCAGAAGTGCCAGGACCTCACGAAGCGGGCAGCGCCGCCAAGCATCCCTGTGTGTACGGCCGCCCGCGCTTCCCTTCCCCATCTGGTGCCAGAGACTTGGCAGGTCCAGGGCCCGCTTTGGAAGCCAGGCCTATTTAAAGCAGAAAACACAAGTCCCAGCTTTCAGAAGTGCATGCTGCACACAAATGTGCAAAACCACACAGGGGGGTCAATTAAGCAGGTGTCGCCGGCACCTGAGAAAACCAGGGGGAGGGTGCAGCTGCTGCTCTTGTTCTAGAATGAACAAGGCTGCGTGTGGATCCCACAGACAGACACCCTTGGGTGGCCCCGAGGACGCGGGAGAAAGTCCCCCTTCCCAGACCGGTCTCGATCTCATGGGATCAAGTTACCTGGCCCTAAATCCGACTGCTGGAGCCAGAGCCAGAGCCGTGCGGAGACACGGAGCCGGCCGAAGCCACTCAGGGTTGGAGCCGCCTCGCCACACCCAGGACCCTGGGCGCTACATTGAGGGTGGCTGGGTGCAGGGGTGATGGCGGCGGTTCCTAGTTGGCAGCCAGGAGACACGTACTCACTCCAGCTCCAGCAGAAAGCCAAGGTCAAGCCTTGCAGCTCCTCAGGTCCCGAGCTGGGGCGGTTCTGGACCAGGTGGCCTCAGGGACTCCACGGCCAGGGCTCAGGTCACCCTCACTCCCACCTCAAGAGCGGCCCTCGGCCCCTTGCGGGTTCTGCCACCCACCTCAGTCCCATCTCTACCCCTCCCACCAACACTCCTGGAAGAGTTAATATAATCACCCAAATATCCTGAGTTCACCATTGAAAATGAAAAGAAATTAAAAGAAATAAAACTAAAGGAAGTGGCCTCGCTGTGCACCCTGGGGTGTCGGGCCGGGCCCGATGCTTGTGTGCCACCCTTAAACAGGTGCTCATGAGAACCGGCCAGGACTAGGCCGGCTCACGCCTGCCCTACTGCGTTACCCCTGGTGGGGGTGGCAGGCAGGTAGCCCCTCAGGTGCCGCCCAGCACAAAGGGGCCCAGGAGCTGTGGGAGGCTATGCCACTGCCTACTCCTCCTCTAATTCTAAAGACCCCCAAGAAGCTCCAGTCAGCTGCTGAGAGTGCAACTGCTGCCTGGGCACCCCGGAGGCCACTTCCTGAGAGGCCTTGGGAAGGACTTTAGCCC
The DNA here is from genome assembly GCF_000001405.40 of Homo sapiens. Lineage (NCBI taxonomy): Eukaryota > Metazoa > Chordata > Mammalia > Primates > Hominidae > Homo > Homo sapiens. The sequence continues at coordinate 131,850,054 of NC_000010.11, forward strand.
GTGGCTTGGTCAAAAGCAGTACCCTACTTGGAGGACCGAGAGGCCTGTGGGTCGGAGATGGCTCAGAAAGGCCAGATCACAGAGAGAGACGAGCGCTTGACTGTAGATGCCTGGCTTCCGTGACAGAGCAGCTATTCTCCTTGAGCGCGTGAGTCGCACCCGACCCCGTAAAGTTAATGCAGATGGACCTCGGGAGGAGGCAGACCTGGCCACCCCCCGACCCCCAAGGCCTTTGTTACAGGAAAACACGTTGCCTTCACCCGACTCAGTGCCTTCATAACAAAGTACCTGCCAGGACACATCCCTCACGCGTGATTTGATGGAACGAAGTGCTGACATTTACAATGAAATACCACATCTTCCAGGGGCCCAAGTGCCCCGGAGCTCCTCCAAGCCCCGCTAGGGAGAACCCTTGTGGCTCAGCGCCCACCCTCCCACCCCAGGGCCGCCTTCTCCAACAGGCTTGTTCCAAGAATAACAAGAACCAATGAGAAGCCTCCACAAATAAGAAAATGCACACAGAGAATGACAAGGCATTGGAACCAGAATGACATCCACATTCTCAATAGCATCCGTGGAAGCTATAGGAAAATGAAGCTTCACCTTCATTGTCAATCTAGAATTTTCAACCAATGACTCAACAAAAAAAAAATGTGCAACATCATCTCAAGCCTAGATTCTACACTCAGTCAAACTACTGCTTGGACATGATGGTAAGGGATGACAATTTCACACATAGGAGGACTCCACTGTGTCACCTGCCACACACCTTTCCACCCACACACACCTTTCCACCCGCACACACCTTTCCACTCACACACCTTTCCACTCACACACACCTTTCCACCCGCACACACCTTTCCACCCGCACACACCTTTCCACCCGCACACACCTTTCCACCCACAAACACCTTTCCACCCGCACACACCTTTCCACCCGCAAACACCTTTCCACCCACACACACCTTTCCACCTGCACACACCTTTCCACCTACACATACCTTTCCACCCACACACACCTTTCCACCTGCACACACCTTTCCACCTACACATACCTTTCCACATACACACACCTTTCCACCCGCACACACCTTTCCACCCACACACACCTTTCCACCCGCACACACCTTTCCACCCGCACACACCTTTCCACCCGCACACACCTTTCCACCTACACACACCTTTCCACCCGAACATACCTTTCAACCTACACACACCTTTCCACCTACCACAAATCTTTCCACCTGCTGCACACCTTTCCACCTGCCACAAATCTTTTCACAGGAAGCTAGTGGAAAATATGCTCCATCAAAACAAAAAAGTAAAGCCAAAAAAAAAAAGAAAGAAAGAAAGACATGGGATCCGGGAAAAGGGGCCCAACACAGGACACGGGAAAATGCGAGATGGCGTGGGAAAATCCCAAGACGATAGCATATCTGTGAGCAAAAGCCAGGTTGGCGCTGTCGGCCAGAGACCTCAGGAAGGAATGCCTCGGTTAAATGAAAACTGAGCAAAGACCCAGATGATGCCGCTGAAAGAACCCGAAGGGTTTCTCTCCGGGAAAAGGGGCCAGGCCTGAGGATGGGAGTGTGGATGCTATTTGTTGCCTTACAGTACTTTGTAACTTTTCCAACTAAACACTTGTCATGTTTTAACATCAAAATAAAAATTAAGTTTAAAAAGTAGAGTGAATGCTCACAAAGACATATGTATAAGGATGGCCACTACAGTGTTGTCCATTAATTTTTTTAAAGCAGCCTAAATGTCCAAGCACAAAAGTAACCCCATTGATTTCATAGCAGCTGGGGACAGGGAGAGGGTCTGCCCCGGAATAATCACGATCCTATATGCACTTGTCATTCATAAGAGGATTCCAGAAACATTCATGTCCAGAGGAGGTTAGGATGCTTCGCAATCCATTCAACAAGCCTTCCTTTCTCTATCCCTCCCCATCAGACGCTCGGCCTCCCAAGGGCAGCTCTTTCTCAGGATTGACTGTCTCTACTCAGCACCAGGCATATCGTTGCTTTGTCCCTGTTTAATGTCTGGGGCCATTGATGGTACAGAAGATGAGGAGACCCCATTCCCACCGAGCACCCGCACAGCCTGTGTCTCTCGTGGCCGGCGTCTTTGAAGCCAGCAACAGAGCCCACTGCAGATACATGGTGAGAGGTGCATCCAAACCCCAACAAATGTCCTTCAAATGCAGCCCGCTCCGTCCCACACGCCACTCCCAGAAATGTATCCTCGGGAAGTGCTCCGAGAGGTGCACAAACAGGCACTCGAACAACGGCGATGAGCTCACTCTCCACGACGGATCGCCAGGGACGATCTAAATATCCACTCATGCTCCCGCACGCACGAGGTTCCCCAGCGCTCTGGGTCTCAGGCCGCCGGAGAGGAGTATTTAATGCGACACCAGCGCCGCTCGTGCGTGCTGTGAAGAGCAGCCGTTAAAAGCGGTTATGCAAATCTGTGTTTGCTGATTTGTTTAATGTGCACAACATACTGCTACGTGGGCCAAGCCTTATCCAAGAGTATTACCGTGTGATCCTTTGTGTCAGTTTTTCTGAATCTGGAAGGATGTGCGTCACGAGAGCAGGGGTGCTTATCTCCAGGGTGAACTCCTGGGTGAACTTTACTGCCCCCTTGACGGTTTTCTGATTTTTTTTTTTGAGAAGTATAATGTATGACTCTTGCACCCAAAAGCTATGTCCAAGACAGTGTTCAATTTACATCTTTCAGACAGTGTCCCACCATGAGGTGCCACCACCCCTTAGGACCCCGACGCCAGGCTGGTAATCACCCCTGTGCCCTCCAGGGAGACCTTGCAGCTGCCCAGCCTGGTCCTCGGGAAAGCCGAGAAAAGTTGCTCTGACACTTCTGCCCTTCCTGTCACTCACAAGTGCCACCCCAGCCTTCCCAAAGGTGGCCTGCAGCACACCACTCCCAAAGTGCGGGAGGACCCCAGGACCATCACCACCCCCTCCCGAAGACTGTTCTGGAACAGAAGCCCACCCTGCTCTGCCTCTGCCCGTGGAACTCCCAACACAGGGGAGGCACGGGGCCCGCCTGCCATTTGCGTTGGGACAGGGCCCTCTGTCGCCCACGGAGTGAAAGGCACCTCTGTTTCCACAGCCAGCAAAGGAGCTGCCCAGCCCGTGGGCCCAAAGGCCCGGGGAGCCCCCTTCCCTCATCTGCACCTCAAACCCCCAGGGTCCCCCACCCACCCCAGACCCCAAGAGGCTGAGGCAGGTGGAGACCCAGGCGGTGGCTGCAGAGGCCGTGGCCCTGGCTCCCGTGGCCTCCCCACAGCAGCAGCCCTCCAGTGAGCTCACTCACCACGATCATGTCCTGTCCCTCCCACCCCTGTCCAAGAACAGACACTGTCAGCAGGATGGGAGGGTCTCCCCAGGTCCCCGGTGACCCCTGTCCCGTGAGCAGGGTGACGGGGTCTCCCCAGGTCCCCGGTGACCCCTCTCCCGTGAGCAGGGTGACGGGGTCTCCCCAGGTCCCCGGTGACCCCTCTCCCTCCATTTCTCCTGAGTCCCTGGTCCCACCTTCCTCTCCAGGGGACCTGGCACTAAGGTAAATGTGAGTTTTCCATTCAAGCAGGATTTCAGAAACAGGTAACAGGACCCACTGGCCCAGTCCGTGCACTCCTGGGAATGAAAGGTAAAGAGCTGACGCTAAATACCCACAGCACTTTATGCATAAACAGAGTCCCCTACGTGGGTGCGCAATGATCTGGGGACAACCGGGGACTCGAGTGCCCGCCCGTCGGGGGTGAGGAGTAAGCTGTTGTTAAAAATGGTGACACGTAAGTATTTTTTAAATACAGGTGTAGCAGGACAAGTCGCAGACAAAACTCCTCGTACACCAGATTAAAGAAGGAAGAGGTTTTTATTCGGCCGGTAATGTCGGCAGACTCACGTCTTAAGAGCCGAGCTCCCCGAAAAAGAAACTCCTAGCCCTTTTAAGGGCTTAAAACTCTAAGGGGTCCACGTGAAAAGGTCGTGATAGATCAAGTAGGCGTGAGGAACGTGACTGGGGGCTACATACATCAGCTCACAGAACAAAAAGTTTTACCGTGCTTTCTCATACAATGTCTGGAACTTACAGATAACACCAGTAGTTTTGGTCAGGGGTTGTTATTATTATTATTATTGTTATTATTTTAACCACCACGGCCAGGCGGAGGCGCCAGGGCCGTCCAGCTATTTATCTTACTTCTGTTTCTTTTCACCCTTCTGCCTTCTCCCTTCTCTCCTGTCTTCTAAACGAGGGAAAAGCGGAGGTGGGGGAGAAGCTGGGAAGGACAACAGGAGAAGTGGTGGTCTCATTCCACAGGAAGAAGTCGGATACAGAGTTGTATCTATACCTTCATCACAAATCTATTCAAATGGCATATGAAAACCGACTGGTTGTTTTAGGAAGGCGGGAAGGTAGAGTTTTATCTGCTTTCACCCAGTCTTCAAGATACCACAGTAATCCAATCACAGAAACATCGCATTTAAAACTCACGGCCCCCCAGGAAGGCCACAGCTAGGCCCAAGTATTGGGTTATGGGGCAAGGGTTCCAACAGGGCCCCTCCAGGAACTACCTGGGACCCCGAGCACCCGTCCAGGCCCTCAGGTGAGACGCAGCAGAAACCTCTGCGTGAAGCCGGGTCCAGTTTCAGGACACCCTGGAGAGGAGCTGAGGACACTCGTGGCTCCTCGTGACTGGCTGAGTGAGACGCCAGCAGAGACCACGAGGACCTCACGCCACACCCGCGGGAGCCTGCAGCATCTCCCCAACTCCGGAGCCTCTCTCTGTCCACACCACGAGGGTCCTGCACACCCCCAGCCTCTCTCTGTCCACACCATGAGGGTCCAGCACATCTCCCCCACACACCCACCCTCTCTCTGACATCACTTGTTGGGGGTCCAGCACATCTCCCCCGCACCCCCAGCCTCTCTCTGTCCTTCCCTCCGACACACCTACCAAGTGAGGCTTCCTTCTGGGAAAACAAAGAATGTCCAAGAGGTCATTTGGCTGCTGCCAGGGAGAACAGTGACGAGGGGTTCCAGCCGGCAGGAGGCGACAGTCACACGCCTGGGGGCAGGTGGGGCTGGGAGCTGGAAGCCTCTGAGCTGTGCCCACTCCAGGGAGGTGGCCGAGGGACAGTCTTCAGTGTCCCCAAGGAGCTGAGCTGCCTGTAAGTCACTGTAGGAGGCTACTACCCTGTGTGTGCCACACACACACAAGACGGCCACCAAAATCCTTCATGTTCTGAGGCTGAAAAGGACAAGCAGGCCATGTGGCAGGCATGTGGACCCCAGCACCCAGGGGTGCATTTGCCATCCACCACTGGGAAACACGCCATCTCCAACTTCAAAGCTAGAATAGTATTTATCCCTTCACTGGTTCTGAGGGTGGGAAGTGTCCAAGCACCGTGCTCCCAGTGCCGAGGGCTGAGGTCAAGGTGTGGGCCGGGCAGAGTTCTCCTGTGCTGGCCTCAGGGTGCTGGCAGAGTCCACTGCCGTGTGGCTGCAAGACTGGGGTCACTGCTTGCTTGCTGGCTGTCAGCCAGGCCCACACCCAGGTCAGCGTGTCTCCTCTATCTTCAGAGTCACCCAGCCCAGCCCCAGAGGAATCCTCCCGGGCCAGATCCCTCCCATTTTGAACCCCAGCTGCCCAGAATTTCAAGGCCCCATTAAGGACTCACCTGACCAGCTCAGGGCCCAGCACATGCCCCCATTGAAGGTTCACTGAGCAAGGGCCCTCATTACACCTGCAGAATCCCTCCCCAGCAGCCTCTGGACTGTGGTGATTGGATGACAGGGGGAAGGTGTGTGCCCTGCAAGGACGGGCACCTGGGGGCCAGTTTAAAAGTCTGCCTTCCCAGGGCTATGGGGAAGACGAGCGGAGGCCCATTCAGGGCTGACACAGCATTTCTGGGACAGCCAGCACCTCCGGACGCTGGCCTTGGCAGAGCCCATGCCCTGGACCAGGCCCATCCATGGCCCGCCTGTCCCCAGGGAGTGGCTCCTCCCTCCAGGACCCCGAGGCCTGTCCTGTCAGTGCCCATCCCTGCACAGAGACCAAAGCACCCTTCATGCTGAAAGCCCATTCCCACAGCCACGCCTCCCAGAAGCACAGAAGCTGCAGCGGCAGGAGCCAGCGGTGCCCCTGGTGCTCTGGGGCAGAAGCCAACAGCGAACAGCACAGGTGGGTGGAATCGGTGGTGGGGTAGAGCCCAGGAGGGTGAGGCTGGACCCCCTGGAAATGCAGGTGCGGGCATCTCCACCGGGGAAATCAAGAGCTGTGACCGGCTGTGCCCACCCTGGCGGAGCGTGTGACTGGCAGTGTCTTTGGGCACATCTTTGGGTGTCTGTAACCCCAGAGGGACACTCTGAATGTCACCGACCCCCAACATTCCTGCCCTGGAAAGTCAGGAGCGGGCGAGGTGTCGCCCTCACAGGCTGGAGCAGGAGGGCCCATGGTCACAGCTGTGCCCAGGTCGGGGTGGTGCCTCCTGAGGAGGGAAAGGAGCAAAGGCTTCCCGGGAGTGTGAGGAACAGCCTCCAGAACCCCAGGGACTTTCCAGGCAGGGAGCAGGTGCGAAGGCCCTGGGGCCCTACAACGTGCAGGCTACAGAAGGCTGGGCAGCCAGCCTGGGGGAGGAGGGAGCAGAGAGGGGAGGGAAATCAATCAGAGGAGCGGGGTGGGCGGGGGAGGCTGGGCAGGGCCCTGTGGGCCTTCAAAGCTTTGGCTTTAGGCCGAGTCTGAGATGGGAGCCTCAGGAGGGTGTTGAGCCCCGGAGTGACCTGAACTCTGCCCCGCGGGCAGCTGCGTGGAGATGGCCTGGGTGGGGGCCCATGCTGCGTATTGTTCAGTTAATGACCCTTAAACCACACTCACAGCCCCAATACTGGTGGGGTAGGCAGAGCACAGCTATGGTGGCCCCAGAGTAAGCTCCATGGCAGAAGAATCCAGAAGGAAAAGCTCAGATTCCCAGAGGCAAGCAGGCGGAAGACACTCCAGAGACGCCTCAGAACTTAGAGAGGCCAGTGGAGATTGGCCAGTAGAGGTCTGTGAGCCAGAAACCCGTCAGGGCAGGCGTGAGCTCAGATCAATGCCTCGGGCAGCCACAGGGAGAGAGAAGCCAGCAGAACACGTGGAGATGGGCAGCAGGAGTGCAGCGGCCCCAGGTGCGGCCAGGCCCAGCCAGGGAGACAGTGGATCTCACCTGGCCTTGGGCGCCGGGCACAGCCCTGGTGTTTTGTTTGGTGGTGCCGATGCGCGTTTCCTGTGGCACTGGAACTAACCGCCACGTACTTTGGTGGCTCACAGCAGCACAGGCATCTTTCTTCACACCCCAGGGGTCCGTACGGAGTGAAACAGGGCTCTCTGGGCTAAAGTCCAGGTGCTGGCAGGGCTGGTTCCTTCTAGAGGATCCAGGGGAGAATCCCTTCTCTCGCCCCTTCCAGCTTCTAGAAGGAAGCTGCCTCCGTCCTCAGAGCCAGCAGCATCCAGCCCAGCCCTCACATTGCCCTCCCTGGCTCTGAGCCCCTCGGCTTCTCCACGCTCCTCCCCGTCGGGTAAGGTCAGCTGATGAGCATATTGAGCCCCTCACGGCACCCCCCATGGCCCCCCATAGCCTAGCATATCTATAGGTCCTGTAGTGGGACAGCAGCATCCTTGGGGACATGATTCTGCCAACTCCAGTGGTACTCTCCAGTCTGGTGTGGAGGAAGAGATGGAGGAGAAGCCTGGGTGCACGCCTGGGGCAGGATATGGACCCAGCATGGCCAGAAGAAGCAAGTCAAACTGAGGCCGTGGACCTGCAGGGCACATGAGTCGGGGGTGCTGAGGGGTGAAGCCATGGCCTTTTCTGAGAAGTCCATGCAGATGCGTAAACCGGAGACTCATCCGGGGCGGCCCTGGGCACCCCCATCCCGAACAGGTCTCTTAGTATAGTTCATTGTCAGCGTGCAGTGGTTCAGAGCCTGCCTCTGACTGAGGCGGCTGCCCAGGGCCACAGGGCAAGGGGCGGGGGGGCGGGGACAGGACCCTGAGTCCTCATGAGGCCATGCTGAGTTGGTTGGCAGCACCCAGGGGAGTGACTGTGGAGGTCCCATCCCCATCTGGTCCTCAGGCAGGGGCAGCACAGCCTTCAGCCACAGCCCACTCCAAAGCCAGCACCACGATCTCTAAAGCCTGGGACAGGAGGCCAGCCTCAGCCGCCACCGTGCCACCCGAGAACAGGAGCGAGGACCAACGTTCCCGGCTCTCATTCACACCCAGACAAAGGATGCTGGTGTTGACGGATGGAGCCACGGAGTGGGAGGAAGCTGTCTCAACAGATTTGGCCCTGCTGCAAACCCATCAGGAGGCTCTAAGCCGGTTTCAGGATGAGACAATACTGCGCCCCATTTCCTCCCCAAGGGCCTGGAGTGACTTCAGAGAATCAAATGCATGGTGAGTGGGTGGAGTAGGGGGAACAGGGACCTTCCTGATAGCTGTTCAAGTCCAAGGAATGCTGAGCAGGAGAGATGTGGGGCAAATTTTTAGAGAGAATGTTTCTGAAGCGTGTGGTCATGATGCCGCAACCCCTGAGTGACGGCGGGAGGCGTGATGGGTCTTAGATCCATACAGGTTCGACGGCCCCTCGGCAGTGCGGCCCCTCAGCAGTGGGGCCAAAGCGCCATTGCCGGCAGCCGGTCGGGAGGAGGGTGAAAGAGAAATCCTGGCTGCACACAGAAGGCACCAACTGTTTGCTCATCGCAGAGCAGGGCAGTGGTGCCCAGGAGGGCGGGGCATCGGATACTGAAACACGAGCAGGTTTCCGGCATCGAGACTGGGGCTGGAGACTTCAGGAAACCTCATTTTCTTCCCCAAACATCCACCCTTTTCTTTAAAGTAGGCCAAAGGCCTCCGTTTCACGCTGTGTGAGCCAGGCGTGTCAAGCCACAGCGGTCGAGGCGGGTGTTTCTCAGGGCAGGCTTTAAAGGTGCTCGGGCCCTTCGGCCGGCGCCCTCTGCAGGCAGGGCAAAGGGTGGGGCCATGGGGTCCCTGCAAAGATCAGGCTAAGGCGACTCCACCGCACTGGAAGGGAAACTGAAGCCCTCCCAGGGTCACCTGCTGGACGGCAGCAGAGAACGTGGGAGACCCACATGGCCAGGAGGAGGGTGGCAACACCAAAAACGTAGTTTTGAGGGAGGACATGAAGCAGCAGTCAGCTGTGCAGAGTTTCTTCCTCAGAGTCTTGGGGATGAATCAGGACCGGCCAGTGGGGACAGCTGAGTATGTCTCAGGTCATCCACAGGGATGCTGTCCAGGCTGGTCCAGAATTGGCTCAGCCTCTCATCTCGCTAAAAATCCTCCAGTGGGGAGGGCACCAGGGGCTTGGGATGGAATCTTCCCATCAGAACAGCTTTCAGCCTAGGTGGTTGACGGAGTCTGGGGAGAGGTATGCAGGTAGCGATGCCCACTCAGCCTCACAAGTCACAGCAACGAGGCACTGCAATGAGTCACTGCAACGAGTCACTGCAAACTCCATCCCTTTTTTAGGACTTCAGCTCCTCATGAAATGGCTCAAGAACCAGAATTTTAGAGACATTTTTTTCCCAGTGTGACTGTCTTGGAAAGCAGTTTCATGAACAAGCCTTTTTCTGGGCCCAGGACCCTCCCAGTGACCTGGTGGACAGAACCAGTTCTCTTTGGCCACCAGGCTGTCTCCTAAAGTAACTAGAGCCTGGGGACCTTGATACAGTCGCCTCGTTCCACAGCAGTCTGATAGCCAGTCACACCTGCACGACTCCCATGGAGCTGACAAATTGCTTTGGTCTGGGGATCCCCAGCCACTGAATACTGGCCATCTTTACCTGCATAGGAACCTGGTCCCTAGACACCCAGTCACCTTTGCTGGGCTTGACTTGCAGCCTCCACACCACAGCTACGTCCTGACTGCTGGGAGCAGGAGCCTGTTTTGTTCTCTTCACCAGCCATTTGTGTCTCCTGTTCCGTGGGATGCCTTTCCATATTCTCTGCTTTACTATTGATGTCTTTTTATCATGGTGTCAGAACGCTTTAATATAAGAGATATTCACTTTTTGTTTAAAATTTTTGTTTAAATGTTGCAAAATGTACCAGAAGCAAATAATCGAAGGGGGAAATTTTGCACCTCATAAGACAAAGTCTGATTCCCTTTATGGCTTTTAGATATCCCGTCTTATGGGAGAAGCTCTCTCCCATCCCAAGGGTATAGAATGCTATCTTTAGGTATCTTTTAATATTTTCACACTTTACATCCAACTCTTCATTCTCGATGGGGTTTATTTTTATGCATGGTGCGATACAGGATTCTGGATCTTTCCTTCATCGCCCATCATGCCAGCACCTTCTGTTATACAAGCCCCCAGTTCCCGCTGAGCTGCCTGAAATTCCCCTGGAACTTGGACCCACTCCAGGCAGCTCTTCTTGCATGTTCCTGGGGCCAAAACCATGCCGTCAGGATTCCATCGGCTCTGTTGGGATCTAAGTATCTGATAAGGTGTGATTCCTGGCTCACTGTTCTTTAGAAAACATTCTCAACTATTTTCAGACACTATTCCTCGATGTGAATTTAAATACTTCTTTTTATTTCAAAAAAGAAAATGGAAAACATCTCTTTAGAAATTCTATTTAGGTGGCATCCCGTTCACACATCCATAGGGGAAGGACTGAGGTTTTCATGACACTACCTCGTTCACCTGTGACCTCCCTGCATTTCTGCAGGTGTTGCTCTGTGTACACGCACCATCTGCAAATGCTTCTCCTCCACACAGACAAGCCTGCCGGTCTCAGCCTCCTTTCTTGAAGCTGCACCTGCTCAACTTTCCGCTCAGGTCTCACATCAAGGATTTTGCTCTCCTGCACATTCACGGAGCCTTCCTTTGGGGGCGCCATTGCTTACGGCCCCTGGGATGGCTCACTTTATGTGTCAATTCGCCAAGGCCACAGTACCCAGACATTTGGCCAAAGATTGTTCTAGCTGTTTCTGTGAAAGTACTTTCTAGGTGAGATTAACACTTAGATCAGTAGAGTTGGAGTAAAGCAGGTTACCGTTTGGGACGTGGTGGATCTCAGCCAATCAGCTGAAGGCCTTCATAGAAAAAAGGCTGAGGTGCCTTGGAGAAGAGGGAGCTCTGCCAGAGGGTGGCCCTCGGCCTCGAGCTGCAACACCAGCCCCTCACTGGATCTCCAGCCTGCAAATCACCCTGCAGATTTCAGACCAGCAGCCTCCACAATCCTATGGCCAATCCTTAAAATAAGACTAATGAAATCCTTAAAATAAATGAAGAAAGAGAAAGGAACAGTGTCAGAGGAGGAGTAAATGAAGGTTAAATAAAAGCATTTGTTTTCATTATTTTTAATTGATCTAAAAGATAGCTGTTCAAGGCCGGGTGCAGTGGCTCACACCTGTAATCCCAGCACTTTGGGAGGCTGAGGCAGGTGGATCACCTGAGATCAGGAGTTCAAGACCAGCCTGACCAACATGGTGAAATGCTGTCTCTACTAAAAATACAAAACCTAGCCAGGTGTGGTGGCAGCCGCCTATAATCCCAGCTAATTTGGAGGCTGAGGCAGGAGAATCGCTTTCACCAGGGAGTCAGAGGTTGCAGTGAACCAAGATAGCACCACTGCCCTCCAACCTGGGTAACAGAGCAAGACTCCATCTCAAAAAAATAATAATAATAACGGCATAAAATAATAATAGCAACAATGTATTAAGTGATTATAACACATGGACAAGTAAAAAAAAATGAAAGTAAAGTATTGTCACAGAATGAGAGGGAGGAATTGAGAAGACCTTCTTATAAGTTGAAGGTGCCACGTGGAAAGGGATAATGGTGTTCTTTAAAGCTGAACTTAGATGAGTTAAAAATGTGTATCCAGCATCCTTGGGGGCTTGGTTCTAGGACCCCCACAGATACCAATATCCAAAGATGCTCAAGTCCCGTATTTAAAATGGTGTAGTATTTGATGTAACTCACACACGTCCTCCCATATTATGATATATAATACAATGTAAATGCTATGTAAATCACTGTTATAACGTATTATTTAGGGAATGATAACAGGAAAGAGAAGCCTGTACATGGTGCAGGCATACCATCCTTTTTTCCTTTCTCTGAGTATTTTCAGTTGGTGGTTAGTTCAATCCACATACCCGGGACCCACAGATGTGGAAGGCCTGCTCCATTGTAAACCCTGAAGCAATCACTAAAAAGTGGCTTAAAAAGAAGTATGATTGACATGTGAGCAGAAGAGATAAAACAGAATCATAGAAAATGCTCAATTAAAACCAGAGAAGACAGAAAAAGTTGGAGGGAAAAGGAGCAAAGGATAATCACAATATAAAAAAGTTGCAAACATGAATTCAACAATATCGATAATCACTTTGGATGCAAATGGTCTCAATATACCAATTATAAGACAGAAACGGTCAGAGTGCATAAAACAAGTGAGACTAGAGTAGGTTGAAAGTAAAAGGATGGAGAGAGTTATTCCATGGAGCAGTAATTGAAAAATCTCTAGATTCACCATCCAGGAACCCCCTTTGTCCTCCAGGGATCTCTAGATTCACCGTCCAGGACACCCCTTGTCCTCCAGGAATCTCTAGATTCACCATCCAGGACCCCCCCTTGTCCTCCAGGGATCTCTAGATTCACCGTCCAGGAGCCCCCCTTGTCCTCCAGGGTTACAATCCAAGGCCCCCAGTGGATGCCTGAAACCGAGAGTAGTGCTGAACCCTGTATATACTGTTTTTTGGGGTTTTTAGGGGGCGTGGGAGGATCTGGTAACCAAGATGGCTGCTGAGTGACTGACAGGTAGGGTAAATGACATGGGTACAATGGACATAGGGAGACTCACATCCAGGAGGATGGGGAAGGACAGCATGAGATTTTGTCACGCTACCCAGAATGGCATGCAATGTTCAACTTATGAATTGCTTATTTTGGAAATTTCCATTTAATACTTGTATACCATGGTTGATTGTGGGTAACTGAAACCACAGAAAGTGAAATTGCACATGAGGGGTGACTACTGTAATAATTTCAGATTCCTGGACTAGGAACATTATCAGGGATAAACAGGGTCATTCAGGCTGGGCACGGTGGCTCACATGTGTAATCCCAGCACTTTGGGAGGCCAAGGAGGGTAGATCACTTGAGGTCAGGAGTTCGAGACCAGCCTGGCCAACATGGTGAAATCCCATCTCAACTAAAAATACAAAAATTAGCCAGGCATGGTGGCGGGAACCTGTAATCCCAACTACTCAGGAGGCTGAGGCAGGAGAATCACTTGAATCTGAGAGGCAGAGGTTGCAGCGAGCCGAGATGGCACCACTGCACTCCAGCCTGAGCGACAGAGCGAGACTCTATCTTAAAAAAAAAAAAAAAAAAAAAAAAAAGTGGGGCATTCCAGAGAGTCTATTCCCCAGAAGACACAATAATCCTGACACCCAAGTGTCACCATCCATGAAGCAAACACTGGGAGAGCCGAAGGGAGAAGGAGGCAGCCACCGCTCAGGTGGAGATTTTAACACCACTCTCTCAGTAACTGACAGATCCAGCAGACTAGAAATCAGCAAAGATCAAGTTGAACTGAACAGCCCCATCCATCAAATGGATCTAATTGACATCTATTGAACACTCGATCCAGCAACAGCAGAATACACATTCTTCTCATACAGAAAGAAAAGCAAAAGCTGTTACTTTTCTATATGCCAACAATGAACAACTAGAATTTAACATTTATAAAACAATACCATTTACAATAGCTCTGAAAACAGAAATATTTAAGTATATACTTAAGTAAGAAAATACCACATCATCTATATGCAGAAAACTAAAAATCACCAGTGAAGGAAGTCAAAGAAGGTCCAAATGAATGGAGAATATTTGTGGTTACAGATTGGATGTCTTAATAGTGTTAAGATGTCAGTTCTTCCCAACTTGATCTATAGGTTCAATGCAGTTCCAATCAAAATCACTGCAAGCCATTTTATAGATATTGACAAACTGATGCTAAAGTTTATGTAGAAAAGCAAAAGACCTAGAATAACCCATTCTAAAAAAGGACAAATTTGGAGGGCTCACTCTACCCAATTTCATGAGTTAGGATAAAGCTACAGTAATCAAGACAGCTGAATACTGGCAAAATAATAGACACATGGGTCAATGGAACGGAATACAGAGCCCCGTTATAGACTGACATAAATGTAGCCAACTGATATTTAACAAAATCGCAAAGGCAAGTCAAAGGGAAAAGGATAGTCCTTTCAGCAAATGGTGCTGAAACAACCGGATGCCCACATGCAAAAAGCAGAACCTACACACGGGCCTCACACCTTTCACAAAAAAATAAATAAGTAAAGAGTTCAAAATGAATTACTTTTTTTTTCTTTTTTTTCTTTTTTTTTTTTTTTTTTTAATGAGACAGAGTCTCACTCTTGTCGCCCGGGTTGGAGTGCAATGGCGCGATCTTGGCTCAGTACAGCCTCCACCTTCCAGGTTCAAGCGATTCTCCTGCCCCAGCCTCCCGAGTAGCTGGGACTACAAGCATGCGCCACCACGCCCAGCTGATTTTTGTATTTTTAGCAGAGACGGGGTTTCACCATGTTGGTCAGGCTGGTCTCGATCTCCTGACCTCAGGTGATTCACCCACCTCAGCCTCCCAAATTGTTGGGATTATAGGCATGAGCCACCGTACCCGGCCATGAATTACTTCTAATAGTTCCAGGGTTTCTTTAGGGAGTGATTGAAATGTTTTGAAATTAGTGATGATAGATGCACAAACTTGTGGATACACTAAAAAAAAAAACACTGAATTGTACATTTTAACAAAGTGAGTTTTATATTGTATTGCAATGAGTTTTATATTATATGGCAATAAAATAAAATTAACTCAAAATAGTTAATACACATAAATGTAATGTGCACAACTATAAAACTTCTAGAGGAAAACATAAGAGAAAATCTCTGTGACCTTGGGTTTACTGATGAGTTTTTAGATACAACACCAAGAGCACAATTCATGAAAGAAAAAAAATTGATAAGTTGGACTTTATTAAAATTAATTTTTCTGCTCTGTGAAAGGCGCTGTTAAGAAAATGAGAAAAACAAGTCACTGACTGGAGGGAGATATTTGCAAAACAAATATGTGGTCAAGAACTTTGTGATAGTCAATTTTAACGTGTCTACTTGGCTGTGGCATGGGATGCCCACACGAACTATCATTGCTGGGTGTGCCCTTGAAGGTGATTCCAGACTGTGCGGCTCCACAAGGCCAAGGGGGCTGGAGGGGCTGGCGGTGGCCACACCAGGGAGTGATGGGACAGGCAGGTAGCTGAAGCCTGATCACCGGACCTCAGGCTCAGCATCCTGGGCAGGTCTCTCTGGGCCAGGCTGGCCCATGACACCCACCACAACGGTGTTGGCAAGGACCAAACACGGTGTGTGCAAGAGGGCTTTGCCAATCGCCAAGAACTAAATAAATGCCGGGACTATTATTATTATTATTTCTTAGCAAATTAACTACCCATATTACATAATTGCAAAGTGCTTCTGAGCTAAGCAGATCAGGACAGCAACACTCATTAAAAATTCCAAGCGACTCCACATGATTTGCTGACCTTTGCATTCATTCTTGCCTTTTCTCTCCTCATTAAATCCTATTCCTGGAGCTGTTATTAGCTCCCCAGCCTCTCCCCTGATTAAATAATGACCCAGGATCACTCGCTTAGGTGTTTCCCATTTTCACTGCAGCTCTGGCCCCAGGCGCCCCCACCCTGGATGCGGTTGCACTTGTGGCCGATGCTGGCTGATTAGGCGATCATCACTAAATCACCCAGACTCCTATGCACAGAGTGTGCCTCTCACACCAATTATTAAAAGCTTGCAATTTTCGGGGGGTGCGGGGACTTCACATTTACAAATAATTAGGTTGGGATTCGATCTTCCCTGCAGTGAAAGGACACTAATGACTCCCATTCTGTCCAAATTCTTATCTTGAAGGTTGGGATGGTACGAGGAGTTCTTCCTGCTGACAGCAGAGAGGAAGCCCTTAGCACAATTTCTTCTTTTGAATGGAACCAAGGCCACCTTGTTAGCTGGCACCTGAGCATCAAAACAAGTCTTTAAGATGTCCCAAAGAAACACCGATTCCCTACAGCCCCGGCCCATGTTTTCTCAAACATTTACTGACTTAAATTAGAAATACGGGCTCTGGCCTGGTGTGTGGCTCACACCTGTAATCCCAGCACTTTGGGAGGCTGAGGCGGGAGGATCACAAGATCAGGAGGTCAAGACCATCCTGGATAACACGGTGAAACCCCATCTCTACTAAAAATGCAAAAAATTAGCCGGGCATGGTGGCGGGCGCCTATAGTCCCAGCTACTTGGGAGGCTGAGGCAGGAGAATGGCGTGAACCCGGGAGGCGGAGCTTGCAGTGAGCCGAGATGGCGCCACTGCACTCCAGCCTGGGTGACAGAGCGAGACTCCACCTCAAAAAAAAAAAAAGAAAAGAAAAGAAAAGAAAGAAATCCTGGCTCTGATTTCCTGCAGGTGCACATGCTGCAGAGTGAGTTTTACAGTGGGTTTGAAGTTCAAGAAGGATCGATAAAAAAAAATCCAATTCAAATATGGGTGAAAGACTTGAATGGACATTTCATCAAAGAAGACACACAGACGGCCAATAAGCCCATGGAAAGATGCTCAACATCACAAATCATCCAGGAAATGCAAATCAAAACCACACTGAGATACGCCTCACATCTTGATGGCCACTACCAAGAAGACAGAAATTAGCAAATTAACTACCCATATTCCGTAATTGCAAAGTGCTTCTGGGCAGAGCAGATCAAGACAGCCACGCTCATTAAAAATTCCAAGCGACTCCACACGATTTGCTGACCCTCGCATTCATTCTTGCCTTTTCTGTCCTCGAGTGTTGGAAGGGATGTAGAGTAATTGGAGCCCTGCGCACTGCCGGTGGGGGTGCAAGACGGTGCTGCTGCTGTGGAAAATAGTGTAGCTGTACCTCACAAAATTAAAAACAGAATTTCCATATGATCCAGCAAATCCACTCCTGGCTTAGCCAGGTGCGGTGGCATGCACCTGTAGTCCCAGCTACTCCGGAGGCTGAGACAGGAGAATCACTTTAACCTGGAAGGCGGACGTTGCAGTGAGCCAAGATTGTGCCATTGCACTCCAGCCTGGGCAACAAGAGCAAAACTCCGTCTCAAAGGAAAAAAAAAAGTCCACTGCTGGGTATATACCTGAAAGAACTGAAAGTAGAGGGTCTCACACAGATCTTTGCACACCCATGCTTACTGCAGCACCATTCACAACAGCCGGAAGGTGGAAGCCACCGAGCCCATTGATGGATGTGACTGGATGAACCAAATGTGGTCTCTCCAGACAATGGAATATCATTCAGCCTTAAAAAGAAGGAGATCCTGACACATGCTACAACCTGCACGAACCTGAAGACATTGTGGTGCGTGAAATAAGCCAGTCACGAAAGGACAAATACCGCATTACGCTACTCATGGAAGGAAACTGGAGTACTTGAATTCATAGCGAAAGAAAGCAGAGTGGTGGTTTCCAGTGGCTGGGGGTGGGGAGATGGGGAGCTAGGCCCAGGGAGAGCGGAGTGGTTTGTGGTCCTGTTCTAGAAAAGTCTCTATTTGGCCAGGTGCAGTGGCTTACTCCTGTAATCCCAGCACATTGAGAGGCTGAGGCAGGTGGATCACTTGAGGTCAGCAGTTCAAGACCAGCCTGGCCAACATGGCAAAAACCCATCTGTACTAAAAACACAAAAATTAGCTGGGTGTGATGGTAGGCACCTGCAATCCCAGCTGCTCAGGTGGCTGAGGCAAGAGAATCGCCTGATCCTGGGAGGCGGAAGTTGCAGTGAGCCATGATCATGCCACTGCACTCCAGCCTGGGAGACAGAGCAAGACTCTGTCTCAAAAAAAAAAAAAAAAAAAAAAAGAAAAGAAAAAAGAAAACTCTCTATTTGACCATATTAATAGGGTTCTTTACCCATGGGAAACCTATGTGGACTCTTCAACTAAGGACTTTTTTACAAAAAATAGACTGATACAAGCAAAAGGACTTTGGAGCAGCCTTTGAGTCTTAAAACCTGGTAGGTGGGTTTTACTCCCCATGGAGGAGTTGAAAGTCTTGTCCTTGCTGAGGGAGAGCTGCCACTGCTCTGTCCAGGCCTTGGGAAGAGATTGCAGAGGTTTGTTGAAAAGCTGAGGGCAAACGGGGTCATGATTCACCAGTGGTTCATAATAAGAGTCGTCGTAAATTTCATCCTAAATCTACTTAAATGGAGATGAGGGGAAACTGATTCACGTGAAGAAGAATCAAAGGGAAGGTCTGAGGAAAGGTGGTCTCGCCAACGCGGAGGTGGTGGTCGTACCTAGCCACCTGCCTCCCGCTGCCCTTCAAGGCAGCCCAATGCTCCCAGCATGCACAGGGGTGGCTGGATGTCCCCTCCCCAGATTCCGGGGTTCTCCCAGCATGCACCACGGTGACCTGGACCACTGCTGCAGAGAGAAGGGTAGGCCAGCTGTAGGGAGAGAGAGATGGCCGGGCATGGTGGCTCATGCCTATAATCCCAGCACTCTGAGAGACCGAGGTGGGAGGATCACTTGAGGCCAGGAATTCAAGACCAGCCTGGCAACATAGAGAGGCCCCATCC
Source organism: Homo sapiens (assembly GCF_000001405.40). Lineage (NCBI taxonomy): Eukaryota > Metazoa > Chordata > Mammalia > Primates > Hominidae > Homo > Homo sapiens. The sequence continues at coordinate 131,868,803 of NC_000010.11, forward strand.
CTACAAAGAGAGAGAGAGGAGCTCTAAGCCATCTGCTAGAGGTGCACTTTCCCAAGCACACAGGCCTATTGCATTTAAATTTCTTTTTTTTTGAGACAGAGTTTTCCTCTTGCTGCCCAGGTTGGAGTGCAATGGCACGATCTCGGCTCACTACAACCTCCACTTCCCAGGTTCAAGCAATTCTCCTGCCTTAGCCTACCAAGTGGCTGAGATTACAGGTGCCCACCACCACATCTGGCTAATATTTTGTGTTTTTAGTAGAGACAGGGTTTCACCACGTTGGCCAAGCTGGTCTCAAACTCCTGACCTCAGGTAATCTACCCGCCTCAGTCTCCCAAAGTGCTGGAATTACAGGCATGAGTCACCATGCCTGGCCTAAATTCAAATTAATTATAAAGAAATGAAATCTGAAAATCACTTCTTCAGCCACACCAGCCACATTGCCAGTGCTCAGCAGCTCTGTGTGTCTAGTGGCTGCTGCACTGGGCAGTAGAGACCTAGAACACTTCATCTTGGTGGGAAGTTCTAGAAGGTTCTATTCACAGAGCTCTCCTGGGGGTAAAACTTGGATTCTGACCTCAGGGCCACATTCTCCCAGCCTGGGAATGAAGGTCCCAGATCTGGAGGATTGGTTGTTTCAAATCTACTTCAAGGATTGCACAATCCCAGCAGCAAGAGGAGAAACTTGAGAGGACTCCGCCTTCCTGCCCAGATGCGGGGTGGACGCTCCCCAAATACTCCACAGTGTGGAAGTCAAAAATGAAGCTGCAGCGGTGCTGGTCTCCCAGGAAAATGGAGGGCAGCTTCAGCCGGGCTCGGAAGAATGACGTTGTTGGTGAGTAATCTCAGATGACGTAAACCCACATTTACTAATAAAATCTCCAGCATCATCCATATAAGGTAGAGTTGACTTTTCACCTCCTAAAGCCTTCATAATTGCTCTTATTTTTATGCTAGAATGTTATCTCTGTTGAAATGTTGGGTTTTTTGCATCCTATTAAAAGTGTTAATAAGCTGTGTTTAAGACCTTACTTTGCAATTATGTTGAGCCAACTAAATAAATCAATACTGACTTTCAGCCCATTTAAGGAGTAAAATTGAACTCCTGCTAATTTAACAAATATTTTAAAAATCAGAGTTGATGAACATGTTAATGTTGTCCAAAATAAGTGTATTTAATTTGTGGTGATAAACATGAGGCCATCACCCACCAATCCTTCGGCAGGGAGGTGGGGAGGACACAAGAACGGGGGGCAGGCAACAAAGTGCCTTTGGCGGGGCCAGGCTGCGGGGCCTTCCCACACGCCTGTCCATGGTTTCTCACTCATCTGAGAAGCAGCATTTTCAAAGCACTGCCTTCCCCTTGAATAAGCACATGTCTAGCGGAGGCAAGTGCAGGTGAGCTCTGTGGGGGTCCTTGGGTCCCCAGGACCTGTCTTGCCAAATACTTTCCACAGCTCAACTCACCAACAATATCCCCCTTTCTTCCCCCGACATGGCACATGCTGTCATCTTTAAAGGGTAAAAATGAGCCCAAAGACTAAAACCCAGATCAATTCCCAGGCAAAAGCTTCAAAACCTTCGGATTGTCATGTCTTGAATAAACAACAGAAGTTGGTTTAAATCAAAAGGTCTGAATGGCTGAAGCTGAAGCCACCCTCCAGCCAGGGGAGATTGAGGGGCCAGGCAGGGGCAAGCCTGCCCAGGACCAGGTCCCTTCACCCTCACCTGCTGGGATCACACCAGGGAACACGGCCTGGAAACGGAGGCTCTCCAACCCGAGCAACTCGTCCAGGATCACCCAGGGAGTAACTACGGGGCCCATTGGCCAAGCTGGGCAGGATGACACCTGCCGGGGCTTTCCCCAGATTCTGGGCAAGTGAGCTTGCTGCACCAGGGATCTGGAATGTGGCCTGGACCTGCCAGCCACACAAAGAAAACGTCCTACGAAATTTATTAACTCTTTTTTAATGCCAATATTTCACTATGTATAACATACTTATTCATTTTAATATAGAAAACAATGCTTCCGTGAGTTGTCATGGAGTAAGATCGGTGCTCCGGGAAGATGCATGGTTTTTATGCAGATTATACATTGTGTATACATTGTGTATACATTGTGTGCTTCTGTTATACAGCGGTGAGGGAAGCCATCTGGCCTGGGGCTGGATTACAGATGGGAGCTCCACCCAGCAGACGGAGTTGGCGAAAGACACACATTTTCTTTTCCTGGCATTAACTTCTTATCAGCCTAGATGGCAGGATTAGGGATGAGACAAGGATGCTTCCAACGAGAGAGCACCCTTACTCACACGCCTTCCCATGAAGCACACTGCCCGCAAGTCACAGGGTGCGGCCCGGGGCCCAGAGCATCCATGCCTCCAACTCGTGGAATCACATGTCCTTCCTGGCAAACTAGTGACAATAAACAACATGTACCATTCTAGACCACCATTCAAGTCCTCAAATATCCTGCAAATGCACCCAAATTACTCTTTTACTGTTATTTATATTATCTATGGAGTCTCATTTTTCCAAGTAAATTATTCTCTGCTTGACTCTGATATATTAGTTTGAAATGACAAGTATTAAAACAGTGAACACAAAATGAGCTCCCAGATAAAGACAAATGAATCTTCAGGTCTAGTGATAGAAGTTCCTGGAAGCCTATTTGAAATCTGTGTACTTAAAATATCAGGTGACTGAGAGATGCAGTGAAATGTAATGAGTCACACTCCGTGCTCCTTGGAAGCGTCCTTGTGGCAGGAACTGTGAGGTTACACAGCACCAAGGGGTCTCGAGTGTCTACAGCATGGGGCACTCACTATTCTCAGCTGCAGATTTCAGACACCCTCACAGGCTGAGTCCAACCAAGAGGAAATCGGGAGCCTGGGCCCAGGGTCCATGCAGGGCCTGCCCTTGGGTCCTGCAAAGGTTTTCTGACCAGCTGGGTGTACCAAGCTCTGGGGAGACGCCGGGGCTCCAGGGCTCACAGCCGGGAGCAGGAGTGGGCCGTGAGCCAACCCTCAGGGCAGGATGCTGGACACCCAGAGGAGAAACTTGGTGGCACAGAGGGTTCTGGAAAGTCCTCCCGGGGACTAGAGGTCGGAACTGAGTTCGTCAACCTGTAACCAGAAGAATCAGAAATCCCTGCTGTCTCAGACCAGTGGGGTCTCACCATGACAGGGAGCTAGGGGACAAGAGAGAGAGGAGAACGTGGAGTCTTTCCAGCTCTGGAATCAAGAGCAGGGTATTAACCCCTGACTTCAACGCGGGAGCCTTTAGTCCGAGCCGGGGACACAGGCACACAGGCCCCATTCCCAGCAGCCAGAGCCCATGGCAAACCCGGAGCAGGCCCGGGGGTCTCTGTGGTCCCTGAAGGCGGAGACAATGGCAATCAGTGGGAGCCCTGGCCAGACCCCAACTCAACTCACCCGAGGCTTACATAGGGGATCCTCTGTGAACGAGCACCCCCAGAGAGGTGGAGGCCCACCCTGGCCCTCCAGGAGAACACAGGGCAGCGTGCTGTGTCCTGGGACATAATTCTGGTCCCTTCCCTTTTGTTTCCCAGATAATGTCTTCCCAGGAAGTCCCTCTCGCCACCTCCACCCCACCCTCAAAATGCCAGGAGCCCGCGTGGGTTTCTGAATCCACCACTGTCACTCTTGCTGCCACCGGGTGCCACTGCTGTAGACAAGTCCCCTCAAGGACGGGGGTCCCTGCAGGTCCTCAGCGGTGCCCATCCCTGGGCTCTGGGCTTAGTGCTTCCTTCCTTCGTGCTATGGCCACAGCCACCGCCCCAAACACTCCGTGCATCAGGGCGGCCTCACAGGCCCAGGCGTCACCATGCCTGCCGAACCCGCCTCCTACTCAGCCAGACCCCAGGCTCTCCCTTCCCTCAAGCACCCTGTGATGTCCCCGGGTCCTGCCCTGCCTGGGATCTAAGTCAGGGCCCTCCTAATCCAACAGAGGAGCTGCCCGAATGCTGAGCCTCACGAGGAAAAGATCTCTAACTGGATCCCATCCTCCAGAGGTTCCCAGGCTGTCATGCCCTCCCGGGGACCTCAGTGAGGCAGCGCTGGTCCGTGATTCCATGAAACCAAAGAGCCTGCTGCTCACTCCCTGGAGCTGCACATCCACTCTTACTAACCACACGGGGGAGAGGTCCCGGCTCGTCCTCGTGCTGCACTCCGAGCAGGCAGGAGCAGGGCAGCCCAGGCTTGCCAGCTCCCTCACAGAACAACCTCAAGTGGCTGTGGCTAGGGAGCCCAACTCCAGGTTCCACCCCTGCTAGGGAGCTGTTTCCTGAGTCAACAGTGGTACCGAGTGTGACCGGCATGGGGGGAAAGCGGGTCACGCAGCAACCCTGGACGCTGGCTTTGGAAGGGGTGGACTCTGCTCCTGGGCGCTGTGGGGACGCCCTCATTCCCGGGTTGTGGCAGCACTGAGCGGAGGCCTGAGGCGCTGGAGCTAGTTCTGGACAGCACCTGGCCACTTTCCCCTGCACAGCCTGGCATGTCCGCACCTGCACCCTGCAACCACTCCCTACAGGAGCCCCTTCAAAGTCAGAGGATGCCGCAGGCTTTGAGTCTCCTCAGTAGGGGACCCCCATAAACAAGGAGGCCTGTTTCTATAATCAGAGCTTCCTGGAGCTCTGGAATTCAGAGCAGACATTAATTCTACTTTTTTTTTTTTTAAGACAGAGTCTTGCTCTGTCACCCAGGCTGAAGTGCAGTGGCGCAATCTCAGCTCACTGCCATCTCCGCCTCCTGGGTTCAAGCGATTCTCCTGCCTCAGCCTCCTGAATAGCTGGGACTACAGACACATGCTGCCATGCCCAGCTAATTTTTTGTACTTTAGTAGAGACAGGGTTTCACCGTGTTACCCTAGCTGTTCACGAACTCCTGAGCTCAGGCCATCCACCAGCCTCGGCCTCCCAAAGTGCTGGGATTACAGGCGTGAGCCACCGTGCCCGGCCAACGTTAATTCTTTAATTCAACAAACGTGTATCTGGTCTACCTCGGAGCTTGGGGGGAATTCCTGGGAGGCCGGGAAGGACAGGCTGAGGCCAAGGACATGGTGCTCAGGCCAGGCCCAGTGCCATGCAGGGAGACCTCAGAGGCTCTGACCAAATCCACCAGGAGAAAGCAGAGTGGCCCAACCACGCCCACCCCAGAAGGAAAATGCCTCAGTGTCTCTTTCCTCTGTGCTAGAAAATGGCTTTGTTTCCCTCAGGGCGCTGGAACCGGACCCCGTGCAACTTCTCCCAGGAAACTGGTCCCCGTGGCCCATCTGGGAGACCCTCATTCCTGCATCCTGACACCTGCTCTTCCGAGGGGAAGATTCCACGGAAACAAACTCCTACCCCCCAGCTGAGACCCCTCCACCCTTAGACTCCATTCTGGGGGCTGGAGCTTAGAGAGGCATCTCCACACTCACCCAGCCGATGCTTCCCTGGCTGGGGGTGGGAGGGCCCAGGGTTTGGAGGGCAGCCCCCGAGGAGGTGCACACTCACCTCCTGGCTTCTTCCTGGGAGGCTCAGCAATGCTACACATGCCCAGCCCTGCTCCAGAAATGCAAAGTTGAGGGACCCATGGAAACGGTGGAGGTGTCCGTGTAACCAACAACACATCTGCAATTGCACCCGTGATTTGGCAAACCTACTTCTTTTCTCTTAATTTTACTGGCCGGATTTGGTGACATCAATAAGCAAAGCTCTAAACCTAACATCACAAAACCTTTTTGAAGACTGAATCGCGACAGAATCTCCCACTTTCTTCTTCACAACTCGAGTGGAAACCAGATTAACATTTAAAATGAAATAGTCACGGAATATTTTAATAGCATTTCTCAGAGACCAGAACTTTGTTCCCTAGTGGCCAACCCAGGAGGAAGATTTTGTGTCCAAACTCAGGAGAAATGAGCATTTTTTTTTCCTACCTGTTTCTTATGAGGTGAATGAAACGGGCATTCTCTTTGTTTGATTTTTCTCTTTCTTTCAAAGACTGTCAGGAAAATGCCTCAGTTTCCTCCTCTCTAAAACAATGAAAGTTAAAAGGTGATGACGGATGACAAAGGTGGAGGAGAACGAGGAGGAGCTCGAGGAGGAGGGGAGAGTAGTCTTGGGAAACAGAACATGAAAGCTGTGATAAATTTCAGCAATGCTGTATCTCATTTCAGATGTCCTCCTGTGGGTTTTGCAGACAATTTAACAGAAGTCCAACGAAAAGGGAAGTTGCCTGAAAGAGCCGGCTCCCAATCCTTTCAAATGAGGTCCGAGAGCACCACCCCGCGGCAAGTCCCTCTCATTGCTGTTGCTTGCGTTTGCTTTCTGAGCCCCTCCTCCGGCCTGGTGCAGCTGCCTCCCGCTGCCGGGACCATGCCAGGAAGGAGCCAGGAGGCGAGTATGCACCTCCCCAGGGGCTGCCGGCCAAGCCCCGAGCCCTGCCCGCCCTCCCCAGCCAGGGAAGCACCAGCTGGGCGAGTGTGAAGGTGCCCCGCAAAGCTCCAGCCCTCCAGAATGGAGTCTAAGGGTGGAGGGCTCTCAGCTGGGGCGGGTGGGAGTGGCGGTTTGTTTCCATGGGAACTTTCCCTTGGAAGAGGCAGGTGTCAGGATCTCCCAGCCAGGGAGGATGTTTGCCTTTGGAATGTGTCCCGAGTCTAAATTATTTAGACCTTGTCTACATAACCTACCAAAGAGCGTTTTGGCCCCGCCTGCCCCTCCCCAGAGGACACGGCAGTGGCGCTGAGGGGCCTGGGTGGATCTTAAGGAAAACTGAGCCACAGGCCACTGCCCCCCAACACCTTCAGCTGCTTCTGCCTCAAGGGGGATGCTGCCCTCTGTTTCTGCACGGTTTGTGTCTTTGGGGGCAGGCCCCGGCCCGTGACACATGCAGGGCTTTGTCTCCCATTGGGCGGCTGCAGGCGGCCCCATTCCAGGCCATCAGCAGGACCCCTAGAGCCCCAGCCCCAATCCTCCAGGTGTGGGAGGGTGGACATGAGCAGGCATTAGGGCACAGTCCCCAGGAGCCACGCAGGGCCTGAAGGGGCTTCCACCTGGACCCAGGCTTCTCCCTCCCCTCCCTTGCAGGGAGGCTGGCATCCTGGACACAGCCTCAGGGGTCGAGCTCAGGCTCTCCTTCCGGTGGCCGGAGGAGACCCCACAGTCCCTGCTTCCCCTCCACAGGCCCTGCTGCCCACTTCTCTCTTCTTAGCTCTTCCTGTCTTTCGAGGCAGACTTCTTGTCTCTTCAGGCCCAGAGAGGGAGGGGACAGATGGCCAATTCCCTGCCAGTGGTCACTGCAGGCCCCGAACCATTCCCCACCCAGCTGGCCCGCCCTCCCTCGCCTGGGGGCCAGGATCGGAGGGGAAGATAGAGAAGCACCTTCTCCTGCTCGGACTCGGGTTTCAGGCTCCAGGCCTGGATTGCCACAAATTAGCCATGTGACTTTGGGAAGTTACTTCCTCCTGCTATGCCTCAGTTTGCTCATCTGTAAGAGGGGATAGATAATAGGAGGCCACGTCCCACCAGGTCGCTGCACCCCCGGCCAGGAGTGTCACTGGGACTCTGCCTAGGTTCCACCTTCCTTTGTCTCCTGAGACTCCCCCCCTCCTCCGGTAGGCACGGGACTCCCTGGGAGGGGAGGGGCGGTGACCCTGAATCCTGGCCCAACACACTAGTTGCCCCGTGAAGGTGCTAATAGGGTATTGAACAAAGCCTCATCAGGTATTACAACACCCAGCATATAAAACCTCATTCTTCCAATCTGCTTTAGAAAAACAACTTTTCCTTTAAGAAAGGCTGATTAAATCCAAAGGTGTCACTTCAGTGATCTGGCAATTTTCCAGACCGAAGGAAAGGCTGGAGCACGGGAGACTCTGACAGTGAAGAGACCAGCGGGCAAGGGGAGGGCAGAGGCCTAGGTGCTGCGGGAGACGCACAGGAGAGGCCCAAGTGGGTGGGAGCTGGAGGGTCTGCCCGGAGGGAGGAGGGGTCTGTCCTGGAGCAAAGAGGAAAGGGGAATCTACAGGCAGCCATGTGGAGAGAGATGCTCCCTGCCACGTTTCCACTGTTAATTCTGGAAACTAACTTTCTAAATAGGTTTTTTAAGAAGAGAACGTCTTATAGTAACTTAGTAAACTTTCTTTTTTTTTTTTTTTTTTTTGAGACAGAGTCTTGCTGTCTTGCCCAGGCTGGAGTGCAGTGATGCGATCTCGGCTCACTGCAACCTCTGGCTCCCGGGTTCAAGCGATTCTTGTGTCTCAGCCTCCCGAGTAGCTGAGATTACAGGCGCCTGCCACCATACCTGGACAATTTTTGTATTTTTGGTAGAGATGGGGTTTCACCATGTTGGCCAGGCTGGTTTTGAACTCCTGACGTCAGGTGATCTGCCCACCTCCACCTCCCAAAGTGCTGGGATTACAGGCATGAGCCACCACGCTCGGCTGTAGTAACTTAATAAACTTTTTACATAATGGACCTTCCCCAAGTAGATAAGGAACATCTACAAAGAAGCTACAGTTAACATTAGATGGTGAAAAACTAGATGCTTTTCTTCTAAGATCAGAAAGAAGGCAAGGATGTCCCCTCTGGCCACTCCTATTCAACGTCGTATAGGAAGTCATAGCTAGTGCAGTAAGAAAAGAAGAGGAAATAACACGTGTATAGATTGAGAAAGAAGAAACAAAACTGTTCACAGATGACATGATTTTCTATGTAGGAAATCTCAAAGAATCACCCCCCAAAAAATCCTGGAATTAATAAGTGATTATAGCAAGGCTCCAGGACACAGGGTTAATATACAAAAGTCCATTTCTTTCCTCTATAGCATTCATTGGACAATTGGAATTTGAGATTAAAAACACAACACCATTTATGTAAGCTCCAAGAAAATGAAATACTTAGGTATAAATCCAACAAAATATGTATAAGACCCATATGAAGAAAACAACAAAACTCTAATGAAAAAAATCTAAGAGCTAAATAAATAGAGAGACACTCCGTGTTCATGGATAGGAAGACTCGATATTGTCAAGATGTCAGTTCTCCCTGACTTCCTCTATAGATTCAATGCACTCCCAATCAAAATCCCAGTGAGTTATTTCATGGATACTGACAAACTGATTTTAAAGTTTATTCAGAAAGGCAAAGACCTAAAATAGCCTACACAATATTAAAGGAGAAAAGAGTCAGAGGACTGACACCACCCAACTCCGAGTCTTATTATAAAGTGACAGTAATCAAGACAGTGTGGTATTGGCTAAAGAACAAGCAAACAAGTCAACATAGTAAAACAGAGAGTGCAGAAATCGACCCACATAAGTATCAACTGACCTTTGACAAAGGCACACCAGCAAATACAATAGCGCAGAGACGATCTTTTCAACAAACGCTGCTGGAATAACTGCATACCCCGTGCAAAAAAAAAAAAAAATCAGTCTAGACACAGATCCTCTACCCTTCACAAAATTTACTCAAAGTGGATTACAGACCAAAATGTAGAATGCAAAATGAACAGTTCCAGAATATGCCATACAGAAAATGTATGTGACCTTGGGTTTGGTTTTCAGATACAACCCCAAATTGAGGTTTGATTTCATTAAAATTTCAAACCTCTGCTCTGTAAAAGATGCTGTCAAGTAAATGAAAAAACAAGCCACAGACTGGGAGAAAATATTTTCAAAACACACATCTGATAAAGGGCTTGTATCCAAAGTACGCAGAGAAGTCCAGCAAAACCAGGTTGGAGGGTGTCTCAGTTTCCCACAGCTGCTGTAACAAGCTACCATCAATTTTACAGCTTAAGACAACAGAACTGTATTCTCTCACAGTTCTAGAGGCCAGAAGTCCAAAACCAGTTTCACAGGGCCAAAATCAAGGTGTCAGCAGGGCTGTGCCCCCTCGGGAGGCTTTCTTTCCTCCTCCCGCTGCAGGGGCTACCAGCAGTGGTTGGCTTTTGGCCACATCACTCCACTCTCCCCACCGTCTTCACGCTGCCTCCTCCCCTGCGTGTGTTAAGTCTCCCCCTGCCTCTCTCTAATTAGGATGCGTGTAGTGACATTTAGGGCCTACCAGGATGATCCAGGATGATCTCACCATCCCAAGACTCTTAATCACATTACAAAACCCCTTTTCCAAGTAAAGTCACATTCACAGGTTCTGAGAATCACAACGGGGACTGACCTGTGGAAGCCATGATTGACCAACCACATCAGCATTAGAAAGGGTTCTCTTGGCTGGGCGAGGTAGGTGGCTTACACCTGTAATCCCAACACTTTGAGGGGCCGGGGCGGGTTGATCACCTGAGGTCGGGAATTCAAGACCAGCCTGACCCACATGGAGAAACCCCATCTCTACTAAAAATACAGAATTAGCCGGGCATGGTGGTGCATGCCTGTAATCCCAGCTACTTGAGAGGCTGAGGCAGGAGAATCGCTTGAACCCAGGAGGTGGAGGTTGCAGTGAGCCAAGATGGTGCCATTGCACTCCAACCTGGGCAACAAGAGTAAAACTCCATCTCAAAAAAAAAAAAGAAAGAGTTCTCGCCGAAGAGAAGACAGCACATCGAGACCCACAGGGAGAGGCTGGGGACTGCTGGGTTTGGATGAAGTCCGAGAAGAGAGCGCCCTGCTTGGTGGACAGACGTTTTGGGGAGTGGCAGGATCCATTGTTCATGCAGCACCATTCCTCTCAGACACTTCTCGAGAGGCTACAGCAAAGATTTTCCGTGGTTTTTTATTCCTTTTGGGTGTCAGCTCATCTCTCGCTGCATTTCTTCCAAGTGCAAGGTGGAGCTCAGAGAGACGCCTGGAGGATGAGGCGGCACGGGCAAACCTCAGGGCATCGTGGGCTCAGTTCCAGAGGCCACAGCACAGTGGTGATCACAACAAATGCAGCCACACACACTTTTTGGTTTCCTAGTGCATGTCAAATGTATGTTTACACTACACTGCGGCCTAATAAAGTGTGATAGTGATAGCATTATGTCTAAAAAATGTACATACCTTCATCTTGAAATATTCATTGCAAAAAAACACTAATGAAGTGACCACAGGCTCTGGGAACAATGGTGCCTATGGACTTGTCCTGTGTGGTGATGCCGGAAACAGCCAGCGTGTGAAAAATGCAATACAGTGAAGCGTGATAAGAGGAGGGGAAGGAGGTGTGCCTGCGTGTGGAAAACTTTCATCGGAAAAGTCACAAACAATGAGGTGGATGCAGGTAGCTCTAGCCCGGAGGCTGGTCTGCAGGGAGGGCCGGGGTGTGGGTGGGGCCCAGCCAGGACCCTCGGATAGGTCCACGTGGCCAAAGCCCTGGAGGCAGGCAGGGTGGGGCCCAGGGGCTGACCCAGGTGCTGATGGGTGGGGGCTGCCTGGGTCCACTGACCCTCCTTCTGGCCTCAGGCATGGGCATGGGGTGAGGGAGTGGCCTGGGCAGGCCCCAGAGCATCCCAGGCTGAGACACAGATGACCAAAGTGTAGTCCTCCCCCACACAGGCAGAGTCCTGGAAGCCAAGGTCTCCACTCCAGGCCCGCGAGGTCCTCCCCACCGCTAACACCATCGCTGTCCTCTCAGGATCCTGGGGGCTCCGGCACTCTCCGGCCCCACTGGCTGAGCTGATTCCATCCCTGCCTGGGCTCAGGGCATTTCTCACTCTGACCCATCTCTCTGCTTCCCTCTGACCCCCCACCCTCAACGTTGCCTGGAGCCGGGAAACAGCTCCAGGCAACACTGGGCTTTATGTCTCAACAGCCTCATGACCCAAATCCTCCCCTACCAGGTCCCGTCAGAAATCCTGGGAAGAGGTCAGATCAGGCTGACGTGGGTTCTGCCCAAGAGTGGCCCAGCTAGTTTGCAGGGGGCTTCTATCACTCGGGGGGGTACTAGTAACAGGGAGAGGCTGCGCAGGAGAAGAGAAGGCCATCATCTCCCTCCCCTCTGAGGCAGCAGAGAGTGAGGACCAGGAGGCCTCTGGCCAATCAGCTTTCCCTGGAAGCGCAGCCCCACCCCATACTCGCTCCCTGAGGCTGCCCACATCCCCTGGGAGGCCACACTGGGTCCAGGCTCCTCTTCTCCCTCCTTGAGCCCTGCTCTGGTGGAGCAGAGGCCGGCCCTGCCCTGGGCAACTTTGCAGCCACCTTCTAAAGCACTGGGGAGCTTCCTGGTTACAGGGTGGGGGGAAACATCCTGAGACTGAATGACCAGGGACACTTGCCCCATATCAAACATCACCTCCTCCACACCATGCTTTGAGCCCTGGGCTTAGGACTGGAGACCACCATGGTAGGAAGGGGTCTCCACCCTCACACAGCTCCACATCCACCAGAGAACAGAGAAATCAATGCCCCCCCCGACACTGGACATCGTGGTGTAGCAGGACGAGCCGTAGACAAAACCCCTCAGACACCGGGTTAAAGAAGGAAGTGGCTTTATTCAGCCAGGAGCATCGGCAGACTTGCGTCTCAAGAACTGAGCTCCAAAGAAAGAGTTCCTGGCCCTTTTAAGGGCTTATAACTCTAAGGGGTCCACGTGACAGGGTCATGATAGATTGAGCAAGCATGGGGTACGTGACTAGGTGGGGGTAAGCAAGGCGAGCATTTCTCCATGCCATTGTCTGTGATCTATAGATAGCACAAGTGATTTAGGGTGAGGGTTGATCTTTAACCTTCAGGCCTGGCCAGTGGCGCTGATCAGTCTGTTATTTTTCAGTTCTAACTTCCTCCTTTTCTTTGGAGACAGGAGACAGTAAGAGAAATGGCCTCTCCCCTCAATGGGAAGAATCGTTGCTGTAAGATACAGCAGACTTCCTCCACATCCAGCCCAGTCCAAGGCTGGCAGAAGAGAGGCCTGTCCCTGTGGAGTGGGTGCAAGGCTACTCCCCGAGGTGGCTGCACACCAAGTACCACGCATGCCAAGTACCAGGCACACCAAGTACCACGCTTACCAAGTACCATGCTCACCAAGTGCCATGCACACCAAGTACCACACTCACCAAGTACCATGCTCACCAAGTACCACACTCACCAAATACCATGCACACCAAGTACCATGTTCACCAAGTGCCATGCACACCAAGTACCATACTCACCAAGTACCAGGCACACCAAGTATCACACTCACCAAGTACCATGCACACAAAGTATCACTCTCACCAAATACCATGCACACCAAGTATCATATTCACCAAGTACTATGCACACCAAGTACCAGGCTCACCAAGTACCACACTCACCAAGTACCATGCATGCCAAGTACCAGGCTCACCAAGTACTATGCACACCAAGTACCATGCTCACCAAATACCACACTCACCAAGCACCATGCACACCAAGTACCACACGGGCTACATCTGTCTGGTCTGATGACAGGAAAAACGAGGGCTCCCTGCAGACCACTTCTTGGAGCATTCCCTGAGGCTGGAGGGCAGTGAGTTGGCCATGCCCGGCATGGTGAGTGGCCCAAAACCTGTAGCCACGCCACATGGACCCTGCTAGAAATGGCCAAGATGGCCTGAAAAGTCAGTGGGGGGCTGGAGGGCCCAGCCAGGATCCTGCTCCCCATTCCCCCGCCAGCCCCTGGCAGCCCCAAACACTGTGCAGAGTCGCAGGGGTGCCCACCCATATCTCCCTGACCGCCTCCTTCCAGGGCACACTCATCCCAGGGGGCAGGCACCTGTGGGGTTGGCACATTGGCACCAGCCCACGCCTTTGAGTGTTGTGGTGTATGTGAGTGTGTGTGTGTGCACACGTGCAGTGTGTGGTGGGGAGTGTGATGTGTGCCGTGTGTGTGTAGTGTGTGTGTGTGTATAGTTTTCAGTATGTGTGGTGTGTGTATGTGGGAGGGCTGTGATGTGTGGGGTGTGTATGTGCTATGTGATGTGTGGTGTGCATCTGTGTGTGTGGTGCATGTGTAGTGTGTATGGTGGGTTTTGTGTGTGTGGTTTTATGGTGTATGTGTGTTTGTGTTTTCTGTGTGGTTTTGTGGTGTGCATGGCGTGTGAAATGTGGGTGTGTGTGGCATATGTAATGTGTGTGTGGTGTGTGTGGAGTGTGGTGCATGTGATGTGTGCTTGTGTGGTGTGTGTGTGATGTATGGTGGGAATGTGGTATGTGTGTGTTTGTGTTTTGTGTGTGGTTTTGTGTGTGTGTGTGCCGTGTGTGTAGTATGTGGTATGTGTGTGGTGTGTGGTGCATGTGGTGTGTGCTTTGGTGTGTGTGTGGTGTATGCGGTGATGTGTGTGTGGTGAGTGTATGTGGTTGTGTTTTTGTGTGTGAGGTTTTGTGGTGTATGTGTGGTTGTGTTTTGCGTGTGGTCTTTGTGGTGTGTGGTGTGTGATGTGTGTGGTCGTGTGGTGTATGTGGCGTGTGTGTGTGTGTTTGTGGTGTGTGTGTGGTTTTGTGGTGTGTGTGGCGTGTGTGTGTGTGTGTTGTGTGTGTGGTTTTGTGGTGTGTGTTGTGTGGTGTGTGTGTGGTTTTGTGGTGTGTGTGGCGTGTGTGTGTTGTGTGGTGTGTGTGTGTGGTTTTGTGGTGTGTGTGGCGTGTGTGTGTGTTGTGTGGGGGTGTGTGTGTTGTGTGGGGTGTGTGTGTGTGGTTTTGTGGTGTGTGTGGCGTGTGTGTGTGTTGTGTGGGGTGTGTGTGTGGTTTTGTGGTGTGTGTGGCATGTGTGTGTGTTGTGTGGGGTGTGTGTGTGGTTTTGTGGTGTGTGTGGCATGTGTGTGTGTTGTGTGGGGTGTGTGTGTGGTTTTGTGGTGTGTGTGGCGTGTTGTGTGTTGTGTGGGGTGTCTATGTTGTTTTGTGGTGTGTGTAGTGTGACCATGCTCACCCGGCTGTGATGTACCTGCTGGGTTCCCTGTCCCTTCCCTGGTTCACCCATGTCTCTCCTACTGAACGCCCAGCTTCTTCAGAGCCTTCTCCAAGGGGTGAGGAAGTGTGTGGCAAACACTGGGCTCCTGGACCAGGGGCACCCACCCCAGGAGCATTCACCTCAGAAGCGTTGACCCAAGGAGAACTCATCCCAGGAATGCTCACCCCAGAGGCACCTACGCTAGGAGATCTCACCCCAGAAAAACTCACCCCAGGGCACTCACCTTAGGAAACAGTGGTACTGGCAGAAAAGAGGTCAGGCAGTGCCACTGGCTTCCTACGGAGAAGCTCAAAGGGACAGAAGAATTCCTGGTGAGGCCTGCCAGGAAAGGCACTGGCCACTTGCTCTGGGGTCACAGACACCTGCCTTGGGAGGGAGTCACAGACACCTGCTGGGGGGGCACAGACACCTGCTGGGGAGGGACAGACACCTGCTGGGGGGGCACAGACACCTGCTGGAGAGGGACAGACACCTGCCTTGGGAGGGAGGCACAGACACCTGCTGGGGGGGCACAGACACCTGCTGGGGAGGGACAGACACCTGCTGGGGAGGGACAGACACCTGCTGGGGGGGCACAGACACCTGCTGGGGAGGGACAGACACCTGCTGGGGGGACACAGACACCTGCTGGGGAGGGACGGACACCTGCTGGGGGGGGGACACAGACACCTGCTGGAGAGGGACAGACACCTGCTGGGGAGGGACAGACACCTGCTGGGGAGGGACGGACACCTGCTGGGGGGGACACAGACACCTGCTGGGGAGGGACAGACACCTGCTGGAGAGGGACAGACACCTGCTGGGGAGGGACGGACACCTGCTGGGGAGGGACGGACACCTGCTGGGGGGACACGGACACCTGCTGGGGAGGGACAGACACCTGCTGGGGAGGGACGGACACCTGCTGGAGAGGGACGGACACCTCCTGGGGAGGGACGGACACCTGCTGGAGAGGGACGGACACCTGCTGGGGAGGGACGGACACCTGCTGGGGAGGGACGGACACCTGCTGGGGGGACACGGACACCTGCTGGAGAGGGACAGACACCTGCTGGGGAGGGACAGACACCTGCTGGGGAGGGACGGACACCTGCTGGGGGGACACAGATACCTGCTGGGGAGGGACAGACACCTGCTGGAGAGGGACAGACACCTGCTGGGGAGGGACAGACACCTGCTAGGGAGGGACGGACACCTGCTGGGGGGGACACAGACACCTGCTGGAGAGGGACAGACACCTGCTGGGGAGGGACAGACACCTGCTGGGGAGGGACGGACACCTGCTGGGGGGACACAGACACCTGCTGGGGAGGGACAGACACCTGCTGGAGAGGGACAGACACCTGCTGGGGAGGGACGGACACCTGCTGGGGGAACACAGACACCTGCTGGGGAGGGACAGACACCTGCTGGGGAGGGACAGACACCTGCTGGGGAGGGATGGACACCTGCTGGGGAGGGACGGACACCTGCTGGGGAGGGACGGACACCTGCTGGGGGGACACAGACACCTGCTGGGGAGGGACAGACACCTGCTGAGGAGGGACAGACACCTGCTGGGGAGGGACGGACACCTGCTGGGGGGGACACAGACACCTGCTGCGGCCCACGCCAGAGCCAGGGTTTCTGGACTTGGTGTTTCCACGCAGGCGCCTGCGCCACACATCCAGGCAGCCTCCGCGCCCTGCCCCAAGTCCCTGGGTGTCCACATGGTCAGCACGGGCAGGAGCGCGGGCCTCGGCCCGGGTGCGCTTTCCATTCCCGAGGTCGTTTGTAGGAACTGGGGTGATGCCGCCTCCCGCTGGGGCTAAACCTGCCAGACTGGAAGGAAAGTCTGCGCTGAGGGGCTGCTCACACTCGGCCAGCAGGAGGCAGCAGAGGGCAGCCGCGCCCTGGCTGGGAGGCGCCCAGGGCCGGAGGGTTGCGCTCTGCAGGGTGTGTATCTGCAGGCCTGGGCTCAGCTGGCAGGATTGCGGGTCTGCAGTGTTTCTCAGGTTGTTTGTACTTCGACAGTAAGAGCTGGGCCCAGAAAATGATTTCCCAGCTCTGCAAAGATTCACAGTAAGAGCATTTCACAGGTAGGAAGCACGTCACCAGTGTTCAGAGAGCTTTCATTTATTTTCTTTTGGCCTCATAACTCTTTATGGCAGGTAGGTCAGCAGAGCAAGAACTGTGACTTATCAAGGATGAGCAAACAAACCCGGAGAGGCTGGAAATGCACGCGGGGTCCTCGAATTAAAGCTGGGCTGGGAATACCATGACTTAGATTCCCAGTGCCCAGCCCCAGCCTGGCCAGGAGGGTGGTGGCCCTGCCCCAGCTCCACCCAGCTATCTGTCCACCCTGCTTCTGGTGGGCCGCCTGGGGCCAATGCATCTCCAGTTATACTCCCATCCACCGTGATCCCAAGGAGCCAGGGTCTTGGTCTTACACCCCCAGGCTCATGGACACTCACTGAGGCTTATTTTTAGAGCTCAGAGGACTTGAAGTGCTCCCTGAACCAGCATGCGTGGGTCAAGTTGGAAAGGGCACATTCTAGAATTTCTTGTTTTCAGTTGGTTTTATAACGCCTTTTGTTTGAATGTATTGACAGAAGACTCAGTACCGGACCCCTGAGAATGAGTCACCCCTCTTAATGGTGTACTGCCCTGTCAGTGGCACGTCTCAGGAGGTGACCCACTCGGCAGACAGCAAAGTGCTGAGTGCCATGATGGTTTCCCAGGGAGAAGGCGGATCCGAGCCGGTGGCGGGAGAAGGGAAGAGACAAAGGCCCACGCTGCGTCTTCTGGGAGTGGAGGAGCCTTTCTTTCTGGAGCAAGCAGAAAGTCATCTTATCAGTCAACTTGGCACTTCCTCCCATGAGAACGTGAGAAGATTCACATGGTTAAGGGGACTTTGATGTACAGAGATCTTGTTTCACTGCACAGGATTTTTAAGTTACTCAGATAAATGGGGGAAGACTTGACACTTATTGTGCATAATTTGAATTCAAATAGGCTCCCAGTGAAGGGAAATTACCAGACACTTCGAACAGAGTCTATGCCTTCCGTTCTGTGCCTTCTGCTGATATTTAGGCTCAGAACTGCCTTAGAGCTGCCTGATTTGTATAATCTAGAGAACAAAACCATGTTTTGGAATATCATAAAGCTGATATTTTTATTTTTGAAATGAAGTTATCCCCACCTGTGAATTATTTCTAAAACAAAAAAAAAAACAAAAACAAAACCTCTTAGGCTGGGCGTCATGGCTCACGCCTGTAATCCCAGTACTTTGGAAGGCCGAGGTGGGCAGATCTCTTGAGGGCAGGAGTTTAAGCCCAGCCTGGGCAACATGGTGAGACCCATCTCTACTAACAAGACAAAAATTAGCCGGGTGTGGTGGCACACACCTGTAATCCCAGCTATTCGGGAGGCTGAGACACATGAATCGCTTGAGCCTGGGTGGCAGAGGTTGCAGTGAGCCAAGATCATGCCACTGCTCTCCAGCCTGGGCAACAGGGCCAGACTCTGTCTCAAAAATAAATAAATAAATAAAATGGATCATAGACCTGACTGCTTCTTGGCCTTTCAGCTATAATAAGTGTAAAATAGATCATAGACCTGTATGTGAAATGCAAAACAATAAAACTCCCCCAAGATTACATAGAAGAATATTTTAGTGACTTTTGATTTGGAGACGAGTTTTTAGATACAACACCAAAGGCATAAGCCATAAAAGAAAAATATGATAAGTTGGACTTCATTAAAATTAAATATTTCTGCTCCATGAAAGACATTGTTAAGAGAATGAAAAGATAAGCCACATACTGGAAAAGAACTGGCAAAACACATACCTTATAAAAGATTGTATCCAAAATATACAAAGAACTCTTAAAATGTAACCGTAAGAACACAAACAACCCAATTTTGAAATGGGCAACAGATCTGAACCTCACAAATGAAGATATACACATGGCAAATAAACATATGAAAAGATACTCAGCATCATACATAATTAAGTAATTGAAAATCAAAACAACAGGCCGGGTGCTGTGGCTCACACCTGTAATCCCAGCACTTTGGGAAGCCAAGGCGGGTGGATCACTTGAGGCCAGGAGTTCGAGATCAGCCTGGCCAACATGGTGTAACTCCATCTCCACTAAAAATACAAAAATTAGCTGTGCGTGGTGGCCTCCCACCTGTAATCCCAGCTACTTGGGAGGCTGAGGCAGGAGAATCACTTGAACCCCGGAGGTGGAGGTTGCAGTGGGCCAAGATCATGCCACTGCACTCCAACCTGGGAAACAGAGCAATACTCTGTCTCAAAAAAATAAAATAAAATAAAACAACAATGAGATACCACTGCATGCCTATTAGAATGGCTAAACTTTAAATTTGACAATATCAAATGTTAGTAAGGATGAAGAGCAACAGGAACTCTCATTAATTGCTGGTGGGGATGTAAAATAGTGCAGCCAATTTGAAAGACAGTTTGTCAGTTTCTTACAATGCTAAACACACTCTTACCATAGGATCCAGCACCCACACCCCTAGGAATTATTCCAGATGAGTTGGAAACATGTCCATGCAAAAACCTGAAATGAATGTTTATAGCAACTTCACTTACAATTGCCAAAAGTCGAAATTACGAAGGTGTCCTCCAAAAGGTGAATGGATCAAAAAACCGTGGTGCGTCATACAGTGGGATACTATTCAACAATAGAAACAATGAGTCATCAAGCTGTGAAAAGACCTGGAGGAGTCTTCAACGTCTATTACTAATTAAAAGAAGCCAATCTGGAATGGCCACAGGCTATATGAAGCCAACTACATGACATTCCAGGCAAAACTATAAAGACAATACAAAGAGCAATGGTTGCCAGGGGTTGTTGGGGGCAGGGAGGGACGAATGGGTGGAGCACAGGCTATTTTTAGGACAGTAAAATGATTTTTTTTTTTTGAGACAGGGTTTCATTCTGTCATCCAGGCTGGAGCACAGTAATGCAGTCATGGCTCACTGCAGCTTTGACCTCCCAGGCTCAAGCAATCCTCCCACCTCAGCCTCCTGGGTAGCTAAGAGGCTCAAGCAATCCTCCCACCTCAGCCTCCTGGGTAGCTAAGAGGCTCAAGCAATCCTCCCGCCTCAGCCTCCTGGGTAGCTAAGACTACAGGTGCATACCACCATGCCTAGCTAAGTTTTCCTTTCTTATGCTGCCCAGGCTGGTCTCAAACTCCTGGGATCAAGCAATCCTCCTGCCTCAGCCTCCCAAAGTGCTGGGATTACAGGTGTGAACCACCATGCTCAGCCATGAAACGGTTTTATATGATACTATAATGGTGAATACATGACATGATGCATTTGTGAAAACTCATGAAACTATACAACACAAAGAGTGGCCGCTTATGTGCACTATGAACTTTAGTTAATAACAAGATATCAATAATAGCAGTTCATCAATTGTAGTTAATGTCAATAATTACTAGTTACACTAGTACAAAACATGACTAATAGCAGAATTTGTATCTGTGTGTGGAGGAAGGGGGTATATGGAAACTCTCTGTACCATCTGCTCAATTTCTGTAAACCTAAAGCTTCTCTAGAAAATAAAGTCCATTAATTTTAAAAAGCAATTAGGAGCCGGACATGGTGGCGTACACCTGTAGTCCGAGCTATTTGGGAGGCTGAGGGAGGATGATAACTTGAGGCCAGGAGTTCAAAGCTGCAGTAAGCTATGATCATCCCACTGCACTTCAGCCAGGGTGACAGAGCAAGACTCCTTCTCTAAAACAAAATAAAAATAATTATTTGAAAAATTAAAAAACAATTAGGGTATCATCTTGGTTTAAAAAATGTCAACAACCTTTACCCTAGATTTACACTAGTATATTCACAATTCTGAGATCCACGTGCGGGTTCCCTTGCCTGGAGTAACTAAAATCCCAGACATGCTCTAAGATCCTGTCAACTCCGTCTTGGGAAAAGCACCATCTGCTCAGAAGCCATCACTGCCTTCTCCTTTGTTTGAGGCCACATGAGTAAATCTCTGACGGTGGGATGATTGTACCTCAAGGCTCACATACGCATGGAGGTGGGTGAAACGCAGGTCTTTCCCATTCTTTCTGCAGCCGTCCATGGGGTCATTGTGCCCCTGCATCACTCCCGCGCTCACTGCCGGGCCCAGGACACTGGGGGAGGCCTTAGGGAGCAGGTGCTGAAGTGGCCTCCCCACTGAACAAAGCTAGTGTGCTGGTGAGACACACACCCAGGGGGTTTGTCTTTCTCAGTCTGCAAACATCAGGCAACAAGCATGGCACCATTCTACAACTGGGTTCAGGGTTCATATTAGGCCCGAGCTCTGTCAAATCTGTATAAACACACTGGTTTGGGGTCCCCGTCCCTCTTTCTCTCTGTTGGTCTCTCACAGGGGAGGGCTCTGGCTCTCCGTTAGCAGGCGTCCACACTGGCGTCTCTCAGACCCACATCTACCCTCCCAGCCCTCTGCCAACACCCTTCTTCACCCTCAGGTGGGGGCCCCTCATGGTGACCACAAGACCTCTTCAGGGCCTACACACTCACACACATACACAGAGACACACAGAGACAGACACACGTAGCGACAGAGACACAGACAGAGATACAGAGACAGACACACACACAGACACAGACACACAGAGACAGATACACACAGAGACAGACACACACAGAGATAGACACAGACAGAGATATACACAGAGACACACAAACAGAGACAGACACACACAGACACACACACACAGACACAGACACACAGAGATAGATACACACTGAGACAGACACACACAGAGATATACACACAGACACACACACAGACAGAGACAGAGACACACAGAGACACACACAGAGACAGAGACACAGAGACATACACACAGACACACACACAGACAGACACACAGAGACACACACACAGAGACACAGACACACAGAGACACACACACAGACACAGACACACAGACAGACACACACAGAGACACACGCACAGGGATATACACAGAGATGGACACACAGAGACACACAGAGACAGAGACGCAGAGACAGACACACAGAGATACACACACAGAGATATACAGAGACACACACACACAGACACAGAGACATACAGACACACACACAAACAGAGACACACACAGTAGACACACAGAGACACACTCACAGAGATAGACACACACGGAGACAGATACACTCACAGAGGCGCACGCCCCAACAGGGACACATATGGACACAGACACACACAGGCAGGCTGAGTTCAGTCCTCACCCACATAGGGGAGCAGGAGCTTCTCCACGCCCTTCGGGGACACTCTGGGGCAACCTGGTGCCCTGCAGCTGCGTCCCCTTCCTGAGGAGGGCCCGGGGCCTCTGCTGAGGCCACTGCTCCAAGGCTCCTAAAGTGGCTGCTTGGCCCCCAGCCCCCACATTCTCCAACTTCCCTGGGGACGCATATTCATTCTCTGTGGCTGCTCTACCTAGTGACCAAAATTTAGTGGCTTAAAACAGCACAAATGTCCTCGTAAGATTCTGCAGGTCAGAAATCTCAAAGCAGCCTCACAGGGCTGAAATCAGGGCTGGTGCCCTCTGGAGGATCCAGGGGAGTCGCCAGCCCTTGCCTCTCCCACCGTGAGGCCGCCTGCCTCCTCGCGGTGGCCAGCCCGCCAGCCTCTGCTTGAGTCACCTCTCCTCCCTCTCCAGCCCTCCTGCCCACTCTGTGACTCCCCCTGGCCACCGCGTCTCCCAGGATCCTCTCCGTCTCAGGATCCTTCACTCAATCACATCAGCACAGTCCCTGTGCTCCAGAGGCTGCTGTCACAGGTCCTAGGGATTGGGACGTGGACGTCCTTGGGGGGCCGTTCTCCAGCCGACCACAGGTGCCAGTGTACCCAGCCCGGCGGGGGGGGGGCCGCTTGTGGCAGACTGGCTCCTCCTCCGAGGCCCCCCTCTAGCTGTCCTCTCAGACATCTGCTCAGACATCCAACCCAGAGACTCAGGGACAGAGAGCTGGCACACAGGGCAAGGAGCCTTCCACATTTTTCTGTCTTACACCTGTACTTCGGCTCGTTATCTTAAACTGAACAGTGAAGGCTTTGAGAGTGTGTCCCCTGGTTCCGTGCGAAGGGCCACGCCCAGAAGAAAAGGAGCTGCTCCACCCAATGGGAGGAGTCCGGGGAAAGAAAAGGGGACAGGGTTCGGTTCCCCACAATTCTACTCCCCTCCAGCTATCTGGGAAAGGACCTCAGGAATGCATGCCTCTGCCTCTGCCATTGCAAGGTGAGGTCCAAGGGCCATGCCGCCAGGCACTCTGGGCTTAACCTTCTGCATAGAAGACAAGAACACCAAACTCCAGGAAGGTGGGATTCCTTCCTGGTGGCTGGGCTTGGAGGGAAGCTGGGAACCAGAGAGAGGGCCTCGGTAGAAACTGCCGGGAGGCTGCTCCAAGGGCAACTGGGAGAAATCCGAGGGGAGCAGAGCCTACAGCAGCCACGCATGTGGAGAAGAAGACAGGAAATCCTTGAAAGAGAGAGCTATTGGGAGGAAGGGCTAAGGAGTTCACATGACGTGCTCCCCTGGCCAATCTGCAAAGGTCAAGGATGGGGCGTCAGGAGCGGCCCCTCCAGCCACGGCACAGGATCCACTGTGTGTTCCCCGCAGCACCGGCGAAGCAATCAGCCACAGCAGCTGCGTGGAAAATCCTGCCCCACCACCATCCTCTTGTCCCCACGCACGACGATCCCGGGAGGCAGTGACCAGAGGGTTCAGTTTCCAGGTCACTGCATGAGGGTGTCCTTCTTGCCAGGCAGAGCCAGTGCTGAGGCTCCCCTGCAGCCTCCCCACGCCATGGACGGTGGAGTCGGAAGCATAAAAGCCCCAGGACTGCGCCGTGTTTAATAACATCCAGACTCGAGGTCACAAGCCCCAGCCTCAAGGTTAGAACTTACCTTAAACTGGACTTCGATTCTTGGTGATTGTGAAGCCTTAAGCAAATTATCGAATCCCTCTATGCCCCAGTTTCATCATCTGAAAAAGCAGGATGACAATACTCAGCTCGTAGAGCTTTGTAAGCGCTGAATGAGGAGCAGGTGAAGTGCTCAGTGCCATTCTGGACACTTGGGCTGTGTCCAGGGTGCCGCTAAGAGCACAGTCGACCCCTCTTCATACCTGCACCTGCCAGCAGCTCACAAGGTGGCCCCTGCTGAATAAAAGCAGGGGCAATTAGTAGTGGACTGCTCATACACGGCTATGGTGTCAGCATGTCAACGTGAATCAATGACTGAACAAGACACCGAGGCTCAAGGACAGCAGGGGACAGCAAGATGAGTGAGTCTATGAAAGCCCGCGTATTTCTGCATGTACACGTACTTGCTTTCTTTCCCTGCTGTAACACATTACCGCAATCTTAACGGCTTACAACACCTATTTATTCTCTCACAGTTCCTCAGGTCAGAAGGCCGGGCAGTTTTGCCTGACTGGTCTTCTGCTTAGGGTGGTGGGAGCCTGAAATCAAGGTGACAGCAGGCCCACGCCCCTTTCTGGAGGCTCTCGGACTGAATCTCCTCCCAGACTCTTCCAGGCTGTGGTCTGAATGCTGTTCGTTTGGTCAGATTCCCATCTTCATGCCGGCTCTCAGTCAGGGGCTAGTCTTGGCTCCCCGAGGCGGCCCAGGTTCCTGCTCATGCCCTTCACGCACCCCTCCACCACCCGCCGGCCAGGTCCCTCTCGTGCTCTGATGCGCTCTGACTCTCCTTTCTGCTGAATCTCTGACTGCAGCTGGAGAAAGTTCTCGCTTTGAAATGCTCACACGATTAGATTAGGCCCGCAAGGATGATCCAGGATAATCTGCCGAGGTTAAATCCTGGAACTTTAAGGCCATCTGCAAAGTCCCTTTAGCCATGCAACGTAACATAGCCACAAGTTGGCTCTGGGGATTGGGGCATGGACATTTGGAGGGTCATTATTCTGCAGACCACACACATGCACACATCTCTCTTGTTCCTGGAACACCGATGTTCTCTCCACCACATTCAATACAGCGTGTAGAGATTTTTTTTTTGTTTGAAACAAGGAAGGAGTGCAGAGGAAGAAAGGGGACAGGCAAATGCCCCCAGGCCGGAGAAGAAAGGCCCAGGAGACAGGAGCAGGTGACTGTGGGGTTTTCCTTCTCAATTCACAACACAGGGCTAGTCACATCCTTCCGTCCATCCCTCTCTTCCTACCTCCCTTTCTTTTTTCTGTTCCTTCATTTCTTCCCATCTTTCTTCCCTTCCTTCAGCATGTGACAAAAATATGAGGATCGGATCTTTTCTGGCAGGAGGAAAGAAGAATGATGGGATGACATCTAACGCCTTGCCGGGCTCCAGCAGTACGAGGCAGCCATGTGTCAAAAGTCAGAGACACAAACCAGCACGTGCCCCTCTAATCACAGAGTCTCAGTGCAGGTCCTCCTGCCATTGCTCTTCCAGCCAGCCCACAAGCCGGGCAGACAGGGTGCCTCCGCCTCCTATTAGCAAGCTTCTAAATGTGGTTTGTTTTCCATGGAAAGATTGCACATCCTACCAATAGGCTACATCTATGATAACACTGAGATTGTTACTAAGTCTGAAATTGAAAATAATCCACATTTGGTATTTTCAAATAATATTTAGTAGTTGAAATCTAAATAAATCAAAATTATTTTAGGCTAGGTGCGGTGGCTCACGCCTGTAATCCCAGCACTTTGGGAGGCCGAGGTAGATGGATCACTTGAGATCAGGAGTTTGAGACCAGCCTGGCCAACATGGTAAAACCCTGTCTCTAATGAAAATACAAAAATTACCTGGACGTGGTGACACACACCTGTAATCCCAGCTGCTTGGGAGGCTGAGGCAGAAGAATCCCTTGAACCTGAGAGGCAGAGGTTGCAGTGAGCCAAGATCGCGCCACTGCACTCCAGCCTGGGCGACGGAGCGAGACTTCGTCTCAAAAAAAATAAAAATTAAAGGCCGGGCCGGTGGCTCACGCCTGTAATCCCAGCACTTTGGGAGGCTGAGAAGGGTGGATCACGAGGTCAGGAGATAGAGACCATCCTGGCCAACATGGTGAAACCCTATCTCTACTAAAAATACAAAAATCAGCTGAGCGTGGTGGTGCACATCTGTAGTTCCCAGCTACTCTGGAGGCTGAGGCAGGAGAATTGCTTAAAGCAAGGAGTCGGAGGTTGCAGTGAGCTGAGATCACGCCATTGCACTCCAGCCTGGCAACAGAGCGAGACTCTGTAAAATAATAATAATAATTTAAAAAAAGAAAATTAAATAAAACATATTTTAAAATAAAGGTATTTGGGGGAAGTGTGATTTGCAGACTCTTAAGATATAAAGTCCTTCATAGACTTGAAGAAAATTTATGGTAAGTTAGACTTTAAAATAATTCATTTGAGCTCTTTCCTTTTGCTGCTGTGGCCGCAGCCATGAGCACGCTCAGGCTTCAGAAGAGGCTCGCTGCTAGTGTCCTCCGCTGTGGGAAGAAGAAGGTCTGGCTGGACCCCAAGGAGACCAATGAACTCGCTAATGCCAACTCCCGTCAGCAGATCTGGAAGCTGATCAAAGATGGGCTGATCATCCCCAAGCCAGTGACTGTCCATTCCAGCTCGATGCCGGAAAAGCACCTTGGCCCGCCGGAAGGGCAGGCACATAGGCATAGGTAAGCAAAAGGGTACAGCCAATGCCCGAATGCCAGAGGAGGTCACGTGGATGAGGAGAATGAGGATTCCGTGCTGGCTGCTCAGAAGATACCGTGAATCGAAGAAGCCTGATCGCCGTATGTATCACAGCCTGTACCTGAAGGTGAAGGGGAATATGTTCACGAACAAGCGGATTCTCATGGAACACAGCCACAGGCTGAAGGCAGACAAGGCCTGCAAGAAGCTCCTGGCTGACTAGGCTGAGGCTCGCAGGTCTAAGACCAAGGAAGCACGCAAGCGCCGTGAAGAGCGCCTCCAAGTCAAGAAGGAGGAGATCTTCAAGACTTTGTCCAAGGAGGAAGATACCAAAAAATAAAAGCTCCCCCGTTGTCCGTACATACTGGCCTCCGTGATTACATAGATCAGCCATTAAAATAAAACAATCCTTTAAAAAAATCTGTTTTATTGAGGTATCATTCACATACAATAAAATGGGTCCACTTTAAGTGTCTTTTTCAATGAGTCTTGACAACCATTCGTGCTGCATTAACAGCTGCGGCCATCAGGATGCAGAACACTTCCATCAACCCAGGGAGTTCTTTCCCACTCTCTCCAGTCCATCCCCCACCCTCTCCAGTCAATCCCCACACTCGTGCCCCATGCCGTTTTTTTTGAGATGGAGTCTTGCTCTGTCACCAGGCTGGAGTGCAGTGGCGCGATCTCGGCTCACTGCAACCTCCGCCTCCCAGGTTAAAGCAATTCTCCTGCCTCAGCCTCCTGAGTAGCTGGGATTACAGGCGTGCGCCACCACACCTGGCTAATTTTTGTGTTTTTAGTAGAGATGGGGTTTCACCATGTTGGTCAGGCTGGTCTCAAACTCCTGACCTTGTGATCTGCCCACCTCGGCCTCCCAAAGTGCTGGGATTACAGGCGTGAGCCACCACGCCCAGCCCCTGTGCCATTTTTAAAATCACTGTAGAGCAGTCTCACCTGTTCTAGAACTTCAGGATTCTTCAGAGAAACCGTGTATGGAATGAGCTTTATTTTCAGGAACTCACTCACACAATTGTGGAGGCTGACAAGTTCAAAAACAGAGGGTGCACAGGGTGAGCAGGGCAGGCCGGCAGGCTAGCTCAGGCAAGGGCTGATACAGCAGCCTGGAGGCAGAATTTGTTCTCCAAGAAACCTCAGTATTTGTTCTGAAGGCCTTTGATTGATTGGATGAGGCTCACTCATATTATCAAGGGTAATCTCCTTTTCTCAAAGTCAACTGCCTGTGGGTGTTAACCACATCCACGAAACACCCTCGTGGCAATACTTGGCTTAGTTCTGATGAAATAACTACATACTATACCCTCGCTACATTGACACATGAGACTAAGTATGATAAAATAAAGGGGCGCATGCAGCTTGCACGCCTCCGTGTCTGGCTCCTTTCATTTTCGTAATATTTCGGGGACTCATTTGGGACTGCTGTTTGTATCAGTAGTAGCTCATGCCTTTTAGTTACTGAACAGTACTGCCTTCTATGATTACAATAGGCTAGATTCTAATACACACCAGGCATTTTCAATTCAGCTGTGAGATCTGAAAAACAATTTTAAAAAATAAAATTGCTGTCAATACTCAGAAACTTGTAAACACCAATTAGAATCCAAACAGAGAAATTCATTGAGCTATTAGGTTGGCGCAAAAGTCATTGTGGTTTAGCCAAATATTTTAAGTTTTTAGCATCATAAGAAGAATAGTTAAAAATCTCTTTTTAAAAAATAGTTAAAAATCTCTTGCTGGTCAGCTGATGCACAGTGGGACGCAGGGAAGGCAGCCCCCCAGTCTCAGGAATATGTTACTTTTGTGGCTATATCTTGTTTTTAGTTTAATTTAATGGGAGCTAATGAACCAGAAAATACATTCTAAACAAAAACTAATTATCTTGTCATCACTTCAAAAGACATATTTAACACACATTAAAGCAGTTACATAGGAACTAAGAATAAAATCCTACATCCCCCACTGGCTGAACGAACACCCCTGTGGCCAGGGGGGGCCCCAGGAAAACCTCAACACTGAGGCTATAATGGGGGATGGGAGGTCAGACAGGCCTCCTGATACCCCCGCCCTTTTGTGGTTTGGACACAACAGACCAGCGTTAACGTTAAACTAGAGACCATAAGACTGACAGAACGGACTCTGTGGCAGTAAGATGCCAAATCATAAACAGGGCCTAAGGCCGTGCGGGGGGAGGGTGAAGCCACGCACCGCACACTTACAGAGAAAACGTCGTTCCCACTGCTGTTGGGTTTTCCTTCCCTCCAGCAGCTAAATAAGCACTGGCCTTGATAGGAGCAACATTAAGCAACTGCAGCTCCACCAGCCACTAAGTGACCCCCAGCCCTGCTCCAGCAGCCGTAACTACAGCTTTCATTGGACAGAAGACTGTAACTGTCTCCTGATAAGAAACCACCGACCTTGGACTGGTTCTGGCCGGTTTACAGAGGTTGCACATCTGCATGCCTTCCTGTCCTGAAAAGACCTCTTGAGGTACAGGGCCTAGTCCTAATTTACTTATTTATTTATTTATTTATTTATTTAGAGACGGAGTCTCGCTCTGTCGCCCAGGCTGGAGTGTAACGGCACGATCTCGGCTCACTGCAACCTCTGCTTCCCAGGTTGGAGGGATTCTCCTGTCTCAGCCTCCCAAGTAGCTAGGACTACAGACATACGGGCGCCACCACGCCCAGCTAATTTTTGTATTTTTAGTAGACAGGGGGTTTCGCCATGTTAGCCAGGCTGATCTCGAACTCCTGACCTCAGGTAACCTGCCAGACTTGGCCTCCCAAAGTGCTGGGATTACAGTCGTAATATATTCAAATGTTTAGTCTCCCCGACAGAGTGAGATTGGGTCCTATGTTACATAATACACGTGTCAGGAGCCCCTTCCTGAGTATTCATAGCTCCTCCCAAAGCCTGTTGTCTATGTATGTTTAGCCAACCCGTTCAGCATAGAGCTCCTGCCCCAACTCCTCCTCCTACGAAGAGCCATCTCCCATCTTGGCCTGGGGGATGGCCACCTTGCTGGCTGTAACCATTTATAAGAAATAAAGTTCCTCTTTTTCTAAATTTATAAATTGTCAGGTTTTTAAGTTAACAAATAAAAGAGATCTGGTCATTAATTCAGGTTTTCAAGTGTCTTCCTGGGCAGATAGGCTAAATCTACATTTTAAAAACAAGATTACAGCCCCATTTTTCTGCTCTTCTTCTCCTCAACAGAGAAGTAGGTATTCACTGCCTCTAGTTCCTCTCCTGCCACTGTCCCCAGAGCCCTCTGCAAACTTGTGATCTGAGTCCATTCCATAGCCACCGCTCCGTCCAAGTCAGTAATGGCCTCCCAGTCCCTACAACCAAATGGTCACTCCTGTATACTCATCACATAGCATCACAGAGCAGCCACTCCCTCCTGTCTTCAGTGGATCCTGGAGATGGGTTCTCCAGGAGCCCACCTCGCAGGCTGCTCACTCATCCTCCACGTCCTCACCCCTTCAGGGCTCTGTCCTTGGTCCTGTCCCCCATCTGTCCTCCCTCCTGAGGTGACCTCACCCAGTTTCCTGACTTGAAATGACCTCTAAATGCTCTCACCTTGATGCTCTGGCTCTGACTTCCCTGTGTGCTCCCAGCCTGTCTGTGCAACAGCACTATGTGTTGACAGCGAACCTCTGGTCGGGCTGCACCGCCCCCACCCAGCTGTGCCTTCTGCTGCAGAAACTCCATCCTTCCAGGTGCTCAGACCACCCGAGAGCAGGCATTCCTAAGTCCCTGCTTTCTCTCACACCGCATCTTTTCCATCAGCAAATCCCAGGGGCTCTGCTGTCGAAGCACTTTTCTCTGAAATCTGACTGGTTCTCACCACCCCACCCCATGTTCACCACTCTATCCTCATCCCCATGCCTGGTCAGCCCAGCTGGCCACCTGATTGGTCTCCCTGCTTCCCCTCTTTGGGTCCCCACAAGCTATTCTCAGCAGAGCATCCAAAAGCCCAAGTCCATCACGATCGTCTTCTGTTCATGAGCCCATCTCATTCAGAGTCCAAGTCCCCTAAATGGCCTGCCCACTGTCCATCCTCCTCCACTTACCTCCCTGCCTTGACTCCAACCCCTGGCCTCCCCTCCACTCACTCTGCACCCACGCAGCTTCTGGCTGCCTCCTGCCCATGCCAGGCATGGCCCTCCTTCCTGTCCTGGCACTTGGTGGTCTCCCCTTCCTGGCCAAGCTTTCCTAGACGTCTGCATGGTTTGCTCTTTATCCTTGAGTCTTCTCCAGTCACCCCGTGCAAGACTCCAACTCTCCCCATACACATTTCCTTCTTCCCTGATTTTTCTCTCCAGCTCCGACTTATTATGTATTTATTTCCTTATTGTCTGTCTCCCCCACTGAAAGGTAAGCTCTACCAGGGCTGAGATTTCTCTGCTCTGTTAACCTCTCACCCCCAGGGCTGTGGAGTGTGCCGCACGTGGCAGGAGCTGTCAATAAATAATATTAATGGAGTGGACGAATGTTCCTGATTTGCAGCGACTGTCTTTTAGTGGTGCAATACCATCAGTGCCCACCGCAGCTACCCTGAAAGAAGTTCTGATTCCGGACATCAATCCCATAGGGACAGTCCCCCTGATGATAGCTCGACTTCAGATTTTTCAACTTTACGACGGGTAGATTGGGTATTAGATGCATTTTTGACTTAGGAAGGGCTTATTTGCGGGGAGGGTAGCCCCACTGTAAGTCGAGGAGCACCCATGATCGCTCAGTATGCCAGAGAAAACCACCCGCAAATGAAACGATCGGCCCTGTTTCCCTAAGACTGCACTGGGAGCTCCAAGAACCCCTAAGGTAGCCATCTGGTGAGCAACGGTGCGCTCCGAAAGGGAGGTGGACAGGATTGGGAGACCGAGGCCGGCAGATGGCTCGAGCCCAGGAGTTCGAGACCAGCCTGAGCAACATAGACCCCCGTCTCTACAAAAAATTTAAAAATCAGCGAGCCTGGCGGCGCGTGCCTGTGCTCGCAGCTACTTCCGAGGCTGAAGCAGTAGGATGGATTGAGCCCAGGAGGTCGAGGCTTTTAGGGAGTCGAGATCGCGCCCCCGCACTCCAGCCCGGGGAACAGAGCGAGACTCCGCGTCGGGGGCAGTGGGCGGGAGGCAGCGCTCAGGTACGGCGCGCTCAGGTGAGGCCGGCCCACATGCCCGCCCACCGCCGCCAAGCGCGTCCTCCATTGGCGGTTCCACGGAGAACCCACGTTTCCATTGGCCGATGCGGGATGGGGGCGTGTCCGGCCAAGCGGCGCCCTGAAGGCGTGTCCGGCCGCAGCTTAGGCTCTCCGGGAGTCCCCGGAGAGTAGGGGCGGCCGGCGGCGCTAGTCTTCTGGGGAGCGCCGGGTGCACACCGGACCACTGCGGGAGGCCTAGGGCCGAGGGCCGAGGAGCTGGCCTGCGCCCGGCGACCCCGGCTTCCCTCCGCAGTCGCCCAGGCGTCCCTTCCCCCCTACAGCCGAGCGGCGCCGGGCGCAGGCGCATTGGGCGCCCCCGGCAGCCCCCGCGGCCCGCCCCGTCCGCTGCCCGTCCGAGGAGGCGGAGGGCGATGACGTCATCGAGCGGGGCGACGGGCATTGGGCGCCATTTTGAAAAGGGAAAAAAATCCCTCCCCGGCGGCGGCGGCGGCGGCGGCGGCGCCGGCGGTGGTGGCGGCCCCGGGGCTGAGCGCTCGGCTGCAGCGGCGCGGAGGCCGTCTCCCTGGTCTGCCGCGGTCCCCGCCCGTCCCGCCGCCGGCTGCCATGGCAGGTGAGGGGTCTGCGCGGGCCGGCGGGGACCACGGGGGCGGGCGGGGGCCGCGGCCGGCCTGACCGCCCCGTTGTGTTTGCAGGAGCCGGAGGCGGCGGCTGCCCCGCGGGCGGCAACGACTTCCAGTGGTGCTTCTCGCAGGTCAAGGGGGCCATCGACGAGGACGTGGCCGAAGGTGAGCCCCGCGCCGCGCCCCGCCCCGGGACCCTCGCGGACAGCTCCCAGCCCGGCCGCGCGCGGCCTCCGGGCCCCAAGCGTCCGTGGAAGGCAGGCAGGAGGATGGGGGCCGGGCGGGGCAGGGGCCAGGGGCCGAGCTGGGGGCCGTGATCGGGGGGCGGCCGTCCTCTGTCCGCTGTCCCGGCCCGCGGGGCACGGGCGGAGGCGTCGGGCCCGCGGCGGGACTTATGTAAGTCACCAAGGTCACGGGCGGCCGGGTCCTCCGAACCCAGCGCCTGGGGCTGCCTCCTGCCCGGGGCGGAACCGAAGCCCGGGGCTGCCTCCTGCCTGGGGCGGAACTGAGGAGACCGCGGCGGAGCCGGGGACGGGAACGGAGTCCATATCGTGCGCTCGGGCAGCGCGGCACAATGGCCCAGAGGCTGGGAACGCGCCTAGGGCTGGGTCGGGGCCTCGGCCCCCACCAGGCTCTGCGTTTCATCGGCGGTGCGCTCTTGAGCGAGCTGGTTGCCTCGGCTCCCTGATTCTTAAGGTCTGCTTTCTGCGGTTCTAAAATCCTTGAATTTTACTGTGAGGTACTGCTACTTTCTCTACTGATATATTTTAAGGTCTCTATTCCAGATTTTAGTCTTGAACTTCATGGTATTACTTGAAGTTCACTGGTCTTTTCCTTAAATCATACTCTCAAATTGGCCCAGGCACAAAGTTTTAGGGTGGTGGGAGGGAACTGGGAAGTGCCTCCCACCCCAGCTTCCCATGAAGCTTACCTGTCACCTTAAAGTTAAAAAGCTATGTAGCTTTCCTTTTTCACCGTTGAATGGAGAACTTGGTCGAGTCTTAGAAGTTTGATTAATATTTCAGATTCAGAGTCATAGTGACTTTTTTGTTGTTGTTCATACATCTTACTGAACATTGTAAACCTTTAACCTTTTCTTAAAAATGATTGGTGTTTGCACCAAATACACCTTCCCTGCCTCAAGTTACTAAAAGCCCCTTGTCAGACGTCCTGTTCACTTCCCTCCATCTCGGCCCCCCCAACCCCGTGAACTTTTACTCCCTCTTCCCTACCCTGTACCTCTCCCTGGCAGTGTCTGGTTTGGCACATGACCCCTGAGGACATCTGGAGATTCTGCGCCCCCTGGGACAAACAGGGCCTAGGTTATTAAGCAGGTGAAACTGGGCTCTAAGAAATGCGTAATATATATGGTTTGAGATTAAAACTAGGTGCATTTTATGTGATCTAAAAAGTTTATTGATTTTATTTCTTTAAAATGCATTACTTTTTTTGTTTGATTTTGCATATGCTAAGCAAGTGACAGTTCAGCCTTACTCAAGTGTGATTTCTGTCGCAAGTAAAGCAAAACTTGTTTGGGAGTAGGAAAGTGAGAGGGCTTAATGCTTGCCTTAATTTCTGTTAACTCTTTATTTTGTTTTTTGGAGACAGGGTCTCACTTTGTAGCCCAGGCTGGATGGAGTGCAGTGGTGCGATCTGGGCTCACTGCAACCTCTGCCTCCTAGGCTCAAGCGATTCGCCCACCTCAGTCTCTGAAGTAGCTAGGACCACACACACGCGTGCACCACCACACCAGGCTAATTTTTGTATTGTTGTAGGGGATTTCGCCATGTTGCCCAGGCTGGTCTTGAACTCCTGGGCTCAAGTGGTCTGCCCACGTCAGTCTCCCAAGGTGCTGAGATTATAGGCGTGAGCCACCGCACCTGCCTGGTTTCTTTACTTAAAAAAAAAAAAATTATTGATAAGCTGAATGAATTAAAATTTAAGTATAACTAAGGTAGTATATTTTAAATGTGACTGTACACATATGAAAATAGTATTCTTTCTTTAAAAAAAATCTTGGGCCGGGTGTTGTGGCTCATGCCTATAATTCCAGCACTTTGGGAGGCCAAGGTGGACAGATCACTTGAGGTCAGGAGTTTGAGACCAGCCTGGCCAACACAGTGAAACCCCGTCTCTGCTAAAAATACAGAAGTTAGCCGGGCGTGGTGGCACATGCATGTAATCCCAGCTACCTGGGAGGCTGAGGCAGGAGAATCACTTGAACCCGGGTGGTGGAGGTTGCAGTGAGTGGAGATCGTGCCATTGCCCTCCAGCCTGGACAATAGAACAAGGCTCCATCTCAAAAAAAAAAAAAAAAAAAAAAAATCTTGACAAATACTTTGTTCTCTGAATTAAACTGATGGGAACTTTTTGCAGTTTTAAATCCCTATTTTAAGTTAAATTTTGAGTAAATCCAAAAGTTTGGTATTTCGAGTTGTCGTGGTTTCTTTTGTAACATTGCTTTGTGGTAATTATCTGCATGTGTTTTGGTTATTCTGTGTATTCAGAGCTGTCTATTTTAATCCATGTATGCTTTGGCCATAGTAACCCATCCAGATTAACACATTTATAAGTCACCATCGATTTGTCCCATAGTTGTGATACCGTTGCTTTGTATTAACACCAGAGAGTCAGTGATGATGAAGGGAAGTGTAGTCGTTAGTCACCAGGGATTGCTGAGCAGCAAGGATCAAGAAGCTGGTCATGCCCAAACGCAACCTTGAGGGAGAGATGTTGGTGAGAGATAAGAGATGGGTGGCTGGGTACGGTGACTCACACCTGTAACCCCAGCACTCTGGGAGGCTGAGGCGGGTGGATCACTTGAGGTCAGGAGTTTGAGACTAGCCTGGCCAATATGGCGAAACCCCATCTCTACTAAAAATACAAAAATTAGCCAGGCGTGGCAGGGCCGGCCTGTAATTCCAGCTCCTCAGGAGACTGAGACAGGAGGATTGCTTAAACCTGGGAGGTGGAGGTTGCAGTGAGGCGAGATGGTGCCATTGCACTCCAGCCTGGGCGTCAGAGCGAGACTCCGTCTCAAAAAAAAAAAAAAAAGGAGAGAGATGGCCGGGCGCAGTGGCTCACGCTTGTAATCCCAGCACTTTGGGAGGCCGAGGCAGGCAGATCACAAGGTCAGGAGATCGAGACCATCCTGGCTAACACGGTGAAACCCCGTCTCTACTAAAAATACAAAAATTAGCCGGGTGTGATGGCGGGCGCCTGCAGTCCCAGCTACTTGGGAGGCTGAGGCAGGAGAATGGCATGAACCCGGGAGGCAGAGCTTGCAGTGAGCCGAGATCGTGCCACTGCACTCCAGCCTGGGCGACAGAGCAAGACTTTGTCTCAAAAAAAAAAAGAGAGATGGGCAGTTCACAGGGGTTTTTATCGTGCACTGCTGCTCAGGCTGTAGAACTTAAGGTATAGCAGATTTTGTTTGTTTAGATTTGTGGCTTGTGAGGCATTTTGTTCTTGAAGGTTTTGTTCTGGGCCAAGTTCAGCTCTGTAGAGCTTTACTACAGCCCTGCACTCTGGCCGTCTTTCTGCCCTCTCTGCAATGGGTAAGGAGAAGGAGCCTTAGAGATTAAGGCCTGGGTCCTCTCCTGACTTCAGTGGGGTGATGCCCAGTGCACAGGAAGTGGTGCAGGGCTAGGAGTAGGCACTCCTGACTTTGGAGGTCATGAAGTGAGTGACATAGAAAAGCCTTTGGTTTTTGTTTTGATTTCTGTTTTGTTTTTAAAACTAATAGTTTTGGGCTGGGGAATCAGAATCAACCTATGGTGAAAGTGCTGGCCTATGTAAAATTTGATGCGCACCCCACCCCCCTTTTTTTTTTAAAAGAATTGGGTTTAGCTATGGGTCAGGTCATTTTGCTAAGAGTTGTGATTCCACTGGGTCATCAGACTTCCCATCCCCCTGCAGGTAGGAGTAGAGCTGAGCTCACAAGGAAGTTATTAAGTGTCCTGCTGATGAGCAGGTGTATAAGCAGCAGTCAGTGGTGACTTGCATCTCCTCCCTTTGCTGGAAGGTGGGACTAGGTGAGTTTATATGCTGAGTTGACCAAGAGTTAAAATAGTAAAACCAGGGGGCTTCCAGCAGGAAGCAAGTAGAAAAGTTGTTTGTTAGCTTCTAATTCCACGATGTTGCGGTTCTAAACGGTGGCTCCTTTCTGGAAATTGTTAACTGTTGTGCAGATTTTTTCTGCATGTTATGGAATCACCTTCACCCAGCCCCTGCTCCCTCTCCTGGAACGTACTTCATTCAGCATGTGATGTGTTTTGCAATGTCACATGGTATTTCATCCTTTGCTTCTCTCTCTGGTAGACTGAGCTCCTCAAGCTTGAAGGCTGGCTGTCCCCCTTCCCACCCCAGCCCTTGTAGAGGACCCAGCACGAAGGTCATGATAGGTAACAGTTGCTGAGTGGTCATTCTGTGCTAGAGATTGCTCGCAGTGCTTTTCCTATGTCAG
The DNA here is from genome assembly GCF_000001405.40 of Homo sapiens. Taxonomy (NCBI): domain Eukaryota; kingdom Metazoa; phylum Chordata; class Mammalia; order Primates; family Hominidae; genus Homo; species Homo sapiens. The sequence continues at coordinate 131,905,631 of NC_000010.11, forward strand.
TGAATCTTCACACCACCGAAGAAGGAAGGAAATACTGTTCTTCCCAGTCTCAGATGCAGAATCCGAGGCGTGGGAGCAATTAACCTGGGTCACAAAGCGAGTGTATGGCAGGGCCAGGGTTTGGAGCCACGCCGACTGGCCGCAGAGCCGTGGAGCGCTGTACTGCTTCAGCGACCATTTGCAGCCAGCACAGTACTGATGAAGCCCCACTGTGGCATGCGGCCGTCCAGCCTTGGGATGGAGCTGTTCTTCTAAAGCTCGGTGAAAATCTTACTACCAAGAGGCGTGTGAAAATGCTTTTGAAGGCAAATGAAAATGGAATGCCTTTAAAGGAAGTCTGTGTCAAAATGATAGAAGATTAGTAACAAGGATTCAAGAATAGCATCACTTTCCAACCAATTCTCAAACTATTTGAAGAGTAGATACCACAGAGACAGTAAGTAAGTGAAACACCTGCACGTCAAGCAAGTGCTGCAGCACCTTTGCCTGTGATGTCACTTTCCACATGACTGCAACCTGCTTACCTGCAGGGAAGCTATGGGTCTTGCTCCTTTATATATTACACTAATTGCTCCTATGGAGAAACCGTGGGGAGGGGTTGGGGGAGGAGGGTCTTATATTGAACCTGGTTTTATATAGCTTTATAGCTTGATAACAGCTGGTTCCTTTCTTCTCAGAATTTGTAGTTTTAAGTGTATTGGGGTTTTATTTGTTGATTTTGCTTTAATCAGTTTCTTAATCCATGATCTGTTGCTTTGAATTAGACATTAACCTGTTTCTAAAGAGATAGACTAAACAAAACTAAAGGTTTGTTTGCTTAAGTCAAGCTTGAGTCTGGGGAGTTATGTAAGTAACATAGATATCTGGTTAATCTGGTAGGATAGCCTTTCCAAGGGAGTTTACATTGGTACTTTGAAAGAAACATTTTAAGTCGCAGAAAGGTAACAAAAATTAAGTTAACTGTAGCATCAGCACCAGAAAGTTACTGTTTCATTGAATGTAAGATAATGTCTGGCTCGGTGGCTCACGCCTGTAGTCTCAGCACTTCAGGAGGCCAAGATGGCAGGATCCCTTGAGCCCAGCAATTTGAGACCAGCCTGGGCAACATAGTGAGATCTTGTCTCTACCAAAAAAAAAAAAAAAAGAAAGAAATTCGGGACGTTTGCCAGGTATGGTAGTACACACCTGTAGTCCCAGCTACTCAGGAGGCTGAGGTGGGGGCATCGCTTGAGCCAGGGAGGTTGAGGCTGCAATGAGCTATGATTGCACCACTGCACTCCAGCCTGGGCAATAGAGTGAGACCTTGTCTCAGAAAAAAGAAAAAATAATAATAATTATATATGTATATATATAATCTTTGAAATTAGGTGTGTCTTTTATATATAATCTCCTATAATGTCTTTTATATGTATATATAAAATCTACATCTAATTTCAGAGATACTAAGATGTGGGGAAATGTACTTAGAATCAATGAAATACGGTGTTGGTGAATGCAAAACTTGTCAGTCATATTTATTGATTTCTTCTGTGTACAGATAATGGGCATTTGGTATTTATTCATTTATATTTTTTTTTTGGTCTTAATGGGACATGGTGTCTGCTTATTTGAATTATTTCCGGTCTGATTTCTATATTCCATTGTAGAATTTTCATTTACTTAATATTTATATCTGTGCCATTGAAGAGAACCTTCAGGAAAGCATCCTCTGGGGAAGGCCATCAAACAAGCAAACAGTCTAGTAATATTTTGCAGTTTGACTTATGAGAGCTTCATAGGAAGCCTCTGCCTTTAGGAAGTCAGTTGTATGCCTTAAGATTCACAGACTCGCCGGGCGCAGTGGTTCACGCCTGTAATCCCAGCACTTTGGGAGGCCGAGGCGGGCGGATCACGAGGTCAGGAGATCGAGACCATCCTGGCTAACAGGGTGAAACCCCGTCTCTACTAAAAAAAATACAAAAAATCAGCTGGGTGTGGTCGCGGGCACCTGTAGTCCCAGCTACTGGGGAGGCTGAGGCAGGAGAATGGCATGAACCCAGGAGGCGGAGCTTGCAGTGAGCGGAGATCACGCCACTGCACCTCCAGCCTGGGCAGCAGAGCGAGACTCCATATCAAAAAAAAAAAAAAAAGATTCACAGACTCATCATGCTTAGTACAGCCACATCTTAACGCTCAGGAGGCTGGCCTGGTCATCGTTACATCGTGAAGTTAAGTTTACAAGATATGTGGTGGTATTGAATCATACCTGGTGATTTTCCACGTTCCCTGATTTTAAGCAGTCTGCTGTTCTGATGGGAAGTTCCAGGTTGGGTTTGTGTCTGCTGTTTTCAACTCTGAGGGCCCCTTTCTGAGCTTCAGCTCGCTTATCTAGAAGTTAAATCAGAAGCTTTTTGTTAAGATCAAACAATGTGCAGTGCTGTTGCAACTTGAAAAGTGCTTTTCAAGTATTAGATACAACTGTTAATTCTCTTGTATTTTAAAGTATTGGGGCTTGGTTTTAGCTATATTTAAACACAAAAATAGCAGTTTCTTGTTTTTCCTTACCTGCTTCATGTCCATCTACCCAGATCCCTTCCACTGGGCCTGGCCTCTTAATGTTTACGTTATTATTCAGTGATTATTCCCATCCCTTGATCTTTGCTCCTGTTTCTTTCTTTGCCTAGAGTATTTATTTTGCTTCCTGTCCATTCCCTAAGCCCTGCTGATCCTTCTAAATCCACCTCCAATCCCACTTGGCGAGTCCCTGCTCCAGCTCCCCTCAGCGTTCAGTGTCGTCTTAGACTCCAGATTTCCCTTTCACACTGTGTTCCATGTTGTTTAGCAATTGGCTGTGTCCTGCTTGTGGTTCCCTTATTTTATCACATGTATTATTAGGCTCGTCTCTCCCACTGGATGTCAGTCAGCATATGGAATGTCATGATATTACCAGGTGATGGAGAGGAATTGTGCACGTGGAATTTGGTACACATCCCTTTTTCACCCTCTTCAGGCTTTGTGTTAACTTGGGAAGTTACTTACTCTTTTCTCATCTGTTAAACGGGTACTATTACTTGTGACCATTACAGGGTTGCTGTGAAGATTCCAGAAAATGTATGGAAAGCTCTGACAAACAAACACGTTAACTGGTAACTGTTCAGAGGCTGTTGTCTTAAGAGACCCTCTTGCATAGGAAAATAGCTGACTCTGTCACTTCAGGGAGCCAGTTTAAGAAAAATGAAGGGTAATGCAGGGGCCAGCTTTCAGCTTGGCACATCTGAAAAGTTCACGACAGCATACCAAAGGGCTGCTAGTGCTGGCTGTTGGAAATAGAAATGCAGTTCTTGCCTTCAGGAAACGCTGTTTGGACACAGACAAGCAGGTGGGTCCTTGCACCATGGCTGGACCAGAGCACACTGAGGCAATGTGAAGAAGTACCCAGTACACAGACTTGGGTAGGGAGTGGAGGGGAGGACATCAGGGTATAAGAAGAGGGAGGAAGGGAAGGGGAGGAGAATGTTCCAGGTGGAGAGTGCTTGGTGTGGAGGTTGGACAGAGCATGGTATGTTCTGAGAGGTCAGTGCTTGGCATGGTCCTCTGGCAGAAAAGGGAGTGGCTGTGATGAGCAGGAGGCTGGCTGGGGCCACAGGATGATGAATAAAGGACTTGAATCGTGTGCTCAGGACTCTGAGTGATTGTGAGCTTTTCAGATCCTAAGCGGAGGAGCGACATCAGCTTTGTTTTTAACAAGGTCACTCTGCCCTTTGGAGAGTGGATGGTGGTGGGTAAGAATGGAGATAGGAAGTTACTGCAATAATAAAGATTGGGAAAATGGGCTTACTCTAGTTTCGGGGTGGCCAAGCTTTTTTGTAAAGGGCCAAATGGTAAGTATCTTAGACTTTCAGGCCATCCTGTCCCTGTTGCAACGACTGAATTCAACTCTGCCTTTAGCAGGAAGACAGCCATAGACCCTGCAGAGATGGATGGGCGTGGCTCTGTGCCCTGCTTCCACAGGAGCATGCCTACAGAAAACAGGCAGCTGGCCAGATGTCGCCCAGGTTGTGGTTTGCTAAACCCTGACCTAGAGTTGGTTTGCAAAGTCTTTTGGTGCTGGAATAATTTTATACTCTTAATAGTTATATTGAGGATCCAGAGAGCCTTTGTTTGTGCTGGTTATCGCTGTTGATGTTTTCTATATTTGAAATTAAAACAGAACAACTTACAATATTTATTTTACTTTAAAAGAATCTACTACATGTTAACATAACCTTTTTAATGAGAAACAACTTTTCAAAAACAAAAAGATTAAGCAAGAAGAACAGTGTTGTTTTACACTTTTGCACATCCTTTTAAAATATGAGGTTTAAGAGGTGACGGCTGGATTCTCAGACCTGCTTCTGCATTCCGTGTGTTCCAGTTGCTTTATTGAAATGTGTAAGGAAAATGTGGCGTCACACTTCCATGTGGGCAGAAGAGGGGTCATCCTGGAGGCTCTTAGCGATGCACCATAACTCGCCAGGTGGCAGCGTGTTTGAGTGTGCCGGCCTTTCGGAGTCAGTGACGTTTCTGTACTCTCTTCCGTCAGAACCCTGAGGTCTGTCTTGTGCTCAGAGTGGGTCTTTTGCTCATGGACATGATTTGGTAACATCACACGGGGGTTGTTTGGAAATATTGTTACATGGAGTTGTTTTTTTTTCTAAATGTTAACACATTCCATTATGTAAACTTGAAGAAAATCCTATTTTTTAATGTCATCACTGATCTCATCAGAAGAAAAAGTGAGAAACTGTCAAATTAGCAGTAGTAGAGAAAAGTTTTCCAAAATTCTAATTTTCTCTTGAAAGCTTGGATTTTATCATTGGTAACAAATACTGTCAGTTACTTTCTGTGAAGTGAGGGACGCAGTGTGTTCATTTTCAAGTCAATTTCTGCCAGATACCAAATTCTTAATAACCAAAGTTGGTCAGTTGTTCTTTCAAATAAAAATGGCATTCCATGAAAAAAAGGGCTAGTTCAGCTTGTGTGATACTGTGGAATATGTATTTGGTCTTCCCTAGTACACAACTCCTAAAATCCTCGGGCTCGTCAGTGATGTCTTCGTAATGCGTTGGCTAAGGGCCGGCAACCCCTGGGTAGCTTCAGAACAGGGGCTGGTCACCAGAAAGACCTAGGCAGGATTAGAAGGTTGGGACTTTCAGCCCCGATCCCCAACCTCGGGGAGTGGTGAGGGGTGGGGGAGCTGAAGGTTAAGCTGATCACCAGTGGCCAAACAGTCTTGCCTATGTATGGACTGGGTTTGAAGATAGCTTCCAGATGTTTCTGGAGGGGGGCCCACCCAGAGAGGACACGGGAGCTCTGTGTCTCAGCCCCCGTCCCTCGCCCTGTGCATCACCTCAGTGTCCTCTGTAGTCTCCTTTATAATAAACCGCTAAACTAAAGTGTTTCCCTGAGATCTGCGTGCTCAGTGAGGGTTGTGGACACTCTGATTGATAGCCAGTCAGTCAGAAGCACAAGTAACACAACCTGAGGCTTGCCGTTGGCTCTCGAAGTGGGGGGCAGTCTTGTGGGACAGAGCACTCAACCTATGGGATTTGATGCTTTCTCCCAGCATCAAGATTTAATGGAATCAGGACCCCAGCCAGTGTCCGGCTGCAGAACTGACTGCTTCCTTGCTGCTGGGGAGAGGTCCCCACACCTCTGGTGTCCTAAGTGTGCTGTGAGGATGTGATGGGAGAAACTGAATTTTGTTTTTTGTTTTTCAACCCCAACAACTGTACCGTGTGCTTTTTCTTGAGACAGTTGTACTTGGGGATGCAGCAAAAGTTCTTTTGTGGCACATTTTATCACAGGGTTGGAATTGAATAAAGTGGTGAATTATTTTAACTGTTCATCAGGGAATAAGCTAAGCAAAACTGGCCTTTTTCCTTTTTCTTTCCCTTTTCCCTGCCTGTGCAGGGCGTGGAGAGGAGAGCTCGGGGCTGCTGCCACAGATCATGCTGAGCCGCCAGCAGCTCCACCTGCCCTTGGCTTTGCTCATCCGTGGAAATGACAACAGCGTGAAAACGGCAGATGATGTACAAGGATTATGATGAAAATAGTCTTGACCTCACGGACCCTCTGAGAGGTTCTTGACCGTTGCACCCTCAAGGGCCCACAGACCGCACTTTGAGAACTGCTGCTTGAATGCAAGCTATTAGCAGTAGGAGTGTCAAGGACAGGGCAGACTTCAGGATTAACTGTTCCTTCTCATCTTTACCAGATTGTACTGGTTTTGTCTCAAAATACAAAAATAGAGTGTTTATTATGTAAAGAAAATCAAATGATAGAACAGCTGAGAACAGCTGGATCAAGAGCACAGAGCGGAAGTTCCTCTTCATCCCACTGCTGTCCTGGAGTCTTCCTCAGGACCCACTGCTCCTAACTGTATCTTTGTAGATCATTTTCTATGTGTTTATTTATTTATATTTTAAAACCTAGTTTGTGTATAAGCAATCTTTTTTAATCCACAAATGTGGAATCTTATTCTAGACTTTGAATAAGATTTTCTGTATTAGTCAGTATTGTTTTTTGCTACTTCTTTTCCTTTCCTTTCCTTTTTTGGAAATAGGGTCTTACTCCTCTGTCACCCAGGCTGGAGTGCAGTGGTGCGATCAGAGCTCACTGCAGCCTGATCAGGCTCAAGCAATCCTCTCCCTGCTCAGCCTCCTGAGTAGCTGGAACTATAGGCTTGCACTGCCATGCCCAGCTTTTTTCTATTTTTTGTAGAGACAGGGTTTTGCTGTGTTGCCCAGGATGGTCTTGAACTCCTGGACTCAAGTGATCCTCCCACCTCGGCCTCCCAAAATGCTGGGAATACAAGCATGAGCCATGGCATGTGGCCGCCACTTGCCTTTTTTCATTAAGAGTCTATAATTGGAGATCTTACAGGGAACTGGGCTTTCTGCTCAGCCATACTCGAGCTCATTTGACCCCCGGCCACTGCCCCTTGAAATGTAAGTACTACTGTGTTGCCTTCATCATACACATGAGACGATCAAGTATCAGGAAGATGAAGTTACTTGGTGAAGGTCTCAGAGCTAATAGGTGCTATACCCATTATTTGCATGCAGACATTCTGAGTCCAGAGCCCATACTTAAGTTTTTAACCAGGCTGCCTTTTTATGTGGCTCATTTTATCCTTTTTGATGGCTGCATAGTATTCCCTTAGTTATTTAGTCCACTGTTTCTAATGACAGTGCAGGAGAGTCTCGTCCATCCTTCTGCCCTTCCTGGGTGGCAGACATCCAGGAGTGGGTACACGGTGTCAGAGGCTGTGCACATTTCTTGTTTCTATTCTTTGAATTGCTTTGATTACATCTTTTGTCCATTTTTCTGCTGAACTTAAAAAAGTCAGTCTGTAAAAGTGGTTTTTTTGGTTTGTGTGTTTGTTTTTTTGAGATGAAATCTCGCTCTGTCACCCAGGCTGGAGTGCAGTGGCACTATCTCGGCTCACTGCAACCTCCGCTTCCCAGGTTCAAACGGTTCTCCTGCCTCAGCCTCCCGAGGTGTGATTACAGGGATGCCACCATGCCCGGCTAATTTTTTTTTTTTTTTTTTGTATTTTTAGTAGAGTTGGGGTTTCACCATGTTGGCCAGGCTGGTCTCGAACTCCTGAGCTCAAGTGATCCGCCCACCTCGGCCTCCCAAAGTGCTGGGATTACAGTTGTGAGCCACCGCACCCAGCTTGTAAAAGTTCTTTATGCATTATGAATATTAGTCTCCTGAGTTTTTAAAAATTGTTGACCTTGAGTTTTAATTCCTCTGCCCCCATTCCACACTCTCCTCTCCGAGTACAGCTGAATTTATTATACATGTGTCTTTGACTAGATTTTTTGTATTGCTGTTGCTACTCTGGAAATGAAGAAAAAGGGCTGAGATCCATGTTTGGGTCAGTAATGGGGTGGAAGAGGAATAATGTGTGGGACAAAAGGCGATTGGTGAATTGAACTGAAATATCATGTGAGGCTTAATGATGGGGGTGGATATTTTCTGAGCAATGTGTCGTTAGGCGATTTTGGCATGCGAGCATCTGAGAGTACACTTACCAAGCCCAGGTGGTAGGGCTCACTCCGTTACAGGCCTCCATTATTGTCTCATGGGAACGCCATGGCAGGTGTGGACTGTCAGGAGTTTAGAGCTCAGAGGCAGGGGCAACCATGAAAACAGGCAATCCTGGAGTAGTGACAGAAGTCTTGCTAATGATGTTAGATATCTCAGAGCATGAAAGAGACTTGAGCTTATTTTATCTGGATCTCCAGAGATGATAAAACCACAACTAAAATAGGAATGCAGCCGTGTGAAGACACAGGCTGTGCTGATCTTTTTCTGTATCGTGCACAACACCTACCACTGCACCGGCACACAGGAAGGGCTTTTATGAATTCTTGGGTGAGTCACCATACCTGCCTGAAAGGGGCAGCAGGTTTGCTGATAATTAGCAACATTTGAGTGAAAAAAACACAGACAATAGGTCTGCATGTTTAACCGCATCTAATGGCTGGTTTGTTTTAAGTGGGTGGTGAGTAAAAGAGTTAACATTAATCATCATAGAAATGGTATTAATGAGCAAAGATATGACCGGCCTCACACCTGTAATCCCAGCACTTTGGGAGGCCAAGGCAGGAGGATCCCTTGAGCCCAGGAGGTCAAGGCTGCTGTGAGCTGTGATCACACCACTGCATTCCAGCCTGGGAACAGAGTGGACCCTGTCTCAAATAAGCAAAGACATTCTAATTAAAGCAATAATAATGTTCCATTTTTCCTAGTCATTTCTGGAAGGAGTGTCTGTACACTCATTTTTTGGAGGGTAATTTGACATTTCTCTCTCAAACTTAACACAAGGGTTAGGACCCCAAGGTTCCACTTGTAGGAATCCTACAGGAAATAGGCCAGCATTTCAGAAAGATGTGCACTGCAGTGATACAACGTTGAAAACACTAAATGCCTAAAAGTAGTGAGGCGGTTACATGTGTTAGAACACACACTTTGTGGAGTAAGAGTGTTCTGGGCCCCTCGGAGAGCAGTCTGTGACACATTGGGTGAAAACAGCAGCTTTTGCAGAAGAACGGTGACCCCAGGCGAAGCTGAGTGTGGTTGTAAATGCTGCTCTGGAAAGCAGATATCCAGGGGTGACATCGGGGGTGCCTGTGGGGAAAGGGTGGTCACGCCTCACTGAACAGAGACTTTGGCTTTTATTCTGCACATTTCTGTATTATTTTATGTTCCACACCAAGAATGCATTGTTTGTAGGTATAAGGAGAAAAGTGCCCTTAAGAAAAGGTAAAGAGGGAGTTCTAGCAACTCGAAGGAGGAAGGTTTTTCTCTCCGTGCACCCCTAATAGTGACTCAGCACTGCTTAGCACCCCACCTTCTGTTGTGCTCCGGTTTTCTGGAATTTTAATGGTTTTAGGCTGCCATTTTGTCATGTTTGAAAATACCTTAAATTTTTTTTTTTTAATTTCAATAGTTCTGTTCCAGAATCTAGAATGGCGAAGTAGTATCCCTAAAAGAGTATTCATTACAAAAGCTCTAGTACATAACTAGATTTAAAAGAAAGCAAAACAAAAACTCAGCTAGTAATAATGATTGAAAAGGGGGGATTCGTGCCTTACGTGTACCAGTGCGTTTGTAAACGTTCCTGGCTTTCGTAGGCATTGAAGGCTGCGTCTCAGCTTTGCTCCCGTCCTTTGCAGTAACCTGTGTACGGGAGGCTCCGTTGTTTGCCACCTCACATTGGGATAGGTTGCTTTTAGAATAAATAATTATGTATTATTTGCATAAAATAAATAAACACCCACATACTCCACACTTAACAACGGTCCATCTTGTTTTGGGTTTTTGAAGAGATGAAGGCTACGGTCATGTTGAGGCTGTCCATCTCCGTTTTAACTCCCCAACTCCGTTGCCCGCACTCCTTCCTCACTGGAGGCACTGTCTGTGAAATTGGTTCATAGCCTGTCCCTGCTCTTGAGTGTTTATCCAAATAGATCCATGGGTTGCCTTTTATCAGACAGAGGCCGATGGGGAATTGCAGCTCTGCCGTGGCCGCGCTTCTCCAGCTCCCTGCAACTTTGTCAGACCCTAGAGATCTGTTCAGTGTCACAGGTCACATTTCTTAGATGTTGACTTCGTTTATGGTAACAGATAGATGTTGTTAAAGGCATCTGAAATATTAGATAATCGTTGAAGTAGTATTAACCAAAATTATTAATCTCCTCTGCCATAGAGCCCCGGTTAAGTTCAGGTGTGTAATAGTGATCTTAAAATGGAGAGAATGAGAAAGTTTTTACTTTAACCATTCTCAATTTGCTTACTGTTCATTAAAGAATTCAGTAGTAAAAGGCGTAATCTATTTGGATTATGAAGGTATCAGCATACGGCTTTCTGTGTACGCCCTAAAGTACTGATCACAGTCAAATATGTCGTAGGTAAAATAGTAACCATAGAAATCCATTAAATGTCTGCTGCTGGGTTATTTAAAAAGTAGATGGAACCTTTCTCTGGCCACGCGCCCTGATAACCTCCGTGTTCCCCGCAGGACAGGCTGTGGTGGAGGCGCACACACAGCACCCAGAGGCGGGCTCTGTGGAGTTCGCATCTATATGTCAGCAACTTAGGGTGGTTTGGGCCATGTTTCACTTGACCTACAGAGAGAAATGTGACACCCAGGTTGGCATAGATTGGGATTTTTTTTTTTTTTTTGAGGTCTAGGAATTTTTTTTAATTGTGGTAAAATATACATGGCATAATATTTATCATTTTAGCCGTTCATAAGTGTACAGTTGCGTGGTGGTAAATGCACTTACAGTGTTGTGTAGCTATCACCACTACCTGTTCCCAAAACAACTTCCTCATTACCAACACAACTTTGTCCTATTAAACAATAACTCCCCTTCTCCCCTTCCCCGGCCCCTGGCGACCACCATTCTACTTTCTGTCTCTGAATTTGCCCAGTCTAGGGACCTCAGGCGGGTGGAATGACACAGCGTTTGTAGGGACCTCAGGCGGGTGGAATGACACAGTGTTTGTAGGGACCTCAGGCAGGTGGAATGACATAGTGTTTGTAGGGACCTCAGGCAGGCGGAATGACACAGTGTAGGGACCTCAGGCGGGTGGAATGACACAGTGTAGGGACCTCACGCAGGTGGAATGACACAGTGTTTGTAGGGACCTCAGTCGGGTGGAATGACAGTGTTTGTAGGGACCTCAGGCGGGTGGAATGACAGTGTTTGTAGGGACCTCACGCAGGTGGAATGACACAACGTTTGTAGGGACCTCAGGCGGGTGGAATGACACAGCGTTTGTAGGGACCTCAGGTGGGTGGAATGACACAGTGTAGGGACCTCAGGTGGGTGGAATGACACAGTGTAGGGACCTCACGTGGGTGGAATGACACAGTGTAGGGACCTCAGGCGGGTGGAATGACACAGTGTTTGTAGGGACCTCACACGGGTGGAATGACACAGTGTTTGCAGGGACCTCACGTGGGTGGAATGACACAGTGTAGGGACCTCAGGCGGGTGGAATGACACAGCGTTTGTAGGGACCTCAGGTGGGTGGAATGACACAGTGTAGGGACCTCAGGCGGGTGGAATGACACAGTGTTTGTAGGGACCTCAGGCGGGTGGAATGACACAGTGTTTGTAGGGACCTCAGGCAGGTGGAATGACACAGTGTAGGGACCTCAGGCGGGTGGGATGACACAGTGTAGGGACCTCACGCAGGTGGAATGACACAGTGTAGGGACCTCAGTCGGGTGGAATGACAGTGTTTGTAGGGACCTCAGTCGGGTGGAATGACAGTGTTTGTAGGGACCTCAGGCGGGTGGAATGACAGTGTTTGTAGGGACCTCACACGGATGGAATGACACAGTGTTTGTAGGGACCTCAGGCGGGTGGAATGACACAGTGTTTGTAGGGACCTCAGGCGGGTGGAATGACAGTGTTTGTAGGGACCTCACGTGGGTGGAATGACACAGTGTAGGGACCTCAGGCGGGTGGAATGACACAGTGTAGGGACCTCATGTGGGTGGAATGACAGTGTAGGGACCTCAGGCGGGTGGAATGACACAGTGTAGGGACCTCACGTGGGTGGAATGACACAGTATAGGGACCTCAGGCGGGTGGAATGACACAGTGTAGGGACCTCACGTGGGTGGAATGACACAGTGTAGGGACCTCAGGCGGGTGGAATGACACAGTGTTTGTAGGGACCTCACACGGGTGGAATGACACAGTGTTTGCAGGGACCTCACGTGGGTGGAATGACACAGTGTAGGGACCTCAGGCGGGTGGAATGACACAGTGTTTGTAGGGACCTCACACGGGTGGAATGACACAGTGTTTGCAGGGACCTCACGTGGGTGGAATGACACAGTGTAGGGACCTCAGGCGGGTGGGATGACACAGTGTTTGTAGGGACCTCAGGCGGGTGGAGTGACACAGTGTTTGTAGGGACCTCAGGCGGGTGGAATGTCAGTGTTTGTAGGGACCTCAGGCGGATGGAATGACACAGTGTAGGGACCTCACGTGGGTGGAATGGCACAGCGTTTGTAGGGACCTCAGGCAGGTGGAATGACACAGTGTTTGTAGGGACCTCAGGCAGGTGGAATGACACAGTGTTTGTAGGGACCTCAGGCGGGTGGAATGACACGGTGTAGGGATCTCACGTGGGTGGAATGACACAGTGTTTGTAGGGACCTCAGGCGGGTGGAATGACACAGTGTTTGTAGGGACCTCAGGCGGGTGGAATGACACAATGTAGGGATCTCACATGGGTGGAATGACACAGTGTTTTTAGGGACCTCACACGGGTGGAGTGACACAGTGTTTGTAGGGACCTCAGGCGGGTGGAATGACAGTGTTTGTAGGGACCTCAGGCCGGTGGAATGACACAGTGTAGGGATCTCACGTGGGTGGAATGACACAGTGTTTGTAGGGACCTAACGCGGGTGGAGTGACAGTGTTTGTAGGGACCTCAGGCAGGTGGAATGACACAGTGTTTGTAGGGACCTCAGGCGGGTAGGATGACACAGTGTAGGGACCTCACGCGGGTGGAATGACAGTGTTTGTAGGGACCTCAGGCGGGTGGAATGACACAGTGTTTGTAGGGACCTCACACGGGTGGAATGACACAGTGTTTGTAGGGACCTCACGCGGGTGGAATGACACAGTGTGGGGACCTCACGGGGGTGGAATGACACAGTGTAGGGACCTCAGGCGGGTGGAATGACACAGTGTAGGGACCTCACATGGGTGGAATGGCACAGCGTTTGTAGGGACCTCAGGCGGATGGAATGACACAGTGTAGGGACCTCAGGCGGGTGGAATGACACAGTGTTTGTAGGGACCTCAGGCGGGTGGAATGACACAGTGTTTGTAGGGACCTCAGGCGAGCGGGATGACACAGTGTAGGGACCTCAGGCGGGTGGAGTGACACAGTGTTTGTAGGGACGTCAGGCGGCTGGAATGACAGTGTAGGGACCTCAGGCGGGTGGAATGACACAGTGTAGGGATCTCACGTGGGTGGAATGACACAGTGCTTGTAGCGACCTCAGGCGGGCGGAATGACACAGTGTAGGGACCTCAGGCGGGTGGAATGACAGTGTAGGGACCTCACGTGGGTGGAATGGCACAGCGTTTGTAGGGACCTCAGGCAGGTGGAATGACACAGTCTTTGTAGGGACCTCAGGCGGGTGGAATGACAGTGTAGGGACCTCACGTGGGTGGAATGGCACAGCGTTTGTAGGGACCTCAGGCAGGTGGAATGACACAGTCTTTGTAGGGACCTCAGGCGGGTGGAATGACACAGTGTAGGGATCTCGCGTGGGTGGAATGACACAGTGTTTGTACGGACCTCAGGTGGGTGGAATGACACAGTGTTTGTAGGGACCTCAGGCGGGTGGAATGACACAATGTAGGGATCTCACGTGGGTGGAATGACAGTGTTTGTAGGGACCTCAGGCGGGTGGAATGACACAGTGTTTGTAGGGACCTCAGGCGGGTAGGATGACACAGTGTAGGGACCTCACGCGGGTGGAATGACAGTGTTTATAGGGACCTCAGGCCGGTGGAATGACACAGTGTTCGTAGGGACCTCACGTGGGTGGAATGACAGAGTGTAGGGACCTCACGTGGGTGGAATGACACAGTGTAGGGACCTCAGGCGGGTGGAGTGACAGTGTTTGTAGGGACCTCAGGTGGGTGGAATGACACAGTGTTTGTAGGGACCTCATTCAGGTGGGATGACGCAGTGTAGGGACCTCAGGCGGGTGGAATGACACAGTGTTTGTAGGGACCTCACACGGGTGGAATGACACAGTGTTTGTAGGGTCCTCAGGCGGGTGGAATGACACAGTGTTTGTAGGGACCTCAGTCGGGTGGGATGACACAGTGTAGGGACCTCAGGCGGGTGGAATGACACAGTGTTTGTAGGGATCTCACACGGGTGGAATGACAGTGTTTGTAGGGACCTCACGCGGGTGGAATTACACAGTGTAGGGACCTCACGTGGGTGGAATGACACAGTGTTTGTAGGGACCTGACGTGGGTGGAATGACACAGTATAGGGACCTCACGCGGGTGGAATGACACAGTGTTTGTAGGGACCTGACGTGGGTGGAATGACACAGTGTAGGGACCTCACACAGGTGGAATGACACAGTGTAGGGACCTCACGCGGGTGGAGTGACACAGTGTAGGGACCTCAGGCAGGTGGAATGACACAGTGTAGGGACCTCACGTGGGTGGAGTGACACAGTGTAGGGACCTCACGCGGGTGGAATGACACAGTGTTTGTGGGGACCTCACGTGGGTGGAAGGACATAATGACATAGTGTTTGTCCACTTGTGTCTGGCATATTTCACTACACATGATGTTTCAAAGGCTCAGCCATATTGTAGCATATGTCAGAATTTCATTCCTTTTTTTGGCAGAATTAGATGTGGATTTTTGATGTAGGAGGTACGTTTCTAACCTACTTTTGTTTATTTAAAAAATTATTGCTGGGCACAGTATCTCACGCCTGTAATCCCAGCACTTTGGGAGGCTGAGGTGAGTGGATCACCTGAGGTCAGGAGTTGGGAGATCAGCGTGGCCAACATGGTGAAACCCCGTTGCTACTAAAAATACAAAAATTTGCTGGGCACAGTGGTGCATACCTGTAATCTCAGCTACTCAGGAGGCTGAGGCAGGAGAATCACTTGAACCCGGGAGGTGGAGGAGGTTGCAGTGGGCCAAGATTGCGCCACTGTGCTCCAGCCTGGGCAACATAGCGAGACCCTGTCTTTACAAAAAGTGAAACAGGAATCTCAGGGTTGTGTGTGTTTCTAATAAATGTTAATAGAAGATGAATTTCAGGAACAAGTTATTGGGAGAGAAACATTAGCAGCTTTGTTTTGCTAATATGATGGGCTAGGTTCAAGGATCATTTCCTAAAGTTTGAGATGTGCTTTTCCCCTTTTGATACCAGCTCTCAGAGTGATGATCGTTTCTGTATAGGCAAGGGAAATACTTGTCACTGCCTTCTTGCTAGTTTGACTGACTCTGAAATACTTAAAGATAGTTGTATTTGTTGTTGCATGTCTAGATCTGCCACGGGGGAGAGGCCAGAGAGGCTTTGCTGACGTGCAGGGAGTGACCGGGGGAATGTCCCAGCCTCACTTTGCAGGTGCAGTTGAGAAGGCACCATGAGTAAAGGCGCTGCCCCACGCACCCAGGGTCCTAAGGCTTCGGCAGTTAAGAGTTCATCCGTTGCCATTTGATGAGGGCTCTGGGAGTCAAAAGGCTTCCCTGAACAAGGAACCCTTGAGCTCAGATGCAAATGAGGGATGGGCCTGGACCGGGATGGGGGATGGGAGGAGCCTGCAAAGGGGAGAGAGGGTGGGAGGACTTGACATGGGAGAAGAACAGGCTGGGGCAATGGGGTGTGAAAGCAAAGGGAGTAAGATGAGCATTTTGGTCTTTACTAAGGGCAGTGAGGATTCAAAACAGCATGGTTGGATTTGAGTTTAAAAAATAGAACTCACTGGCTGCAGTGTGCGGAGGTGGGCTGGAATCCATTTTTGCTCAGTTGGGGAGAGTGTATTTTTAATTTTCCAAAGTGACTATGTTGGTGATTGTGTCAGAGCCCCTGGCCTGTCGTTGGTGGTTATAAAGCGCTTTTGATTTGCCTGTAAATCAGAGTCTACCATGGCTCACATAGTTATTTGCAAAAAGAACTTCTAAGCATGAAATTGAGCATAAAATTGCCTAGGAGTAATTCAGTTTGCTTAATATGTTTGAGAGAAAGGTTAATATATTCAGTCAGACAGCCTTTTGTTTTTGGATAAAGACGTTCTCATTTTTCAGCATGGCATGAGGGAAATAGCCTGGAATATTCTCAGTAAATCAGATTTTCCTTGAAAAGAGTGGCCCTACCTCTCATAGACTTCAACGGCAGTGGTTTAATATGGTTCCCAAATTCTGAAGTCTTCTGAAATTTGTTAGACAAAGCAAGACTTAACGATCACAGCATGATGCAAATACTAATTTTCCGAGTAAAACACAATAAAAGATTGACCGTTTCTCTCTCATGTCATTTACGTATGTCTATGACTGTGAGAACTAAAGTGGCCGTATTTACAGTAAGGTAACTATTGTTAATGCTGATGTATTCTTGAGAAATAAAAAGAGTGAATGTTAAGTATTCCTCATCACAAAAAGGAGTTATGTGGGCTAATACATTTGTTAATTAGCTAAATTTAATTGTTCCACAATGTATGTATACTTTAGACATCATGTTGTACATGATACATACTTATCTGTCAATTGTTTTTTTTTTTTTTTTGAGACAGAATCTCACACTGTCACCCGGGCTGGAGTGCAGTGGCTTGATCTCAGCTCACTGCAGCCTCTGCCTCCCAGGTGCACACGATTCTCCTGCCTCAGTCCCCCGAGTAGCTGGGATTACAGGTGCACACCACCACACTTGGATAATTTTTTATATTTTTAGTAGAGTTTCTCTATGTTGGCCAGGCTGGTCTTGAACTCCTGACCTCGTGATCCGCCTGCCTCGGCCTCTCAAAGTGCTGGGATTACAGGCATGAGCTACTGCGCCCGGCCATTATCTGTCAATTTTTTTCTTAAAAAAAATTGGAAAGTAGCCAAAAAGAAAACAAAGTCCCTTTAGGTTTAAATAGGAAAATGAATTTAGTAATTTGTGGAAAACAAATTTATATCAGATTTTTGTTTGTTGGTTATTTTTAAAACTTGGAATAATTTAGTCTACTTTTAGAGTGTATTTGAGAATGGTTGCAAGTTGTGAGGCCCTTTTAGTGACTTGATCCATTTGTTTTTATGGGGTAGTTTTACTTACAACAGCTTTTGAGCTGTAATTCATTGAGCACAGAGCTCATCCTTTGTGAAGTGTGCGGGTGAATATTCAGTTTTGTGGCCATCTGAATTGGATAATTCTAGAACCTTTCCATCACCCCTAAAAGAAACCCACTAGCAGTCCCTCCCATTCCCTCCACCCTCTGCCCTCTGGTAACCACTGATTACTTTGTTTCTGTGGATTTGCCTGTTCACGTGTCATGTAAATGGAGTCATGGCCCACGTGTCCCTCTGCTCCCCGGCTGCTTCTCCCCAGCGTGATGCCGGTCAAGGCATATCCTGCAGCATGCGTCAGTCCTCCCTCCTTTCCTGGTCAAACAGTTTTCCATTTTTGTTTATCCGTTAGTTGATGGGTTGTTCCTAGTTTTTGGCTCTTTCAAATGCACCTGTGGACATTCTTGTACATGTTTTTGTATAGACATGTGTTTTCTGTGCTCTTGGGTATATTCCTGGGAATGGAGCTTGGTCATATGGCAACTGTGTTTAATGTATTTGTGGAACTGCCAAACAGTTTCCCAAGGTGGCTGCAACATTTTGTAATCCCGCCGTCAATGTATGAACAGTTTTTCTTCACCTACGCTTGTTATTGTCTGTCTAATTTTAGCCATCCTAATAGTTGTGAACTGGTATCTGGTGGTTTTGATTTGTATTTCCCTAGTGATTAATGGTGTTGAGCATTTCCTGTGCTTATTTGGACATTTATATATATATATTTTTGGAAAATTACATTTTCAATTGGCTTGTCTTTTTATTTTATTTATTTTAGAGACAGGGTCTTGCTCTGTCACCCAGGCTAGAGTGCAGTGGTGCTGTCATAGCTCACTGTTAACTCCTGGGCTCAAGCGATTCTCCTGCCTCAGCCTCCCAAGTAGCTGGGACTGCAGATACACACCACCACAGCCGGCTAACTTTTAAAAAATTTTTGATAGAGATTGGGTCTTGCTGTGTTGCCCAGGCTGGTCTTGAATTCCTGGGGTTACAGTGTTAGCCACCGTGCCCGGGCCTTTCTTTTTATTGTTGTAAGAGTTCTTCAGGTATTCTGGATACAAGTCCCTTATCAGATACATAATTTGCAAACAATTCCTCCCATTCCATGAGTTGTGTTTTCAGTCTCTTGATGGTGTCCTTAGATGCACAAGAATTTTTAATTTTGATGGTGTCCACCTTATTTTTTTCTTTCAGAAGTTTGTGCTTTTGGTATTATATGTAAGAGACCACTGTCTAATCCAAGATTGTGAAGATTTATTCATTTAGCTCTTACATTTAGGTCTCTGATCCATGTTTATATATAATTATATATAGAATTTATGTGCAGTTAATTACATTTATATATAATTTTTATATGTGGTGTTAAGGGTTCAGCTTTTTTCTTTTGCATGTGGATATTTAGATGTCCTGGCATCATTGTTGAAATAGTATTCTTTTACCATTAATTGTCCTGGTACACTTGTTGAAAATCAGTTGACCGTAAGTGTCCTTCTAGACTCTGACCTCTGATCCATTGGTCTATATGTCTGTCCTCATGCCAATACCATACTGTCTTGGTTACTATAGCTTTATGGTAAGGTTTGAAATCAGGAAGTGTCAGTCTTCCTCCTCTGCTCTTTTTAAAGATCATTTTGGCTATTCTGAGTCCCTTGCACTTCCATATGATTCTAGAATTAGTTTGGCAATTTTTGCAAAAAAAAAAAAAGGCAGCTGGGATTTTCATAGGGTTAATACCTTGACTATTGTAGAACACTTTGGAGATACTTTCTTAAGTTTTCCAATCGTGACACAGGATAACTTTCTGTATATTCAGGTCTTTAATTTTTTTTTTTACAATATTTTGCAGTTTTCAATGTACAAATCTTGTCATTCTTTGATTAAATTTATTCCTAAGTATTTATTCTTTTTGATGATATTGTAAACAGAGTTGTTTTCTTGCTTTTATTTCTGAATTTTTCATTGCTAGGTGTAGAAATGCAGTTGACTTTATTGGCCTTGCATCCTGTGTCCTTGCTGAACCTGTTTATTATCTCTGATAGGTTTTGTGTTTGTGGATTCCTTAGGATTTCCTGTATACAATATAATGCCATCTGTGAATAGAGATATGTTACTCCTTTTTAATCTGGATGCCTTTTATTTATTTTCTTTGCTTAACTGCCCCAGCTAGAATTTCCAGTAGAATGTTTACTAGAAGTTAGCAAATCAAACATCCTTGTCTTGTTCCTGCTTTTAGGGGAAAAGCCTTCAGACTCATCATGAAGTGTGATGTTAGCTGTGGTTTTTTAGGTACTCTTTGTCAAGTTGAGGAAGTTGCATTTTATTCTTAGTTGGTTGAGTGTTTTTATCATGAAAAGGTGTTGGATTTGTTAAATGCTTTATCTGCATTTATTGAGATGACCATGTGGTCTTTGTCCTTTAATGTTATTAGTATGGTGTATTACATTGATTTGTTTTTGTATGTTAAACCAACCTTGCATTCCTAGGATATGGTATACTTCTCATATTTCAAAAATATTGTTTGTTCCTGTAGCAGAGAAATTTTTAGTTCTTTCTGACTTCTGTATTTTAGAATAATTTGCCACAAACTTTTTTTTAGTGCTTAAGTGACTAGAAAGTAGTATGCAGAATTTTCTATTTTGTCACATTTTATCCAGTCTAGTCATAATGATGCAAGATTTTTTTTGCTCCTTAGTTCAGCTAAATTCAGCTTCTTGTCTTGCAACCAGGAAAAATTAGGCATGCGGATACATTGAAGGGTGAGGAGGCAGAATTTATTAAGCAAAAGGAAAGCTCTCAGCAAAGATAGGGATTCTCCAAGCAGGTTTCCCCCTCACAAATTGAATACGAGGCCACCACGCAGAGGTTGAAGAAGCCAGGCCCCTCCCCAGCATAAGGTGCATATTCCTAGTGGCTCCGCCCCGTTTTTCAGCGCACACACAGGCCCTTAGTCTGAGCCACTCCATGTTGATTTATTTCCCTTACTGGGCATGTGTTAAGGGACGGGATTTTTCAATGTGGGCATGTTTAGGCGACTTCCCCCACCCCATGCACAATGACCTGGGCGGGGCAGAGATTCCCTTGGGACCTTTCCCTGTTTGCCTGTGTATTGCATTTGGCTGTCTCCTGCCTCTATCAGTAATTCGGATAAACTCAATTTTGGATGCTTTTAGATTATAGTGTCTCTAGAGTCTTACTGGGTCTCGGACATAAATAGTTTTCCATTTTTTTAATATATGGTAGAGGCTTATAATTCACTTCTATTAGTTTATGTCTGGTTTTTGAACAGAATGGACTTTTTGCCTTTGGGTGAGCTTCTTTGAAAAGACACAGAAACGTGTGTATATGTGTGTGCGTGTGCATCTGTGTCTGCTTGTAGAAAATTTCTTACTTCCAGCTGAGCGCAGTGGCTCACGCGTGTAATTCAGTACTCTGGGAGGCTGAGGCAGGAGGATCGCTTGAGCCCAGGAGTTCGTGACCAGCCTGGACAACATAGTGAGACCCTGGCTCCACAAAACATTAAAAAAGGTAGACAATTTCCCACTTTTCTTGTCTGTCAGTTTGTCGTATCCAGAGTGCCCTGTTGCTGAGCTCACCGCCTGGCAGCCTCGGTAAACTCTGCCTCCTTGGAGGGCAGCTCTACTCCTCTTTCTGCATATGTACTAAATTCTTCTCAGAGAAGTTTTATGTGAAGGAGTTGTGATTTCCAAAAACTCTCTGGCTGGATGTGTTTTTTGACTGTTGTGTGTCATCGTTTGAGTCCCTGCAGTATGCACACAGCTCTGCCAGGTGCCGCAGAGCAGGAAACAAATGGCCTTGCCCGGCACCTTGCCTCTGCCCAGCGTGTAGAGGAGAGAAGTGATTGGGTGGGTAATGGTAGGAAACGAACTCGTTGCCAGAGTAGGGGTGCGTTGAAATGGGTGAACTTGCCGAGTCAGGGTAGCAGAGCGCTGGCTACAGCGAGTTCATGAAGGACTGGGAGGAGAGGGTGTGGTGACCACGAGTCCAAAGAGCTGCCTAGCTTGGGTCATCCCGCTCCAGGTGGTCTCTGCTGGAAGCAGTGGCTTCTTCCACTGCAGGGGGTGTCTTTGACGGGGAGATTATGGCTGTTCTCTTTTGGGTTCTTCTGTTTTTCATGAAATAAGCAGATTCATTAATGGGAAGTGGGGTGAGTGGCTGGGGTGCTGGAAGTTTGAGGGGAGAGGAGAGGTGTGAGACAGTCATTTTGAGGAGGGAGGAGCCGTGGTCTGGGAGCATCAAATGAAGGAAGGAGAAACTCTCCCCCCGGGGAGTGGGGTGTGAGACAACAGAGAGCCCCCATGGAGAGGGCCTGGGAGAAGCTGCTGTCAGGGATTGCAAGTTTCAGACTAAGAGGATGAATGGAGCCTTCAGAGAGGGCGGGTGCGCGGGTCGGACGGGTGCGCGGGTTGGAGTACAGGAGGCCCAGAGCTTGGCGGCGGTGAGAGTCCGAGTGAAGACGGATAGCTGCTTGGGCCTGAAGTCAGCGGGATGATGTTTGCTGCAGAATGGAATACCTGCAGAGGGCACAGGTCCCAGATATGCAGTACTGACTGTCGCCCAGCAAAGACCCCCAGTAAATACCCAGCCCCACTAGGAGCACGTTGCCAGGACGCCAGGCCCTCCCTCCCTCCGGGGCAGCTCCTACCCCAGCTGGCATCGCACATCGGACACCCCGTTCTTGAATGTGGTATAAGTGGAATTGCACCCTAAGTCCTCTGCAGTGTTTGGCTTTCTGTAACTAACCTGGGGTGTTACGCGATGGTCATTTGTTTTCATTGCTGTGTGATGTTCTGTTGTATGAATATGCCACAGTTTATGCATCTTTTCTACTCTTGACGGACATTTGAGTTGATTCTTTTGTGAACGTGCTGTGAACATTCTCGTAAGTGGTTCAGTGATGCACATATGTAGTTCTGGGGGCTGTGTGTCTGGAGTGGAGTTTCTGGGTCACGGGATATGCATGTTTCACCTTAGTGGATATTGTCCGATGGTTTTCAGAGTTGCTGTACCCATGTTTGCTCCAGGAGCTGTCTACGAGAGCTGCCGTGGATACCTGGAAAAGTCAGTCTCATTTCAGCTGGTGTGTGAGTGTGACATTGCAGGGTGGCTTGTACTGACCCTTCCCTGACAGCTAGGGAGGGTGGACACCAGTTCATCTGCCTACTAGCCTAGGGTCCGATTTGCTAGTGCCTCCGGTAGGGCGCTAGTTTTCCTTATAACCACCTCCTGGGCTGCTAGGCCACCTCAGTTCCTGGTGGCCAGGTGGAGACCATCAGGAAGGGGCAGTGGCCTCGCGAGCAGCACCTGGTCTGTGGTTATGTGCCAGGAAGTGTGTTTAAATGACCCACTCCAGAACTAGCCGAAGAGGACCTGCGGGAAACTTTCACATCATGTCTGTCAGGGATCCCTTTTGTTTTGACAATGACTCAGTAATTTTAGGTGATGCGTTTTAAGTACTGTATCTTTTTTGGTAATAGACTGATTGTGGTACTTGGGTATTGACAGGGTTTTTTCAGGCTGGTAATGTTATCTTTATGCTTTTCAAGAGCTTCCTCCCGCTGCTTTCTGGACATTGGGCTCTGAGGCTTAGGAGAGGAAATGGGGGAACCCCTTGAAGGCTGCGGCAACCCTCCAGCAGAGGTGGTGGGTGCCGTGGGCGGAGGCTGGCGGCAGTGAAGATCCAGAGAAGTAGAGAAGTGAAATAGTCACATTTTTATTTTGTTTTGAAAAACCTAGTGGGTTTTCAAAAACTATTAAGTTAGGAAAAGTCTCAGGATATGAGCCATGCAGCCAGCAGGCCTCCAAATGGCCGTCCAGGCAGGGGAGACGGGTCAGACGGGTCAGGAGACATTGTCTCTCGGGACAAGAAGAGCTGAGAGCTGATCTGATGCATTCATATTTGACATACCAGTTAAAGGAAGTAGTTAGAAATGATGTACGTATAAAAGAAAAGTAGAATAATAATACAACAGGCGCCTCTGTCCTCAACCCCAGAACTCACGCCTGGAGTTGTTTGTCTGCCTTCGTTGTGTTTCTCTCCAGATGCAGTTTCTGGATCTCCTGAAGGCTGATGACCCCAGACGGCCTTGTCATTGCCCCCTGTACTACCTCGGAAATCTTGGTTTCAGGCACCCCCTTGGATTTCTGTCTCCTGTGCTTCCCGCAGAGTGGCCCTGCTCAGGCGCCCCCTCCTGATCCTCTGAGCCTCTGCCTCCTCCCAGCCACTGGGCAGGCTGGAAATGTTATCATGGGAATGGGCAGGCTGGAAATGCCATCGTGGGAACTGTGCTGGGTGGTCTGGTGTTGCCCTTAGTGTTTCGTTCACTAAAGCGTAAGCCGTGTGAAGACGGGCTTTGTGTTGTCTTGAGGCCACCCACGCAGTGCTTGGTTTAGAGCCACTCAGATGTAGGAGCAGCTTAAAAAGATAAGCTGCTGGCCTCAGGTGTGAAGTGGGCGTGGATACTGGGAGGCAGGCCTGCATTTCTCAAGACTCGTCACTCTTCTCTCTTCTGAGGGGACTTCCGCCATAGGCTCTCCACATCGCCCGTGTCCTCTCTTTCACTCCTAGCAGGTGACCCTCCCTCATGCCTCGTGGAAACAGTGCAGCCTGAGGGGCTGTGCTCTGCCCGCCACACCTGCCCGCTCCATTCTCACAGCAGCTCCCGGCTGTGCTCCGTGCCTCCCTCCCCGCCACCACCGGCAGCTGACTCTCCCTGGGGCACATGGTCCTGACTTCTAGGGCATGTTTTACAGATCCCACTGACTCCGTTTCCCCTTCCCCATCCACAGCTCCTTAGTCTGCTTCCTCATAGCACCCGAATGTCCTTTAAACCTGGGACCTCATTCCTCGTCACCTGCCCCTCCTCTCTTGCCACCTGAGGCCGCCCCGGTTGTAACTCCTGTGCTGGGACTGCTCACTTTTCATTCCGTGGTTTCGAACCGTCAGTGCCAACCTCCTGTATGGCAACCGATGATTCCGCCTTTTACTGATACCACCTTCAGCCCACGTGTATCCCCACTCCCCACAAAAAAAGAGGTTGAAAGAGATCTATTGCAAGTTTTTGTTACATAGTATTCCGTTAACAGGTAAATATTGTGTATTACTGAACTGTGCCTTTTCTTTTTCACACAAGTTTTCACTTTCCTAGGTCTAATGATTGCCTGATTTTCTCATATGCTTAGTTATCTGTGTCTTTAGTGCATTTTTTTTTTTAGCAAACACTTCAACAGGTCTATCAAATACCAACACATCAGATCAGCTCTCAGCTCTTCTTGTCCCCAGACCAGTCTCCCTGGCCTGAACGGCCACTCTGAGGCCTGCTGGCCGCCTGGCTCATGTCCTGAGATTCTCCTCACCATTTTTTGGAAGTCAGATCTGCCATCTTCCTTCTCTTGGCTTTTTCTCTCATTTTGCCAAATTGCCTCTCGCAGCAGTTTCCTGAGAAAGCATTTGTTTGTTTTGGCTCTTTGCATATTCGAAAACATTTTTACTGCTCCCTCAGATTTGATTGAAAACTTGACTAGGTCTAGCATTTCAGGTTGAAAATTGTTTTCTCCCAGAATTTTGAGGGTAGTTTGAGGTTTCATCCACCATGTTTCCTGCAACCTGTGTGATGCCATCTGACTCCCTTCCTCTCCGCATGTGACCTGTTCATTTGCTCTGGAAATTTTTAGAATCTCCTTTTTATCCCTGGTGTTGAGATGTGCGCGGCCTGGGTCTGCCATCAGCCATGCGGGGCCTCTGAGCCTGGGAACGGGGCCTTGGATGCTTCTGCCTTGCTTTCTCTGTTGTGTTTCTAGAACTCGTCAGCTGGGAGGTGGGCCACCGAAACTGATCCTCTGATTGTCTTATCCTTCCTGTCATCCATGTCTTTCTTTCCACTCTGCCCTTTGGAGGAGATCTGAAGGTTTTGATGATTACTGTTGCCCTTTGGATTTCACATGGCACTTTCTCCTCCTCTTTCCTTCTTTAGCATATTCTTCCTCTCCTGGGGGCCCCACTGGGTGTCCTGGCTGAGACCAGCCCAGGTGTCCTGCCCCACTCACCCGCAGGGGCTTGCTACCTTGAGCACGCAGGGTCCCACGTCCAGCATCCCTCTCCTCTCCCCTCCATCAGGCGGGGATGATGATAGCCCTGCTTCCTGGGGCTCTTAGAGGCCTGGCTACGTTAGTACAGGGCTTGTGCGTGGTTAGGATAGCACCTGGCTCCTAGTAAGCATTCAGCCAAACCCTGGTACTGTAGCGGCTGGTAGTAGTCAGCAGATCTCCAGAACATGATTCGGGCTTTCCCGTCTCTCTTTGTTCAGATTCCATCCTTGTTTTTGTTTTTTTGTTATTTTTTACTGAGATGGAATCTTGCTTTGTTGCCCAGGCTGGAGTGCAGTGGCGTGATCTCAGCTTCCTGCAATCCCCACCTCCCTGGTTCAAGCGATTCTCCTGCCTCAGCCTCCCGAGTAGCTGTGATTATAGATACACACCACCATGCCTAGCTGATTTTTGTATTTTTAGTAGAGATGGGGCTTTGCCATGTTGGCCAGGCTGGTCTCGAACTCCTGACCTCAGGTGATCCACCCGCCTTGGCCTCCCAAAGTGCTGGGATTACAGGCATGAGCCACTGCGCCTGGCCCCACCCATCTTTGTTTTGGTGACTTCTTGAGGCTCTGCAGGTCGTGGCTGTTGGTTTCTATTTCTGAGTGTAGCGAGGCTGCTGTTTCTGTGGGCCTGGGCTTTTCAGCTGGCAGCTTCACTGTGGTTGGCCATGTCCTTGTAAAACCCAAATGTTTGAATATTGAGGCCCTTTCCCCAGGGCTGGAGTATTTCGGAGGGCACCCCTGGGGATGGCGGCCGGTAGCCAGTGTCTGAGGAACAAGAAACTGTGTGCTCCCACCTGGCAGGGTGAATGGGGGGCGACCTGGGGACCAAGCAGCTCTGTGAAGACTTTCTGCATCTCTGTGCCAGCCCCTTGCTGCCCCCACGTTTGTTAAAGCTGCTCACATAGATGCTTTTTCTGCTTTCTTCTGACACCTGGGCGGGGGTGGGAGGGTAAAGGAGATGAACACACACGCATGGCCCACCATGTTCGGCGGGAGGTCTGAGAGGACTCGGGGTGGCTGCGGACACTTTGCGGATTTGATGGGACCCGGATGTTGAATGAGGATTGCACAGCCAGACAGCCAGCTGGCAGCAGTGCCACGGCAGGTGGAGTGTGACATGGCAGTGGGGCCTGTCTGGCTGAGAAGAGACCCGATGTCTCCATGGGATGGCCAGGAGGTGCCAGGCTGTACCGTGGGCAGAAGCACTCCCCTACCCCAGCAGGGAAATGGAGGCAGAACGCAGCCATGGTGAAGTTTATGGTAGTTTAAAATACCTAACTCACTTTGGGAAGCTGAGGCAAGTTGATCACTTGAGACTGAAGCGGGCTGATGACGTGAGGCCAGGAATTCGAGACAATTCTGGTCAACATGGCAAAACCCTGTCTCTACTAAAAATACAAAAATTAGCTGGGTGTGGTGGTGCACGCCTGTAATCCCGGCGACGCAGGAGGCTGAGACATGAGAATCACTTGCACCCTGGAGATGGAGGTTGCGGTGAGCCAAGATCGCGCCACTGTACTCCAGCCTGTCTCAAAAAAAAAAAAAAAAAAAAAACACACAAAAAAAACCTAACTTGGTGCCTTTAGTACCATATTTATGCCTTCAGCATCAGTCTGGTTTTTAAAAACTGTCTCCATCAGATTAATTTGATGTTGATAATTTAAACGTTGTTGGTTTTGTAATTTTGTGTATTTAGTTTGGGTTTAGAGATTGAGCACTGCAGTGTTTCTAATTTTAGGTTCACGCGTGTTTGTGTAGCTTAATGAAACTTCCCAGCACCGACAGTTACAGGAGTTTCTCTTTTAAAAGACTCAGTCCATTATAATTAAGTTTGAAAATCACTGACAGAGCTAGAATACAATTAATTATGTAATTTTATACACCCTCTGGGTATAAATGACATAGATTTAGACCTTTTTAATCCAATACATAATATTTTAGTTTCATTTAAGCAAGTTAGGTTATTTTCAGTAATTTAATAGTGACGCTTCTAAGAAACAACCTAATCCTTCTTCCAAAGTCTGAAGATTTTGAAAAGAAAGAACTCCCAGGCCAGGGATTCCCGTGTGAGGCCAGCGAACAGTGCCAGCCGCGGGAGCTTGCTGTGTAGATGTTGGTGGAAATCCTTCACTAACACGATTAAAACGCCTTTGCAGACCTGTCAGAATTGCATTCTAGCCACTTTTGGAGGGAGCTGTTTGAGTCACTTCAGCTTTAGGGCCCATTTCTTCTTAGTAGGTTGTTTACAATAGCCATTTAGTTGTTTTTTTACTTCCTACTATAAACGTACCGTGGGCCCTGGGTGTGCCCAGGTCACTGCGAGCCCTTGAGTTGGTGCCCAGCAGGGAGGCGAGCTTGTAGTGTTCTAGCTGTTCCTGAGACTCCCCCACACTGCAGGGTAAGGCGAGGAGTCCCACTGTGGCCATAGGACAAGCTCTGATGGCCCCTCGGGAGGCCACGCCAGGCCTTATCCTCAGTCCGCACGCGACACAGCAGCACTGCGGAGAAGCCAGCCTCCTCCAGAGTCTGTCATGGAACTCCCCCTGAAAACAGAAAATCTTTGTCCAAGTCACAGACCTGGGATTTTTTTTTTTTAATTTAATAGTTGGTCATAAATCCAGACACTCCCTTCCCAACCCGAAGGGTTAGCCTCAGGACACCTGAGGACTTTCTCACTGCTTAGTGGTGGTGTTCCTTCTGCCCCGGGGTCTTGGCCTCTGTTGAGCTGGTGTCTGGGGTCTTTGTTATGCTGTCAGAGATCTCAAGGCCTCCCTGACAGTTGTCTCACTTGGTAATGATGTCATCATTATCAGTGGTGGTAACTGTATCCAGACAATGACATGGAACTTCTACTGTCTAGAATATTACATTGTACAGAAGCCAACAAAAGTTATTGCATAGAATATTAACAACATTTTTATTACTATTATATAAGAATCAGATTTATTTTAAAAGTTAACATTAGGTATGCATTATAAAATTAGGCAACATTCTTCAGGACCCATTTTTTTCCTCTATTTTTTTCTTTTACAGATGAATTTTCTAAATTTCTACCCTTTATCCTTTTATCAAGACAACCTAGTCTAGATAAATCCTGGTGCTCCAGGGGCCCAGGCATGGGGGTGGAGTAAAACTCGCCCATTCACCTGTGCCGGCAGGTTCTCTGCACCAGAACCAATAAGTGGCCACTTGGTAATTACAAGTTTGCCAAGACAGTTTTGCTTTAGTCTCGGAGAAAGTTGTATATGTTTATCGTCCTTTTGCTCTTTTTTATTAATTTTTTGGTATTGTGACTCCTCCCCAAAACCGCATCCGGTAAATCGCTTCTGTATTTTGTTGACAGCGGACATCATTTCCACCGTTGAGTTTAATTACTCTGGAGATCTTCTTGCAACAGGAGACAAGGGCGGCAGAGTTGTTATTTTTCAGCGTGAACAAGAGGTCAGTAATTTTCAGTCCACAAATCAAATGCAATTATTCAACCTTTCGCATATAACTTAGAAGGGAGGAAGCAAAATTATTTTCTCATTGTCTCATTTCATTAAGATTCAGTTCCATCACATTAGCCATACAGAATCTCCTTTCAGAAATTATCTAAGTTCTGGCCTCAGCTGCTGAGCCCCGGTGAAGTCTCCAAGGCCTTTGTCTTCAGAGTAGGGAGGAGATTCCGCTGGGGACCCCATGAAGGATGCAGGGTGGTGGTGAGGTGCATTTATGTGCTTTCATTCCATAAGAACTCACGCGGCTCTCTCTGAAAATCCCTTTATACGCCTATGCAGGTACTGGCCCAGCCCCGCCGTCCTGCCCTGCCATGAAGTGTGAGCAGCTTTCTCAGCACTTCCTGCAGAGAAGTCTGGCAGGGGTGTGAATTCTCTCTTCCCTTCAGGGAGAGGTGAGCAGCACTCACTCCTCCATGCCCCCTTGAAGGCTTCACCTGTCTGGAGGGAAGGGAACCTTCAGAGTGTGGGCCTTGGAGGAGCCCACAGCTCATAAGCAAGCACTGGCTTCCCGGTCACGGCACTGCCTTTTCACTGATGCCTTGCCAGCCCCCTCCCTCTTCTTTCTGTTGAGCCTCCTCAGAGGTCCTAATGAGCAGTGATAAAGGAAGCAAGATCATGATTTGGTAGTCAAGGATTCCTGGCAAGAACCCTGGCTCTGTGCAGCTAAGCCTGGGGTCTGAAATATTTGTCCTGCCTTTTCCTTATAAATACAGTCCCTTGCCCTTCCTGTCTCTGAGTTTCCTAACAGATGAAAGGGACAGTTTATCATCTCCAAAGTCTGGTCTCTAAATTTGTGTGACGAACTTTGGTTTAGAGGTTGGTGGGCCCTGGTTCCCCTCTCTGCAGATCTGTACACAGGAAGTGCTGGCCCTGCCCCCCAGGAAGGGGAGCCTGGAGGAGGACTGTCCCTGGGCCACATGAGGAAAATTGACAGGTGCTAACCAATTTCATTATCAAAACATACCTGTTGCAGCTTTATTTTGATTATGTCCAGGTAGTTAAAGATTTTTTTAAATCCTGTTTTCTCTGATTTGGGATGGTAAGAAATCCTTTTGTGAATAATAAGTATATCGTTAATATTTCTTCACAGTTTGATACATTTATAATTTTGCATTTTTATCTCAGAAGTAGAATATCACACAATGCTACTTAAGAACCATATACCTTGGCCAGGCGCAGTGGCTCACGCCTGTAATCCCAGCAATTTGGGAGGCCGAGGTGGGCTGATCACCTGAGGTCGGAAGTTCAAGACTAGCCTGACCAACATGGAGAAACCCTGTCTCTACGAAAAATACAAAATTAGCCGGGTGTGGTGGCACATGCCTGTAATCCCAGCTACTTGGGAGGCTGAGGCAGGAGAATCGCTTGAACCCAGGAGGCAGAGGTTGCGGTGAGCCAAGATCGTGCCATTGCACTCCAGCCTGGGCAACAAGAGTGAGACTTCATCTCAAAAAAAAAAAGAACCATACACCTTACCTTTCTCAACAGAAGTAAAAGTGGGTTGTGGTGTTTAAATGTTACTTTTAAAGCAGGAGGAGTTTTTGTTTTTTTGAGATGGAGTCTTGCTCTGTCACCTGGGCTGGAGTGCAATGGCGTGATCTTGGCTCACTGCAACCTCTGTCTCCCGGGTTTAAGTGGTTCGCCCTGACTCAGCCTCCCAAGTCGCTGGGATTACAGGCATGCACCACCACGACCAGCTAATTTTTGTATTTTAGTAGCGATGGGGTTTCACCGTTGGCCAGGTTGGTCTTGAACTCCTGACCTCAGGTGATCCGCCCACCTCGGCCTCCCAAAGTGCTGGGATTACAGGCATGGGCCACCACGCCTGGCCAGCAGGAGGATTTTTTAACAAATTGTTGAGTCATGGCTATCTTAATGCAAGACTTCACTTTTAGCTTATTTAAAAAGTCTGTCATTGTAGCGATAGCCTTAGGGAAGATGCCTCATCCCTGCCTAACAGATTTTAGGTTAGAAAATGGAATTTCTCTTGTTTTTGTGAATCGTTGCTTAACCTAAATAATAATAGTCTCAAATATAAAACAAACCCTGATAAAAGTCAAGCATCTCGTTCTAAAAGATATTGGGTATTATAGAGTGTTAAGTGCTTTTTTAAGATGAAGTTGTTATGTGAGTGACAGATTTATACAGGAGCAAGTCCCTACTGAAGTTGTTCAGCCAGCTGCAACTTGACAAACCCCAGGCAGCCTTTTTTCTTTTTCTTCGTATTTCGGTTCACGTCTGAAAGGCTTTCACGGTCCATCCATTTTAGAGCATTCGGCTGGTTGCCCCATGTGCCCTTCCCTGTGGACTTGAGTGTGTCTGTGGGTAAGGGCGGCAGTGCACGTGTTCATCCATGGCCGGAGGCCGCGGATGGTGTTGCAGCCGCCAAGAGGGTGAAGCTGCTGCCCATCAAGCGACCCCAGCTCCCAGTTAGAAGCTGCAGCAAGGTTCACAGGCGTCCACGTGTGCGTCTTAGAATCGAAGGAGCGTGGAGGATTCGGAAGGCTAGTGAGTGAGCACCAGATTGTGGAAGGTGCAGGGCCTGAGATTCAGGAGTCAGGTCCATAGAGGCCCGTTGGGAAGCTCTGGCTGTGCAGAAGACGAGGTGGGAAGCATAGTCAGCACCTTGAGTTTCAAGCTTTTCTTACTTTTCTGTGCAGATTAAGTCTTACAGGAAAGCCCAGCCAATAAAACTAAGGCCCACAGAACGTATGGGTGTGGCTGTGCGGCCCACTGCCCTCCAGGCTCAGCTCTAGCCGCCAGGAATCAGGTGAAATCAGAAATCAGCACGTCCAAAAAGAGAAGGTGCTCGCTTCCTCCTCTTCCTGTGTGTTACTTCCCTGCTCTCCTGCCCGTGTCCCCATGAGGCTTCCTTTAGAATTCTCTCCTAGCAGAGCGGCACTCCATGAGATCTGGGAGTGTTGGAGAAGGCTGAGGGGTTGCTTGGGTTTGGGGTGACTGGGATGGGAGTTGGAACCCGTTCATGGCAGAGAGACAAGCCTGCAGCCTAGGGACCATTCTTGTTCTGGCTCTTAGGAGAAAGGCCAGGGCAGTGCAGGCAGCACTTTGACTTGGACATTTTATTTTTTTGCTTCTATTCCGCTGTTTTTTCTTGGTAGATGAATGTCTTGGGCATAGGACTAATTTAGTTATACAGATTTTTCTTTTTAAATAATTTGGTTCCACTTTTCTCCCTTGAAATAGAACTGTCTGTTGAGGGGCTGTGCTTTTTTGTAGAGTGGTAGGAGAGGGTCAAAGGAGAACAGTTTCAACATCTGCCCCGTGCAGCACACGCGGGGCAGTCAGCAGCAAGGCGCTCAGCTCCTGCCCGTGGAGGCTTCGGTTGAAGGAATGCAGGAATGCCCTGCCTGTCAGACTCAGTGCGGCGGACAGGGGCAGGCGAGGCACTCAGCTCCTGCCCGTGGAGGCTTCGGTGGAAGGAATGCCCTGCACGTCAGACTCAGTGCAGCGACGCGGGGCAGGCGAGGCGCTCAGCTTCTGCCCGTGGAGGCTTCGGTGGAAGGAATGCCCTGCACATTGGACTCTGCAGCAGTGCGGGTGTGGGTAGCTTCTTGGGATGTCTTCTCCTGATACTTGATCAGATTGGAAATATCAAGGAACATCTGTTTAGACTTGAAAGTTCGTTTAGTTCCATTCCTTTAGCATATGTACTAAAGTGTTAAACACCTAAGATATTAGATATTGGTTATAGAGCAAGAATGAAAGTACTGGCGTCCTTGATTTTGAATTATGAAATATTTAATACTTAATAGAAAATTTCACTTAGGGCATACAGAAGATTCAGAGGTTAATATAGATGTACCTGCAAACCCACCACCCAGAGGTTATCCCTTCATCAAAGGAAGGAGAATGCTCGGGATACAGATGAAGCTCCTGTTGTCCCCTCCCCATTTCAGCCTGCTACTTTCCTCCTGGTCTTTTTCACTCTCCCTCTAGCTTCCCAGAGTTGCTCATGATTTTGAAGATGGCATATGTCTTCCCAAGCATGTTTCTCCACTTCTGTAACAGACTTGTTCTGTACGTACGTAAGCAGCACCTCACTCTGGGCACCTGTGCAGCCTGCTTCACTTGTGCAGCACTGTGCGGTTGTCTGTGCTGGCTCATTTATCTCAGCGGCTTCGTGGTGGTCCCTGCATGGCCCTGTGGCTTACTGTTGCCCTTCGCCTCTGGTTGGCATATGTGTGGCGTCTGGTTCACTACCACTGTGTTGGAGCTGCCACATCGCTGTGTCACGCTCCTCAGGCCCGTGCTGGCTCTCCTCTAGAGCAGACTCAGCAGACACTTTCTCTCCAGGGCCAGATTGCAAACATTTTTGCCTCTATAGCTCATGCGGCCTTTTCACAACCACTCACCTCTACCCAGATGGTGCAGAAGCAGCCAGAGACAGTATGTGCACACATGGGCCTGACTGTGTTCCACTAACACTTGCCTTAAATACGGCAGGCTGCATTCAGCAGACCTGCTCCAGAAAACACGGCAGGCTGCATTCGGCAGACCTGCTCCAGAAAACACGGCAGGCTGCATTCGGCAGACCTGCTCCAGAAAACACGGCAGGCTGCATTCGGCAGACCTGCTCCAGAAAACACGGCAGGCTGCATTCGGCAGACCTGCTCCAGAAAACACGGCAGGCTGCATTCGGCAGACCTGCTCCAGAAAACACGGCAGGCTGCATTCGGCAGACCTGCTCCAGAAAACACGGCAGGCTGCATTCGGCAGACCTGCTCCAGAAAACACGGCAGGCTGCATTCGGCAGACCTGCTCCAGAAAACACGGCAGGCTGCATTCGGCAGACCTGCTCCAGAAAACACGGCAGGCTGCATTCGGCAGACCTGCTCCAGAAAACACGGCAGGCTGCATTCGGCAGACCTGCTCCAGAAAACACGGCAGGCTGCATTCGGCAGACCTGCTCCAGAAAATACGGCAGGCTGTATTTGGCAGACCTGCTCCAGAGAACACGGCAGGCTGCGTTTGGCAGACCTGCTTCAGAAAATACGGCAGGCTGCATTCAGCAGACCTGCTCCAGAAAACACAGCAGGCTACATTCGACAGGCTGAATTCGGCAGACCTGCTCCAGAAAATACGGCAGGCTGCATTCGGCAGGCCTGCTTCAGAAAATACGGCAGGCTGCATTTGACAGACCTGCTCCAGAAAATACAGCAAGGCTGCATTCGGCAGACCTGCTCCAGATGCATACCTAGAAGTGGAGTCGAAGAGTCGGAAATCAAGTTCGTTCTTTTTTTTTTTTTTTTCCCTGAGTTTCATCTGAGATTTTTTTGAGCCAGGATTTTTTAGCTTTAAAAAATATGTATGGTCATTTGATATTCAAATTTATAGTACTGAAATTTTCTCTACACTGTGCTTTGTTCATTAAAACAGCTCTCATGTTTCCTTGCAGAATAAAAGCCGCCCTCATTCTAGGGGAGAATATAATGTTTACAGCACCTTTCAAAGTCATGAACCGGAGTTTGACTATTTGAAAAGTCTAGAAATTGAGGAAAAAATTAATAAAATTAGGTGGTTACCACAACAGAATGCTGCTCATTTTCTACTGTCTACAAATGGTAAGAATTGTGTTCTAAGTGGCTGTTTGATTTAGTTTTTTATTTTTAATTTTCTGTGTGTGTGTAGATTCCTTTTTATTTTAGAAGTTATTCCTGCTTTAAATTTTGGGGGGAGGGTAAGTTATCTAGGGTAGCAAGTGATAGGTTGAAAATTCAAAGTATGCAACAAAAACCACACGTGCACTTTATTATGCTGTTACTCTGCACGTCTGCACATCTTTCTTTATTGTACAAAACACCTCCAATTGGAAATATTCATGTTCAGAGACCCCATAGCTTATAACCCAATATAGGACCACACCGCTTTCTAATACCAGTACTCAAACAGTAGTGATGCATGTTATAGTTTTTCTTTTCATATGGAGAATGAGGTTTTTATTTTCAGATAAAACTATAAAATTATGGAAAATAAGTGAACGGGATAAAAGAGCAGAAGGTTATAACCTGAAAGACGAAGATGGAAGACTTCGAGACCCATTTAGGATCACGGCGCTACGGGTACACGTTGCCTTTGCTTTATCCAATGCTGTTGAGAAGTTAAGAATAAACGTTTCAGTCTGCTGTCTGGAGAGTGCTGCGCGGTGGAGTACTGTGAGGTCTGCTGTGAGGTCTGCCTCGTGATTCCTGAAAGTCGTTTGCACTCATGTGTGTGTTTAAAAGCAAGGTCTTTCTCCTGTTTTCACAAAGGCAGAAAGTCACATGTGGTCCTTAGGAAACACAGCAATACTAAGGGGAAAACTCATATTTAATTCTACAGCAGAAATCTTTGTGGACATAGCAACCACCCTTCTCTCAGAAGGTTCAGAACAGCACCTGGGAGGTTGGAGTTCAGATGAAATTCAGAACACCTCACAGGTGCAGTAGCACAGGTTGCAGGTCGAAAGATGAGCTGTGGGCCACAGGTACATTCAGGACGCTTCTCGGGGAATTTCTTTGGGGTTGGTTTAGGCAGATGCTGATGGTTCAGAACTCTCCACCTGTCCATCCATGAGCATCATTACTTTTTTAATTGTTAAATTATTTGCTCCATTGTTGGTAGTATGAAATGATCATATTTCATCAATTCTGATGCCTAAATTTTTTCATATTTTAACATTTATGAAACCGGCTAAAACTCAAAACCTCA
The DNA here is from genome assembly GCF_000001405.40 of Homo sapiens. NCBI lineage: Eukaryota > Metazoa > Chordata > Mammalia > Primates > Hominidae > Homo > Homo sapiens. The sequence continues at coordinate 131,941,323 of NC_000010.11, forward strand.
ATGTCTTATAATTGGCCTGGTGCTACGCACCACTGATGTTGTCTTAAATTAGATGGAACATGGTGAAGGGTGTCCGGCAAACTGGGCTCGAGCCCAGGTGTGTCTTGGTGAGAAACCAGCACCTGTGCAGAGGTGTGTCCCCTGGAAGGAAACTCTGCCTGGTCCCAAGGGGGTGCCGTTACTAGATTGGAAAACCGTTGGTTGTTTGGGTGGTTGGGTGGTTTGGTTGCGGGGGGTGGGTGGTTGAGTTGGGTGGTTTGGTTGGTTTTTAATGAGATTTCAGCCCCTTTTACACTATTGTTTATCAAGTGAAGACTGAGTGAGTGAGCCCATTCCACATTAGTCTTGGAGAGTGCTACAGAGGACGCTGTACCGCAGAAGCCTTTCCCTAACACATGTGCCTCTGGGAGTGATGTTGGGTCTGTTCTGATGCCATTTCTCCAGCTTTGCCGTGTGGGGTGGCTACACCTGGGGTTGTGCATTCCTCAGGAGGAGTGTCCTCAGACTTCTCACATCGATGTTGTCACCGTATTTCCTATGAGTTCATCAAAGCGAGAAAGGCTGTGGCATTTGCTGAAAATCTAGTTTATAGGGTCCTAATTTGAACCAAGATGTTTTGATCCAAAATGTTGGTGATGTCTGATACACAGTGCTGCCGCCTTTGCACCCCTGAATTAGTGTAAATCACTTTTAGTGACAGTAACACGAGTTGTGCAGTTCCATCATCATGAAACTGCTGATCCTAAAGTAGAAGTGTGATGGGACCCCCGAGGGTGGGCACTTGACCCCCTCCAGCCTTGTCCATCTCTTCTGCAGCCAACACCACCTCCCACCCAGTTACCTGTGCACACCCCACCCTCAGAAACCCCTGTTCCTCCTGATCAGACCCTGCCACAACCCATCAGCTCACGTGCTCATTTTGGGAGAACAGTAGGCCTTTACTAGGCCCAGTCTTGGTTTTATTCAAGGCTGCTTTTGTAGGTTTAGCCTAAATAAAACGGGTATAATTGGTGGCCCTACTGAAGGTGTGTGAGAAGTCTAGTTATTTCATTAGTTGGTGCATGGGGAAGAGACCACAGACAGGTAATTCTGTACATTGACTTAGGTCGGTATTTGAGATCTTACCTCTCTAACAGTTCAGAGTGGGCTATTTATGTATCTGAGCCTAACTGGGTAAGAGTCAGACATGTTGCTGTTTTTAAATTTTTGCTCTTAAATTATTTTAGTGCCAGAAAAGGGATATAATTAAAAGAAGAAATCTTGGCCAGGTATGGTGGCTCATACCTGTAATCCCAGCACTTTGGGAGACCGAGATGGGAGGATCACTTGAGCCCAGGAGTTCAAAGACCAGCCTGGGCAACATAGCCAGACCCCATCTCTAAAAATGAAAGCAAATTATTTTATATGCAAATTAAAATGTTTTCAATAAAAGAAGGAATCTTTGTAAGTATTGCAGCTATCATATGTTTTGATTAATGGGAAATTTGTTAGAGGATTGGGGTAGGTGTGTGTTTTTAAGCCTGAACTTGGTAGAACTGACTCTTCTTGCTCTAGAGAATCCAAGGGTGTGGTCAGCACTACCTGGGTTAAAATGAGGGAAGCCTCCCTACACACACTTTTCCAAGTTGGTTTTTTACAGAATTCAGCCAGACAAGACTCAGTTGAGAGCTTTTCTTTTTCCCCTAAGCTTTCAAGGCTCTCCCTTTTGGTTTCTAATTACAAGAATAACAAAAAATACTATCATTAATTTTTTGTTTTGATTTTAAAGCTTATGTTTTTCTTCCAGCTGGATGTTAGTGAGACACAGGCCTTTTTCCTTTTTTCATGTGTGATGCTATTCCTCACGCCTGAGCTCTCACCTCTGACCATAGGCGGCCTGCAGCCAGCGCCCACTCCTCTCTGTCCTTTCTATTTCTGTGCGAATTGGGCTTCCCTAGGAAGCCTCCCTGACCACAGCACTCAACACAGAGATGGGGGCGGGAGGTACCTTCTACTTTTTGTTTTAACCTCAAGTGAAGTGTAATATATAATACATACCTCCAGATAAGACATCTGCCCTATAAGTGACCAGCTCCATGAATGTTTGTAGGGTGCACATGCCCATGTAGCCAGCCCCAGACCAAGAAATGGAATATCCTCAGCTCCCCAGCACCCTGCTGTGCACCCTGCCAGTACCTGGAGCCAGTGGAGGTTTGTGGGGTTTGCACCGAGAAGCATAGTCCTAGTGCAGTGAGAAGAGGTGTGTGCATCTAGCTGCAAGGAGAGGACAAAGGGAGGGGTGCAGCTGAGCCACCCAGGAGGACTTTGCTGTCCAGCGCCTCAGTGTGGCCACTGGAGGACACACAGGAGAGGGAGCCGCAGGCCTCGGTGCCTGGGCAGTTTGTTACCCTGCCAGCTGATCTTCTCTTCAGCAGGAACATGTCGACCTCGGTAATGGAAGCAAGGGGAAGACTTGGAATAGACAGTATTCCATTTTGTAGCATATTTTCATAACTCTGCTAATTGGTTATTTGGGGGTATTGCCTGTACAGAATTATTACTTAGCCATGAATATAAACTTGTCCTCTTTCGTTATCTACTATAAGTGTTCTAATTATGTGCTGCTGTGATCTTTGTTTTGAATTCCTATTTCCTTCCATTTTTAGGTCCCAATATTGAAGCCCATGGATCTTATGGTAGAAGCGAGTCCACGGCGAATTTTTGCAAATGCTCACACATATCATATAAATTCCATTTCAGTAAATAGTGATCATGAAACATATCTTTCTGCAGATGACCTGAGAATTAATTTATGGCACTTAGAAATCACAGATAGAAGCTTTAGTATCCTTCCTCAGAGGGACACTGGCGTCTTCCCGAGGGTGCTCTTTAGATAGTAATTTCTCTCGTCCCTTTATACACCTGTATCTCGGAGTCTAGTCTTGTAAATACCATCACTGCACAGCAGCCTGTGATGTAAGTTCTCTGTGATTTGAAATGTTTGTCCCTAAAAATACAAATTTCTTTCTACCTTTGGGAAAAAGTTATCTGTATAATGGGAATTACCTGAAGTCCACTGCCTGCCTGGTTTAATCAGAGGCAGTTTTAAATAGGCTACATTTGAAAAACCAACATTATGTGTTCTTTTTTTTTTTCTAAATTTGCTAATGAATAATAGAAAATACTGGCTTAGGTTAGAGCAGTGTTTAATCACCCATCTGAGCAGCAGCTTCCAGTTAGAACCTGTGTTCTTCTGTGGCTGTGCACAGTCTGGGTGGCCCCAGCCCTCCTCACATGGGCCCCTTTCCAGCCAGCAGCCGGGAGCATGGGGCTTGCTTCGTCTGCAGCCTCTCCAGGGTCCCTGCCGTCCTCCCTCTGCTGTCCAGTGGCTTGAGCTGGGGTTCCATGTCGTATGTTGGTTTTCTTAGTTGTTTCAGCTTGAAGGGTGAAACTGGGACTGCTAGTCTGAATTGGCCCACAGCTGAATTCTGCCCTTTCTTATTTTTTTCAGTTGAAGGATTTCTGTATAGGATTTCTGTTGGATCTGTTCTAGCTACACAGAATAAGCTCTTCATGTCAGGAAGAGCAGCATCTTTTGGAATTTGGCGGCATTCTTGTGTTGTAGTTTTGTGTGGGAGTGTGGGATTTTGCACAGATGGTACTAGCTTGGTTTTCCTATTTATATGATTAAGTATGTACTATCTTGCTATTAAGGGCTTTCTGTATAACATTAATAATAGCAGCAAGATGAAAGCGGTGTTCGCTTGTCTGTGTCTCCCCCTGGGCCGGGGCGTTGCTGTAGTCTGAGTGTGCTCATCCCAATCCCCTTACCAGGCGCTCCTTTGGAATTCGGGATGTGTAACCAGCCTTCTTAATAGCTAATCCCTTAAACCTCACTGCGTGGATTATTTGGCGTCCTATTTCGCGTGACTGAATGTAGACTAATTAACAACCAGCTGAGCTGAGCACTGTGCCTTAACCATGCACTCCCAGACATCGTGGACATCAAGCCTGCTAACATGGAGGAGCTGACCGAAGTCATCACTGCAGCCGAGTTCCACCCGCACCAGTGCAACGTGTTCGTCTACAGCAGTAGCAAAGGGACCATCCGCCTGTGTGACATGCGCTCCTCGGCCCTGTGCGACAGACACTCCAAGTGTAAGTGCGTCTGTTGTTGAGATGGAGTCTGGCTCTGTCACCCAGGCTGCGGTGCAGTGACACAGTCTCGGCTCACGGCAAGCTCCGCCTCCCGGGTTCCAGCAAGTCTTCTGCCTCGGCCTCCCGAGTAGCTGGGACCACAGGCAGGTGCCACCATGCCCAGCTAGTTTTTGTATTTTTAGTACAGACAGGGTTTCACCATGTTGACCAGACTGGTCTGACCTCAGGTGATCCCCCTACCTCGGCCTCCCAAAGTGCTGGGATTACAGGTGTGAGTCACCGCACCTGGTCACGCCTGGCGTCTTTTAAAGCATCTCATTTAGAGCCACTTGTTCTTCAGACACTCCAAAGACTTAGAGAGTTCTTCCTGTTCCCCAAGTGCCTTTGCACAACTGGGGAGCCCTCCTTTGCTGGGGCCGTCCGAGTGTGGCTGTGTCAGAGGCTGCTGCTAATAAGTGGAACTCGAGGTCATGCTTCCCACAGGCTTATGGCTGTAGGGTGAGTGTGCTTTTGGCACCACCGAGAAGCGGGGTCACTTCTGCCCAGAGCCTGGGTGTCTC